>NC_000004.12:185285017-185588047 GCF_000001405.40 Homo sapiens
CTTGAATAGGCTTAGATACATAGGTACATAGATAAAACAGCTTAGAAAAAGTTAAAAATGACTCATAAGTCTACCATTTTAACACAACTGCCATTCATTTCATCTCTATTTTGCCTTGTAGCCCTGGCTCATATATACACATAGATACATATCTGCAATCATAAATGTATGTGCCATTTTTCATTTTAAAAATTAGTCTGTCATAAACATCTATTTTCATGTAATCTTTATTATTATAAATATTACTGGCTGGATGCTTTCTGTTTAATCTGATATGTCCTGAAAGCAAGGACCATATTGGTGGTGTTCATTTCTGTGTGTCTGGAACGTAAGAAAAGATTAAGAAATGTTTGTTTAATGAAAGCATCATTGGCCATACTCATTATTGACCATGAGTATTTTCGTGCGTTTCTTTGTAGAACTTGCTACAACAAACATGTATGTGATAGTTTGGGCTTTGGGTTTTCATTTTGATTTTTTTCTTTTGTTAAACTGTTACCTTATGATAAATACTTGAGATTGGAATTGCTGTGTGGAAGCACGTCAAGTCTTCCTCAGAAAGCTCTCTATCAGTTGGAGTGGCATTTGGCCACAAGACAGCTTGACATACAGCAACTTAAATGAGGCAGGTGTTTATTTTCCCCATGTCACCACATGTCCTGAGATTGGTAGTTAGGGGCTGTTTTGATGGTTCATGATGTAATTGGAACCCTGAACTCCTCCCGTCTTCTTACTGCATCATCCTTAGCTTGTAGTTTTGTTTTTGTGTTTTTGAGACGGGGTCTTGCTCTGTTGCCCAGGCTGGAGTGCAGTAACACAATCATAGCTCACTGCAACCTCAACCACCCAGGCTCAAGTGATCCTCCTGCCTCAGGCTCCCAAGTAGCTGGTACTACAGGTGTGCGCCACCATGCCCAGCTAATTTTTTTTTTTTATTTTTAGTAGAGACAGGGTCTCCCTTTGTTTCCCAGGCTGGTCTCAAACTCCTGGGCTCAAGCAATCCTCCCACCTCAGCCTCCCTAAGTATTGGGATTATAGGCATGAGCCACCACACCTGGCCTTTTTCTGTTTTGGGGTTTGTTTTGTTTTGTTTTGTTTTGTTATGTGTTTTTTAAAGAAACAGGGTCTTGCTCTGTCATCCAGGCTGGAGGGCAGTGGCGCAATCATAGCTCACTGAGACTTTGAACTCCTGGGTTCAATTGATCCTTCTGCCTCAGCCTCCATAGTAGCTAGGACTACCGGCATGCATCACCACTCCCAGCCAACTTTTTAATTTTTTGTAGAGATGAGATCTCACTATACTGCCTAGGCTCTTGAACTCCTGGCCTCAAAGCAATCCTCCCTCGGCTTCCTAAAATGTTGGGATTACAAGTGTGAGCCACTGTGCCCGGCCTGGCCTGTGGCTTTTACCCTCATGATTGTAAGGTACTGTTGTGCCTTTATCCAGTTGCATCCTTGTTTTACACAGAAAAATGAGGGAAGGGTGAGGACTAAAGTTGGAAAGGGCTTTTCTGCGGAGGCTGCTTTTAGCCTGCTTTCCTGGAATCCCTACCCGGTGACTCCTGCCTGTCTCCAAGGCTAGAATGGTATCACCTGGCCATCTCTGACTGCTGGGAAGAAAGCTAGTCTTTTTAGCTGGGTATGTCACTTTCCCTGATAAAACTGTAGGTCACTTAACAAGGAAGGAAGGGAGACTGGACGTTGGGCAGGCAGCCGGCAGTGTCTGCCACCATCTCTGACTGGCATGCCAACACTGCTCCTGACAGCCTGCTCTGAGGTCCTGAGAGTCAGCCACTGATGTTTATATTATCCAAATGAAAAAATAAGGTGCAAATTTGTGAGGAGTCCATGAGTAGCTATGACTAAGATAAATTTGTCTCTCCTCTGGGTTTTAGTTGAAAAGCAAAAGAATGTATGTAATTGTGTGCTCTAAAAGCCAGCAGATGTAACATTAAATCTTAGAACACTGCACGGTTTTTGTTCAAAGTAAGAATTAATGTTAAAGAACTTTATTACCAGCAGATGAAATTAATTAATTCATATAATTAAGGGCTAAGAAACACTCAGGATAAACCACTTTGATTAGGGCAATACTTAGTAACCATTAAAGGACTCTTAAGAATTTGGATTTGTAAAGCCCAATTGAATTTATGCTCAAAATAGCTACAACTCCAGGGTTGTACTCAGCACTTAAAATGTAGAATTATGTTTATTTTTCCTGACTTGGAGGTCTTCTTAGGCACACATATATATAGCTGGTGCTCTAATCTCATGCTTCTCAGCTCTCCGTGTGCCTTAGAATTGCCAGGAGAGCTTTAAAAATACTGATGCGAGTCCTGGTGCAGATATTTTGATTCTGTTGGGTTGGGACCGTGTTCTAAATGAGAAGCAATGAGGCGCTGCACTCAGGCAGGGCAGTGGGGCTGCAGGGGAGAGGGCAGTTCTGAGAACTATTTAAGACGGCACCATCCAGTAGAACTTTCTACAGTGAAGAAAATGTTCTACTTGGCACCGCCCGGTGTGGTCCACAAGCCCACAGGTACCGTGGAGCATTTGAAATGTGGCTAGTGTGATTGAGGAACTAAACGTTTATTAATTTAATTGGATAGCCACATGTAGCTCATGATCACCTTATTAGACAGTGCCAATGTAAGAAGTAGAATCAGCTAGCTCTGCTCACCTAGGATTGTGGAGGAGAGGGAGGCTGAGCATAACCTCAGAGTTTCTACAGGTAGTTATGCTTCTGGTATAGGGAACAGAGTGGAAGTGAGGAGGCTCCTGATGTTTACGTGAGGGCCTCAGAATGACTAGCGCGTGGCATGGGGCCCGGCCTATTGTAGATGCTCGGTCTATGTCGGATTATTTTATGGAGCCTTGGGCAGGATTCACAGCTCCTGTGTTACATTTGTTTAGTATAAATACAGTCTAAAGTTATTTCTGAAAATAGTATTTTCTTCCTCTTAAATCTTTTTCTTTTCTCTTTTTAAAAATCAGGTATCAAATTGTAGTGGAAATAATCCAGGCGACTACAATTAGCAGCTTTCCCCAACTGAAGAGGCACAAAGGTAAGAGCCAGGTTGTTTTCTTCAGTTCCACATCTGAAAGGTCAGCTTGATCCCCGGCCTTCTCCCACCTGTCAGATCTTTGGCAAATAGGAGCTTTTCTGGCTTACATTTAAATATTTCAATTTATTAAAAACAATACTATTACAGTATTAGAGAAGTAAATATAATTTCATCCTAACAACAACCTTTGTCTGTATTTCTGTATTCCCGTATAAACTTTATTCAGCTGCAGTCATAATTTTTAGAAGGCTAAAATCATTCAGTATATGTTTCTGTTCTGTTTTTAAACTAAACATGATTACATACTTTTTTTCACATATTGAAATTTAATATTTCTATCTTGAAACATAATCTTGATGGTCATTTAAATGACTCCAATAAGTTGAGATTTCATAATTAATCTTTTCCTTATTTTCCTTTTTTAAGCTTTTTTTTAAGGAATTATAAAATCTTTTTCCTTTATTTAAGCATTGGATTGCTAATAGCTTTTTCTCTCTTTTCACTCTTGTGTTGTAGGTTTTGTTGGGGGGTGGGGGGGTGGTGTATATATATATTGCTCTATCTTTTTCTTCCTGTTTGTTTCTCTTCCAGTGAAGTAAGATTCTTTCCCAGGCATGATACCAAAGAATAATTAAGGTGTGAGGATGGCTCTCAACTCCCTTGTAGTTTGCCTGATGCTAGAATATTCCCCTTTGCATGTACAAAGGTAGAGAACGTGTTAAAATCTAGAGTGCAGAGCAGGTCTGGCTTTGCAGCTCAGAGGCAGCAAACACTGCTTTCACCTTGGAGAACAGACATTCCACAAAAACCTCCAGGCCTGCTCAAGTCTCCGCCAAGGAGAGGGAGTAGAGTGCTAAAAGAACGGGGAAGAGTTGGGCCAAAGACATTAAAGCATGCTTTCAGGTTTCTCATGAGCACACAGAGGCAAAGGAAGCTTGGGCTGGGGACTTGGACCTGGACTTGCCTCCCTGAGCCTGACAGAAGGTAGGAGCAAGTACAAAGCAAATATAGGTATAGATTATGAAGAGGCACTGATTCCTCAGCTCAGCCTGTAAGGAAGCCTGTGCAAATATGTCCATTCAGCAGTGTTTACTGAGCACCTACTGAGTGATAATGATACAGTAGTAAACAAAACCTCTGCATTCCGATTCCCTAAACTAGGCTGGGAGGCAGTCAGACAATCAACAAAAAAATATGTGTTATTTCAGGTGGTCACATGTTCCTTGGAGAAAAACAAAGTTGTGATGCGGGGAGCCCTGGTAGGGAGTGCTGGTTCTGCTGCAGGGGAGGCTAATTCTGCATTCAGTTAGTTGGGGAAGACCTCACTCAGATGGTGGGCTTTGAGCAGTCATCTGGAAGCCTGGGGGTATCTGGAGAAGGGCAGGTGCCAAATCCTGATGCAGAAACTTGATGGGGCTGAAGAAAGGGAGAGAAGCCAAACACGAGCTCAGAGAGGCGGCAGGGAACCCAGTCACAAAGGCCCAACTGGTACTGCAAGGACTTGGGATTTTACTCTGAATGAGGACGTCTTTAAATGGGCTTTTGAGCTAAGGAGACTTGATCTGATGAATTCCTGCAAGAGTGTGGACTCTGTTCCTCTCCTTTTTATCACTGTTCTTGCAGAGAAGATGCTTCACTTCCAGACAGATGGATAATTGTTTGAAAGAGAACACTGGAGAGGTGTGCTGCCTTGCCACTGTAATCTTTTTTAGTGCCCCTCTTTGAGTTCAGTCAGCAAAATACCTTTCTTATTTTGTTATTCCATTAGTTTGCTAGGGCTACCATTAAAAAGTGCAAGCTGGGTGGTTTAAACAACAGGAATTAATTTTCTCACAGTTCTGGAGGCTGGAAACCCAAGAGCAAGGTGTCAGCAAGGTAGTTCCTTCTGAGAGCGGTGAGGAAGGACCTGCCTCAGGCCTCTCCCTGTCTGCAGATGGCCATCTTCTCCATGTGTCTTCACATTGTCCTTCTTTTGTACCTGTCTTTCCTTCATGTCTGTGTTTTCTATTCTTACAAGGATGCCAGTCATACTGCACTGGGGCCCATCTAATGACTTCATTTTAACTTGATTGACTCTGCAAAGGCCCTGTCTCCAAATAAGGCCACATCCTAAGGTACTTGGCGTTAGGACTTCAGCATCTGAATTTGTTTTGGGAGTGCGGGAAGGACACGATTCAGCCCATAACAGTTATGTTACAGACATTCTCAGTGACCCTTGATTCTTGAGTGTCTGTGTTTTCCGTCTAAGCTGTCCTTGCAACTCTTTTGGGTATCCTGGCTTCCTTCTGTTGTTTAAGCACTGAGGAAAAGACAAACAAACTAAGCACTCTTGGGGCCTTGGAGCCGTTTTGCCTGGGACAGGAAACACTGGACACTGGTCTCATTGCTTCTCTGAGGTTACTGGTTAGCAGTGATTGTCACCTCCAGCCTCTATGTCTGCATAGTATAATGCTCCAGTGGATTTTAATCTTCCTGCTTTTTGCAAAGTTAAACTGCTTAGATAAACTCTTACGTGCTTTGTGCTTAATACGAAATTTTAGCATGAGAATGTGTGTACATGTTTATATATAAGGACAAAGTAACTGTCAAGAATTTACTCTTAATACGGTGTATTCTGGTTGAATTTTAATTATAACTGAAGTGTTTGGTTTATTTTAAGTATTAGTTTCTCTCTGCCTAAAATGATCAAAAAGGTCAGAATCTAGTTTAAAGAGAATTTATTCAAGTGCGGAAGTTGAGGACTATAGCCAGGGACACACTGCCAGGTTGCCTTGAGTGCTGCAGAGAACAAAAAGAGAGGCTCAAGTTTTTAAAGAAAAAAAGACAAATCAGGAAAGGGGGCAGTTACGAACGTGGTCAGGAATTCTCATGGGTTTACAGAAAGAACAATGGTTAGTGCTTGGCTGTACACAGTTAAACAGTGATGTGGATGACATTTTATGGCTACCTGGCGTTAGTCTAGAGCCTGAAGAGAAGTGGCTTCAAGAAGTAATTATTTAGCTCATGGGGAAGTGTGACATGACCTCTGTTACGTTCTAAATGCCTTTCTGGCCCTGATCATTTAAAGGAGCTCACATTCCTTAGAAAAAAAGATTTTTCTTTTGGGGAGAAGAGGGTTAATTGTGGTGAAATATACGTAACAAAATTTACCATTTTTAAGTGTACAGTTCTGTGGCATTAATTACATTCATACTGTTCTGTAGCCATCATTACCACCCATCTCCGGAACTTTTCATCTTCCCAAACTGAAACTTCGTATCCGTTAAACAATAGCTCCACTCTCCCCACTCCCCTCAGCCCGTGACAACCACCATTCTACTTTCTGTCTCTCTGAGTTTGACAAGTCTATGTACCTCATATAAGTAGAATCATACAATATTTAAAAGGTTCTTCTGTCTCAATTCCTAGAGCTGCCATAGCAAAGTACCACAAACTGTCTGGCACAAACAACAAAAATGTATTTTCTCACAGTTTTGGAGGCAAGAAGTCTAAAATCAAGGCTTTGGCAGGGCCACGCTGCTTCTGAATGCGCTGGGGGAGCCTCTTCCATGTCTGTGCCTTAGCTTTCCATGTTGCTGGCAATCCTTGGTGTTCCCTGGCCTGGAGATATGTCACTCCAATCCCTGCCTCAGTTGTCACGTGATATTCTTCTCTGGTTTTGCGTCTCTGTTTTCTCAACAGGGGCACTAGTCATATTGGATTGGGGCCCACCCTGATTAAGCATGACTTTATCTTAACTTGATCACGTCGGCAAAGACCCCATTTCCGAATAAGATCGCTTTAGTAGGTATGGGGGGCAGATTAGGACTTCAACATATCTTTTTGGGAACACAATTCAACCCACTGCATTATAACTGGTAAGTTCAAGTATAGCATTTAGTTCCCTTTTTTGTGTGTGTGAAAATGCTAGAAATATCTCTTTTCAGCAAGCTTTCTGACCACATTAAGATTTTCTGCCTTTTCTCCTTTTGGGTTAATTCTGGTATCACTATTTAGCTTTTTCTACATTAGTCTCTTTTAAGACTATAATAGGGTTCAAAGTTAGAAAAAAACACTTTGGCAAAAAGTAGACTAGCTGGAACTGTATAGGTAGTTCCAGCCAGCACATGCCTTCATGTCCAGAAAAAGACAGGTTCCATGGAATCAGTGCTCTCGGGTCTAGTAAGAATGAAGGGAAGCAGTGACGAGGGGAAAAAAGTAAATTGGACTTCATTAAAAATGAAAAACTTGGCTGAGTGTAGTGACTCTTCCTATAATCCCAGCACTTTGCGGGGACCAAGGAGGGAGGATTACTTGAGGACAGGAGTTTATTTGTTTGTTTGTTTGTTTGTTTCAGACAGAGTTTCGCTCTTGTCACCCGGGCTGGAGGGCAATGACACAATCTCGGCTCACTGCAACTTCCGCCTCCCAAATTCAAGCGATTCTCCTGCCTCAGCCTCCCAAGTAGCTTGGATTACAGGCACCCACCACCATACCCAGCTAATTTTTTTTTGTATTTTTAGTAGAGGTTGGGTTTCACCATGTTGGCCAGGCTGGTCTTGAACTCCTGACCTCAGGTGATCTGCCTGCCTCAGCCTCCCAAAGTGCTGGGATTACAGGCATGAGCCACCGCACCCGGCCATGGACAGGAGTTTTGAGGCCAGCCTGGGCAACATAGCAAGACCTTGTCTCTACAAAAAAATTTTTAAAAATTATCCAGGTGTGGTGGTGCACACCTGTAGTCCTGGGAGGCTGAGCTGGGAGGATTGCTTGAGCCCAGGAGGTCAAGGCTGCAATGAGCTGTGATCATACCACTGTACTCCAGCCTGGGTGACACAGCCAGACCCCATCTCAAAAATAAGAAATAAATGAAACTTATGTTTGTCAAGGGACATTATCAAGAAAATGAAAAGACAACTCACAGAGTGGAGGAAAAATACTTGCAAATCATGTATCTGATAAAAAGGTTGTATCCATAACATATAAAGAACTCTTATAACTCGATAATCAAAAGAGCAATAACCCAGTTGAAACTAACACAGGACATCACTTCATGCCTTCTAGGGTGGCTAAAGTGAAAGAGATAAGAACTGTTGGTGAGGATACGGAGAAACTGGAAACCTTATACATTGCTGTTGGAAATGGAAAATAGAAGACAATTTGGCAGTTCCTCGAAATTTTAAACATAGAATTACCATGTGACCTAGCATTTCTACTCCTAGGTGTATACCCAAGGGAAATGAATTTGTATCTCCACAAAAAACTTGAATGTTTATAGTAGCATAATTTATAACAGGCAAAAATTGGAAACAACCAAATCACCATCAACAATGGGTAAACAAAATGTGGTATATCCAGACAAGGGAGTATTATTCAACAATAAAAAGGAATAAACCTTGAAAACCATATGCTAAGTGAAAGAAGCCAGATGCAATAGGGCACATATTGCATGATTTCATTTATATGAAATGTCCAGAATAGGCAAACCTATAGACAGAAAGCAGGTCACTTTCCAGTGTATGTTGCTAAGATGTTTTGATGTAGTATTTACATTATATTTTTTATTGAATAATTCTAAAAAGGTATTCAGTATTTTTATGTCATTTATTAGATGTTTAAAATTTTACAGAAAATTTTTGACAAAAGGTGATTTTTAATTTTTTCTGTTTTTATTTACATTATGGTTATGGTCTGGTTATGATTCAGGCATATTCATATTCATAATTTTGTAGTAATGAAAACATTTCAAAATAGTACCATGAGGGATTGCAGCACTAACAGAGTTAGAGAAACAATGTAAAACACGATCGTTTATAAACAGAAAATGAAAAAATAGATAAATGATGAAAACTTTAAAAAATATCTTTGGAGTATTCCAACTAGGAGGCCGATGCACCAAGTAGGAATAAGGTATTGCAATCTAGGACCTGGATAATGCTAGTGAAAAGGAAGGGATTGATAAGGAAGATCGTGAAGGACAACAGCCTGCTTAGCGACTCGCGGAAGATGGGAACAAAGGATCCAAGAGAATGATAGTGCTGGTGCGATCCGCTGACTTTACAGAGGAGGGAACAGCTGTCAGTTAGTGTAAATCACCTTGATCAAAAGGAGTAAGTATCAAGCACGCATAAATGCAGCTCAAAACACTTTGCTCAGCGAGGTCATCCCTTCCAGTCTACTGCTGTGTCCCATTGCTGCAGGCTGGTGAGATCAAGTTTAGGGTGTAAAAGAAAAAGCCCTAGCACAGGGACTTGGGGGCCTTGGTTCAAGTTCTCTTGTGCTGCTAGCTTCCTGATGGAATCCGCACAAGTCATTTTATTTCTCTAGGACTCAGTTGTTTTCATCTTTAGATTGAGTGCTCTAGATAATCATAAAGGGTTCTCAATGAAGATACTGAAGGAGTCAGGGGTTATGTAGGAGTTTGGTCTTGGACATCCTGGATTTGGGGCAAGAGGGGCATAGGAAACTCCTTGTTTGGCATTTCTAAGCTGGGATTCATGCTGTGGAGAGAGAATAACCTGAAGAGAAATATTTGGAAGTTACCATTATAGAGACAGTAGTTAATAGTCTTCTGTTTCTGCTATTTCCAAGTCAAATATCAGTAAAGCTGATGCTGCCGCATTATTAGAGCAGAACAATGTATTAACAATCTGAAGTGACTTCCGCTAACTCATTATACCCTCTGCTGTCTCCCCATTAAAGTTCATATGTAGGTGCTTTCAATTTTAAATAATTAAGTTATAATTTAAGTACGGATACTTTTTTTTTTTAAGAAAAAATAAGAACAAATTTAGCATTCCTCGTTGTCCTTACTTTTTCTTTTAACTCAGTATGTAGTAACTTATTGGATGTTACAGGAAGTCGCTCTTGTATTTCTGTGGTCTTTGGAGTTTTGATGTATGGCTGGCAAATAAAAGGCTAATTTATAGAATGGTTCTAGATAGCTGCATTAAAAATACCTATGTCATTGTTTCTCAGATTGACCTTCCCTTTAATTTATTTCAATAAGAATGTGTTTCCCCCTCCCATAAAAGTCATTAAAGAAAGCCAAATTTTTAGCGTTAAAAAATCTCCCCAAAATATAATTGTTGAGTTGTTTTTGGAGATCTTTGCATTTTGGAGGTAGTGTGATCTAGTGAAAATCAGACAAAGAACCAGAGAAAAGTAAGTTGTAAGTAATTTTGTTTCCAATGTTCTTTCTCCTTATTGCTGCATTCTTTTTTATAAGTGGGAAACTGAAGAAGTTTAAAAGAAGAATGAACAGATGGACGATCCTAGGAACGTTTAGTATTCAACCTAGAGATAGGAACTGTATTTGTGAATGTAGTATACATTAATACACACAATATAAATATAGTTTTGTTCCATATAAAGATGTTTCTGGTGAGTCTTTTTTTTTTTTTTTTGAGACAGGGTCTGGCTTTGTCACCCACGCTGAAGTGCAGTGGTGCAGTCACGGCTCACTGCAGTCTTGACCTCCCGGGTTCAAGTGATCCTCCCACCTCAGCTTCCCGAGTAGCTGGGATGACAGGTGCACACCACTGCATCCAGCTAGTTTTTGTATTTTTTGTAGAAATGGGGTTTCACCACGTTGCTCAGGCTGGTCTCAAACTCCTGGGCTCAATCGATCCGCCCTCCTCGGCCTCTCAAAGTGCTGTGATTAATCTGAGCCACCACACCTGGCCTGGCAAGTGTTTTTGAATCATAATTGATGTTGTGATGCAAGAGATGATATGCAATTGTGAAAATACTTTGAGGGTTTAAAGAAAAAATGCCATGTAGCAGATTGGGAGAAATTACCTGATTGTTAACTCTCTGAAACCTTAAGGGGTTAACCGCTGTCTCGCTCCATTCCTGCTGCTATGACAAAATACCACAAACTGGGTATTTACTATAAAGAAGAGAAATTTATTTCTTACTTATCTGGAGTTTGGGAATCCAGGATCAAGCCTGCGGCATTCAGTGGCTGGTGAGGGCTGCTCTCCGCTTCCAGAATGGCACCTTCTTATTACATCTCCTGGAGGGGACAAATGCTTGCTGTGTCTTGCATGATAGAAGGACATAAGGGCCTAGCTAGTTCTCTCCAGCCCTTCTATAAGGCACCAATTTCATTTCATCCTGGCCTTGTCGTCTCCTACAGGCCCCACCTGATAATACTGTAGGGAGTAAGTTTCAACATGAATTTTGGAGGGGACACAAACATTCAAACCACAGCAGCAGCTAACCGTATTGCCTTTGTTCAGGATGACATAAGACAACCCGTAGAGCTCTTTACTTTGTATATTTAGGACAGTTCAAAATAAGGCTTTTGAGGCTTCAACACACTCCAGAAAATCCACCCAAAACTGCACGTTTTAGGTTCACAGTAGATTAGTTTGTCTTAGAGAGAGAAACATTACTCTCCTTAACAAGGTGGAAATTTTTATTTGATTTTTTTCTTGATGGCCTTTTTCTTTTGGAATTTTGGTCTTTTAAAGAAATTAAGTATGATTTTAAAAATCTTTGGTGCCTCAGCTAGTTTAATTTTAATACAATTAATTCTGGGGAAAATAATTGAAATCATAGAACTAAAAAAAAAATTTTTTTTGAGACCAGCTAAGTCAGGTCTTTGTCCTATGGGCAACAAAATTACATTAGGTATAATTAGAGGGAAAGCTTTTACAGAAAACTTAACAAGTACGAAACAGTTTGAAACAATTAGTCTCTGAAGTTTTAGTTTGCTCGCAAAATTTTCTTTTCCCTGCCCCTATTTTATCATTCAAACCTGGCCACATGTTTTGACTGAGGCCTAAAATTTACCCACTGATTACATCAGCTGCCTGTTGGTCATAGAATTTGGGGAGCTTAGTGAGTCTAACTGGCTAATTTCAATGGGCTTTTTTCAGTGTTCATCTTCTTTGACCTTTCTGCGGCATTTGATATTGTTGACTGCTCAGTCTTCTTGAAATTCCACTGCCTGGGCTAACGCTCCCTGTCTTATTCTAGTTTTTTGTTGATTTTTCTGCTTATTTTCTTTACTCTATTCAGCTTTTAAATGTTGGAGTTCTTCAGGGTTTGTTCCTAACTCTTTTATACCTAATTATTTTATACCCGTGCTGCCTAATATAATTGCCATTGGCTACATGTTACTATTTAAATTTAAATGAATTAAAAGTAAGTACAAATTCAGTTCCCCAGTTACATCAGCCACATTTCAAGTACTCAGTAACCACACGTGGCTGCCATATTGGATAGTGCATTATGAATATTTCCATCATTACAGAGGTTATGTTGGGTAGCACTGCCCTACTCTAATCCTTTCCCTTATCTGTATGCTGAAGACTCCAAATTTCTGTCTGCAGAGATCCTGTACCTTTCTACTTAATCTCTGCCATCTCAACAGTTTTGTTTGGATATCTCAAAAGTGGCTCCAAATGAAAATGTCCACATAAAGTCTCACATAGCTGGGCATCTTCTGTAATTTCTTGCCTCAGTGAATGGCATCATCATCTGTCTCAGTCAATTCAGGCTGCTGTCACAAAATGCCACAGACTGGGTGGCTTAAACAACGTTTATTTCTCACAGTCTAGAGGCTGGGAGGTCCAAGATCAAGGTACTGGCAGATTTGGTGTCTGATGAGGGCCCTCTTGCTGGTTTGCAGATGGCGTCCTTGCTATATCCTCACGTGGTAGGGTGGAGTGGGGAGAAGGAGAATTCTAGTCTTTCTCTTTGAATAAGGGCTCTAACTCCATCATGGGGCTTCTACCTTCATCATCTCATCTAAATGTTTCAAAGTGCCTACCTCCTAATACTGTCTTATTGGAAGTTAACATTTCAGCAGATGAATTTTAGAGGGACACATTCAGTCCATAACACCATCTGTTCATACAAGCCACAAACCTAAGTCAACCTTGTTGATTCCTTCTCCCTTGTATACTTTATCCAGTCCATTATTATGCAGATGGACCACCTACATGTAGCTTAACTCTGTTCCCTGTCTGTACACCACTATCCTTTACCACCAGTCGCCCTCTTAACTATTATAGTAACTTCTTTTTTTTTTTTTGAGATGGAGTCTCACTCTGTCACCCAGACTGCAGTGCAATGGCACAATCTTGGCTCACTGCAACCTCTGACTCCCGGGTTCAAGCAATTCTCCTGCCTCAGCCTCCTGACTAGCTGGGATTACAGGCATGCACCACCACACCGGGCTAATTTTTGTATTTTTAGTAGAGATGAGGTTTTGCCATGTTGGCCAGGCTGGTCTCGAACTCCTAACCTCAGGTGACTCACCCGCCTCGGCCTCCCAAAGTGTTCGGATTACAGGCATGAGCCACCACACCTGACCTATAGTAACTTCTTAATTGGCCTCCTAGCATACATTTCTTTCTGTCTATGAAAAAATAATATATTTTTCATACTGAAGTCATGTGATTTTTTTTAAAAAAATACATAGCTTATGTCACCTTTGTATTTAAAACTCATCATTGTCTTCCCATTTTTCTTATAATGAAGACGCTTGACATGATCTACAAGGTCTTGCTTCCTCTGGTCACTGGCTGTATTTTCAGCTTCATCTCCTGCCCTTCCACCCTGTCTCTCTGCATTCCAGCCACATTAACTTTTCTATTTCCTGAACTCACCCTGATTCCTTGTGCCTTGTATTCTTTGCACATTCTGTTTCTTCTTCTTGAAGTGCTACCCTACTCTCGATATCACTCTGTCTAGATAACTCCTCCTTATTCATTATAGTTTATATCTACTGTCTCTTTCTTCATTGTTCACAGCCCTCCCTCCCTGGATCCTGGATAAACAAGAGCTCTTGAGTGCTGTTAGATCCGTCATGGCAGTAGAGAATGTACTCTGGAGGAAATCTTATCCACCAGAAGTGGGTTTTCAGTTACTCAACCTTTCTTGAGTACCATTGTGTATTAGGTACAGCAGTACCCTCAGATCATGGTCAACACACATGCAAAACGACAGTGCAACTTGATAAATGCAGTGAGAATTGTGTGTTCAGGATTTAGCAGTGGCACAGATGTGTGGGGTGGTCAGCCCTACCTGGAGCAGAGGTCAAGAAAGACTTCTTTTTCAGAGTAACGCTGAGTTGAGTCATAAAGGCGAGAGGCTCTCATTCATTCCCTCTGGGCTTGTCAGGGGATATGGGTGGATGGCGGCACATGCGCATAGAAAAAGAGAATCGTGAAGCAGCCTTGTGCACGTAGGTAGGTCAGATGAGATCATGTGCTCGTGCTTGATATGCAGTGGAGAGATGAGATTAATAGACAAGGCCTAAAGGGCCTGGGAGTTATCCTAGAAAGCCTGGACGTAATGCTGTAGAGCAGTGGTTCTCAAGCTATGGTGCACGTCAGCCTCACTGGAGAGCTTGTTAAAACGCAGATTGCTCACCCCCAACCCCTACCAAAAGCTTCTGGTTCTGTAGATCTCGAGTGCGCCCCAGAGTTTGCATTACCGACTGGTTCCCTGATGATGCTTGTGCTGCCTGTCCAGGAATCACACTGAGAACCACTGCTGCAGATGATACAGAGCCACTGATATATTCATATTTGCCTTTTAGTACCCAACTACCTAGCTTTTTATTTAGAACTAGACAGAACAGCTAGAGTAGTTGAGAAATGGTCTATTAAAATAAGCTGGCCAAGTGTAGGAATTCTAGTAGCTATGGGACATAAACCAGGTTTCCCCTGCAGTTTGATGTGAATGAGCCCAGCATATCTCCCTTTAAAGCTTTCTTTTTTGCTGTTCTGAATCCTGACATGTTATCAAGCATATTTAAGGTGATTCAAGAGTCATGTTCATTCAGCTTACTACAGCAAAGAACATGAGGTTGATTTGAGTACATTGGAAACTGCTGTGTATAAATAGTACACACTTGGGAGTGATACACTCAGGGTACAGATGAGGAGGTTTCGCCTTTTTATTCATTTTTAAAAATTGTATATCTTACCCAAGTGTAATTAGAGTTTTTAAAGTGTTGTAACTAAGTAGTTTTAGAATTTGTCAATTAGAACTGTAGAATATGTTGAATATGTATGTGTACATACACAAACACATAGACACTGTTACTTGCTGATAAGAATCATAACAATGTCCACTAGGAAATTTTTTTTTTTTTTGAGGTGGAGCCTCGCTCTGTCGCCCAGGCCGGAGTGCGATGGCACGATCTCAGCTCACTGGACCTCTGCCTCCAGGGTTCCAGCGATTCTCCTGCCTCATTCTTCCAAGTAGCTGGGATTACAGGCGCCTGCCCCCACACCCAGCTATTTTTTTTTTTTTTTTGTATTTTTAGTAGAGATGGGGTTTCATCATGCTGGCCAAACTGGTCTTGAATTCCTGACCTCAAGTGATCCACCCGCCTCAGCCTCCCAAATGCTGGGATTACAGGTGTGAGCCACCGCGCCTGGCCACGAATTCTTTTTTTAATGATGTTATGTAGCTTCTTTGTCCATTCTAGAATTTAAAGGTGTCCCTGCCTGAAAAAAGAGAGCTAGCTAATTATGGACTCTTGTGGACTTCTCCGGGTCTTTTCTAAAGTTTTGATGTGATCTGATTTTCTAACATTGCAGTGAAGTGATACAAACAATTCCACATTTATGAATGACCTAAACTCATAGAATGTCCTGCTATGGTTTGAATATTTATGTCCCCCCAAATTCATATGTTGAAACCTAATCACCAAGGTGATGGTATTACAAAGTGGAACCTTTGGGAGGTGATTAGGTCATGAGGGTTTCACCTTCATGCATGGGATTAATGCCTGTGGTATTATGATTATTATGACACACACACACACACACACACACACACACACACAGGTTTTCTTCCATGGTTCCTGGCTCGTAACTCACATAGCCCTTGTTACAGTGTTTTATTATACTGTTGGGGCACTTTAGGCCTCAGAAGCAGACCTCAGGAAACAGAATCTCCCTCTCTGACCTTTTCCTACCCTCCTTTCACCTGCCCAAGGCAGGACTGTCATCTGACTATGGGTCATAAGACCCTCATTCCAAAGAGGGTCCTGCCCCATACCCCAAAAGAAGAAATGCTACACAGAAGAGGCCAAGAAGAATCTAAACAGGCGGGCCTTGCTGGGTGTCCTCCTCAGTCTCTTAGTATTAGATCACACCCCTTTTGTCCAATCACATTTCAACACAGTTGTCTTCGGTCATGCCTATCCATTGAAGCCTCCATAAAAGGCCTAATGACAGTATTCAAGGAGGTTCCTGGAGGGTGACACACCCAGGGAGGGCATGGAAGCTCCGCACCCCTTCCCCCGTACCTTGCCTTGTGCATCTCTTCATCTGTATCGTTAGTCAGACTTTTTTTTTATTACCTTTGTTTTGTTTTGGAGACGGAGTCTCACTCTGTCACCCAGGCTGGAGTGCAGTGGTGCAATCTTGACTCACTGCAACCTCTGCCACCCGGGTTCCAGTGATTCTCCTGCCCCATTCTTCTGAGTAGCTGGGATTACAGGCGCCTGCACTGTGTATCTCTTCATCTGTATCCTAGTCAGACTTTTTTATTACTTTTTATTTTCTTTTTTGAGACAGAGTCTCACTCTGTTGCCCAGGCTGGAGTGCAGTGGCACAATCTAGGCTCACTGCAACCTCTGCCTCCTGGGTTCAAGCGATTCTTGTGCCTCAGACTCCTAAGTAGCTGGGACCACAGGCATGCGCCAGCACGCTCGGCTAATTTTTGTATTTTTCATAGAGACAGGGTTTCACCATGTTGCCCAGACTGGTCTCGAACTCCTGACCTCAAGTGATTGGCCCGCCTTGGCCTTCCAAAGTGCTGGGATTACAGGCGTGACCCACCATGCCTGGCCCTTAGTCACACGTTTTTTCTTCTTTTTTTTTGAGATGGAGTCTTGCTCTGTCACCCAGGCTGGAGTGCAATGGTGTGATCTCAGCTCACTGCAACCTCTGCCTCCTGGGTTCCAGTGATTCTCCTGCCTCAGCCTCCTGAGTAGCTGGGATTACAGGTGCCCGTCACCACATGCAGCTAATTTTTGTATATTTTGTGTGTGTGTGTTTTTTTTGTTTTTTTTTTTTTTTAGTAGAGACAGGGTTTCACTATGTTGGTTAGGCTGGTCTCGAACTCCGGACCTCAAGTGATCCACCCGCCTTGGCCTCCCAAAGTGCTGGGATTACATCATCAGACTTTTTATAATAAACTGGTAAATGCAAGTAAGAGTTTCCCTGAGTTCTGTGAGCTGTGGTAGTGAATTAATCAAACTCAAAGAGGGGGCTGTGGGAACCCTGACTTGAAGCTGGTTGGTCAGAAGTTCTGGAGGCCTAGACTTGCAACTAGTGTCTTGTAGGGGGGCAGTCTTGGGGACTGAACCCTCCCCCTGTGGGATCTGGCACTGTCTTTAAGTGGAGAGCACCAGAATTGAATTAGAGGACACCCAGCACTAGCTTGGTGTTTGGGGAAAAAACCTCCACACATTTGGTCACAGAA
Source organism: Homo sapiens (assembly GCF_000001405.40). Taxonomy (NCBI): domain Eukaryota; kingdom Metazoa; phylum Chordata; class Mammalia; order Primates; family Hominidae; genus Homo; species Homo sapiens. Next base: position 185,302,522 of record NC_000004.12, read on the forward strand.
GTCTTTGGTATTGATTGTTGTGGTGTGAAAGCAAAGGAAAAATGCAGTTGGAGTTGGGTTTTCCTTGCAGTGCCCTTATAAAAGAGGCCTCAGAGACTGCCTTGCACCTTCTGCCATGTGAGGATGTGGTGCGGAGACGCCGACTCTGCCAGCACCTTGCTTGTGGACTTCCAGCCTCCAGAGCTGTGCGGAGTAAATGTCTGTTGTTCGAAAGCCATGCAGTCTGTGGTGTTCTGTTAGAGCCAACCACCTCTCAGGCTGTTTCCCTGCCATTGCCCCAAGGGCTCTTGCGAGGGTTCCTCCCTGCCCAGTCCTTGAACCTCCAGCACTACCTCCAGTGCCTGCTGTCCCTTCCCCACTGTCACCACCTGGCCCCCACTCATTCCCTGCCTGAAGGTCTGTGGGCTCGGGCACTTCCATTGCACTCACTATAGTCTCATGAGTTTATAACCAACTCTACTCACCCTCTCTCCCCAAGAAGAACTTTAGTCCTCGTAGACTCTAACACCTGCATTTTATAACAAATAAAGCTCATGTCCAGAGATGTTAAACAACTGACCTGGTTTGAATAGAGCTAGTTAGTCACACACAAATCCGAAACTTGAGCCCAAGTCTCCTGAGTTTCGTCCTGGGCTCCTGCTCACAACAAGCATTGTATGGGTCAGATCTGAGTTCCGGGTGTATATCTCAAATCTGCTCAGCTCACAGTGCTGATTTGGGAACGGGGTTCTGCTTGTAATTTTATATGTGGATTTAATTGCTATATTATTCCTTTAAAAACATATTGCAAGCCTGTTGGAGGGCCTTAAACCAAGGGGAGTGCTAGGAGTTCCAGCACCAAGACATTAAACGAAGGTGCAGGGCGTGGTGGCTCACGCCTGTAATCCCAGCACTTTGGGAGGCCGAGGTGGGTGGATCACGAGGTCAGGAGATCGAGACCATCCTGGCTTACGCAGTGAAACCCCGTCTCTACTAAAAATACAAAAAATTAGCCGGGCGTGGTGGTGGGCACCTGTAGTCCCAGCTACTTGGAAGGCTGAGGCAGGAGAATGGCATGAACCTGGGAGGCGGAGCTTGCAGTAATCTGAGATTGCACCACTGCACTTCAGCCTGGGCGACAGAGCGAGACTCTGTCTCAAAAAAAAAAAAAAAAAAAAAAAGCAAGGCAGGGCACACAGTGGGCACACCCTGGCCGGGCTGCACAAAGTCCATGTGTCTCTGTACTCTTCTCCATCATAAAGTGAGTGATTCCGCCATCAACTCCTGTACGATTTCTGCTATTCCTCAAATATACTCTCCACTGAAGTGGAGTGACACGTTAGACTATGAAATCTCAGGTGTTTAGAGTGGTAAGAGAAGCCCATTTGTTCTTTTCAAAAAAGGACATACCAGCCTCAGGTTGAAAAGTAAGGCAAATATTTTTTTGAGTTCCTTAGCAACTGTTGAGGTGATTTCTAGATAATTTTGAAGAAGTCTGTGATGATTGGTAACTACTGAGAATTGCTGCCAGCTTTGTGTTAAGAGGTCAAGTACCATTTCTCACTTCAAATCTTGACTAGTCCCTAAGTAAATATATACCTGTTTCTTGAACCCTTCCATCAAGAGGATTTAGTAAAACTTCTGTTTACTTATTTATATTTTAGAGACATGTTCTCACTCTGTCACCCAGGCTGGAACATAGAGACGTGATCATAGCTCACTGTAACCTCAAACTCCTGGCTTTAGTGATCACGGCTCACTGCAGCCTCGACCTGCTGGGCTCAAGTGATCCTTCTGCCTCAGCCTCCTGAGTAGCTAGGACTACAGGTGCATGCCACCACGCCTGGCTAATTTTTAAACTTATTTTGTTTTTTTGAGATGGAGTTTTGCTCTTGTTGCCCAGACTGGAGTGAAATGGCGCATCTCGGCTCACCTCAACCTCCACCTCCTGGGTTCAAGCAATTCCCCTGGCTCAGCCTCTCGAGTAGCTGGGATTACAGGCATGCGCCACCATGCCCGGCTAATTTAGTGTTTTTAGTAGAGAAGGGGTTTCTCCATGTTGATCAGACTGGTCTCCAACTCCCAGCCTCATGTGATCTGCCTGCCCCAGCCTCCCAAAGTGCTGGAATTACAGGCGTGAGCCACCACACCGGGCCTAAATTTTTTTTTATAGAGACAGAGTCTTGCTGTGTTGCCCAAGCTGGTTTTAAACTCCTGGCCTCAAGCCATCCTCCCACTTCAGCCCTGCACAGTGCTGGTATTACAGGCATGAGCCACCACATCCAGCCTAAAACTTTTATTTGAATATACAAGAAAGATTCAACAGCTGGTTAGTCTGTCAGTGCACATACAGTTGATTGGAGAACCAGCATTTTCTAGGGAGGAAGTCTCTATTCCATATGTCGATTGCCTGCATTTCACGAGAAGACCTGAGCATCCTGGGCAGAGGAGAGAAGAGAGCCCATGTTGAGGAGTGAGGGAAGGGGAAGGAGGGTGCGGCCTTGTCCTCTGTTTGCTCTAACCTTCTTGTTAGAGGAGCAGGTTGTACCTCTGTATCAGCACTGCTAAGTGGGGCCAGGTGGAGGGTAGGAGGTGGCAGTTTTGCTCCCCAGGGGACATGTGACAATAGTCTGGAGACATTTTTGGTTGTCGTCTTTGGGGGAAGGGATGCTACTGGCATCTAGTGGTAGAGGCTAGGCATGCTGCTAAACATCCTGCAGTACACAGGACAGCCCCCCACAGCTGAGAACTACCCTGTCCAAAATGTCAGTAGTGCTGAGGTTGAGAAACCCTGCCCTGTATTATCCATTAAATCCCTCAGTGAGTCTGCTGAGGATGCTGCCATTATGATATGCCCTGGAACATGATAGCATGTTATGAGGGAAGGAAAATATTCTACTGTTGGTGTTTTTCTTTTTTTATACCTGAAAAGCACAGTGGTGCCATTTTAATCCAGTTGTACTATTTCTGGAGTCATGAGTTTGCACTTTAAGTTACTTTGCTCTCTGCTGCCTCATTAGAAATAGCATCTAACAGTTGTCGTTAGATGTTGCTGTTTTTGTTTTACTGCAAGCCACTTCACTTGCTTAAGGAAGAATTATATCATGGGCAGGGGATTTATAGCGAAAAGCATTTCTGTGATGTTATTCGTAAGTCTGTTGTAATGTCTTTGTAGCCAAAAGGGTTTACCTAATGTCTAATATAAATGTCTTTTTCACCAAATGAACCCAAATTCACCCATTTCCTTTTGCTCTGATCTCAGTAGAACCTAGACTATCTAGACGGAAAAACAGTAAATATTTGAACTAATTGCTTTGGAATATTATAGGTTAGTGCGAAAGTAATCACTTTTTTTGCCATTAAAAGTAATGGCGAAACCCGTGATTACTTTTGCACTAACCTAACATCATGTGTGTGTTCATCTTGGCACCAGTTTAAAGACACACTGCCATCCGGTGTTTCACTGGCCACTTCTTTTTAAAGCTAGATTAAATGTTGTGTGATTAACCCAGTTTCTAACAATGCACAGTGTTACTACTTAACACTCTATAGAGAAACAGCCACATAACTCTGGCATGAGCTGGGTCACGGGGTGTTGTCACACACCCACTCGCCTATACTTTTCTTGATGTGAATATTTCTTGGATGAATGGGTTTTAAGGCCACAAAGAAATGTATTCATCTGCATCACTGGATTTACAAGGATTTTTGCATGCCAGCAGCATGGGATGCATGAGCTCCACGTTAGTCATTTAGCTCTGAATGTGGCATTCGCTTTCTGAGGCAAAAATAAACAGAACCATCTAAGCAACAAGCTGCTGTTGCATTTGTTAGCAACAAGCTTTGTGATCAGACAATGGCATTGTATGGCCCATTATCAAACAGAACGCATTCACGTGAGCAAGCCACATTTAAGCGGAGCACCAAAACATTCTTCCCAGCCTTGCAGCTGGGTTTTAGGGAAGGGTTATTCTCTTTCTTACTTCTCTTTGGAATTTTCTTCTAGGTTTTGTCCTTTTAGAAAGGCGTTTTAAGCTCTCTTTGGGTAAAAAGAATGTAATGGTTGGTAAATGGGTGTCAGTTTTCTCCTATATTTCTCTCTCTTTATTAACATGTTTTAACCCCAAATTAAAATTGAGGTCTAGGTTTGTTTTATAAATAAGAGGCAACTTTAGTCCCAGAATTTTTAGATTAACTTAAACATTATACACAAACTATGAAGTTTAAGGATATATATTTTAAAAGTAAAAGTTTTCTTGAAAAATTAGGTCTTCCAAGCTTGCATTTCCTTAGGTACACTCACAAAACATCTTAGTTTGCAATAGACTAATTTTGGGGCAAACTACATTTACCTTCATCCTCCCACAAAGGAGTCTCTGAAATACTATTTTTTTCCTGTTGAGATAAATGCTAAATTAGTGAGTTCTTTAGGCAGGTCCTGACTGTTGGCCAAGTATAACACAAGTTCAGAAACCATTATTGAAGTAAATGAAAATGGGATGAAAAGATGTCTGATAATACCTGACAGATCATCTTGAACAAGTCCATGTATTGACCTGAGGCCTGCCTGTGGCCCTTTGTGTTAAGTACCGGAAAAGCTGCTTCTGATAAAAACGTATTATGGTGCTGTGTCTAAGTTTTTTCAGCTAATTTTGCAGCCTCCCTGAGTGCTATGTTATACATTTGACTAATTGGGACCTGAGATGGGTAATGACCATCCTAGGGAACCGGATGGAGGTCTCCAGCTGGGAGGATGTGCAAACCATTACTTAGACTGCACTCGTGGGAACCAAGAGACAAAACACAAATGCTCTTTTATCATTGGTAGTTTCATATCTAAGCGAGGTATGTGCTGACTCACCTCCAGAGAGTGTGCTCTCACCTGTCCAGATATGTAGTTCCCATGCCTAGGGAGGAGCATTCTGTTTCTCTAGCGGTCCTCTGGGCCCTGAGCATTCCTGGCAGTCCTGCTGAGCTCTCTTTGCATGAGAGATTCCACACTTGCCCCTTTACCTCAGGCCTCTGATCACTCAGTCTTTTACCCCCTCACTCCACACAGACGACTTTGCTCTCTACTTGGACAAAACTGAATCCATATAAAGGGAACTACTCTGGCATCCAGCTATGTCTGCAAACTTCCTCATATCCAATGTCCACCTGCTCTGCCTTCCATGTTACTACAGTGGAGGAGGTAGCCTTTCTCCAAAGCTGATCTCTGATCTCTTCACCTGTCTTCTGGATTCCATTCCTTGTCTGTCACCTTTCTCAACTTTTATTTATTTATTTATTTTGCTCTGCTGCTCAAGCTGGAGTACAGGATCATCACTCACTGCAACCTCAAATTCCTGGACTCAAGTGAACCTCCCTCCTCAGCCTCCTGAGTATCTGGAACTATAGGCATGCACTGCCACACCTAGCTAAGTTTTTAAAAAACTTCTTGTAGAGATGGGGTTTAGTTATATTGCCCAGGCTGGTCTCAAGCACCTACCCTCAAGTGACCCTGCTGCCTCAGCCTCCCAAAGTGCTGGCATTACAGGTGGGGGCCACCACGCCGGGCCCACACCTCTCTTTACTTTTAACTGATTTCTTCTCCTCAGCATTAAAACCAGTTCAGTTCTCTCTCACTTAAAACAAAAACATGCCTTCCCTCACCCCAACCCTTGCCTTCAGGTATATATACACAGCCAGCCCATTCTCCACAAGCTGTAATACTCAAATGTTTAGTCATTTTTAAAAATTAATTTTTATGAGTTTTTTGCTTTTGCTTTAAATGATATGTCAACTTGAGAAAACATTGTTACTGGTTTTAAATTTGAAAAAATATTTGCTTGACGTGGCATAACTTGTAAGTAACAGAGCCGGGATTCTAACCTAACTCTGATTGCAGACTCTTCTGAAAACTCTCCACTGGATTTGACCTGGGGGTCCCTAGTGATCTTGGCAACAGCAGATTTGGTGGAGGGAGCGTTAGAAGCCAGATAGGAGTCCTTGAAGAGTAGGAGTTGAGGATGCTCACCCTCTTTCTTTCTTCCTCAGCCCCAAATTCTAGAAAGAACACAATACCTGATACATATTAGCAAAATGTACCATTTGAGAGTTCATTGATCCATTCAACTCCTGTTTAATGAGCGTCTCCTTTGCTGCCAGGCACTGTTGTAGGTGCTGGGGATATAGCAGTGTATACATAGATAAACACCTACTTTTATGAGGATATATTTACGATCTCCCTTGTCAGCTTCTCTTCCCCCTTACTCTTAAGAGTAAGGTTTATCTCAGTTGTGTCTAGGATTATTTGTTTCCTCCTGGGTTGTCTCACACACTCCCATGATGTCATTTACTATCCCAGAGCTGAATGTTTCCGAACTCTAGACCTTCTCTCTCCACCTAGGTAGCTCAGAAGCCCGCAGACTCATTTTGCCTGTTTGGTTGTCTTTTACTGTGTAACAAACTACCCTAAAACATAGTGTCTTTAACAACAGCCATTTATTTTGCTCATGAAGCTGCAATCTGGGCAGGGTTTGGAAGTAATGACTCTTCTCTGTGTCACGTGACGTCAGCTGGAGTGGCTTGACTGGGGTGGGACGGTTTACTTTCAGGATGGTGTACTCACACGGTGCCTCATTGGTGCTGAATATGAGCTTGAGATCTCAGCCAGAGCTGTGGTTCGGGGAGCCTCGGTTCCTCTCCATATAGATCTCTCCAAGGACTGATGGCTTAGGCTTCCTCAAAGCATGGAAGCCTCGGGGCAGGTGAGCCACTTACATAGTGACCCAGAGCTCCAAGCCCTTGGTCTTTTATGATCTAGCCTTGGAAGTCATAGCATCACTTTCGTCATATTCGTAACCCCAACCAGATTCAAGAAAAGGAAACATATTCTACTTTGCAGAGGCAGATTGTCAGAGGGACATCGTAAAAAGAGCATGTGAGATGGAAGACATTGCAGCCGTTTTTGGAAAATATCACCTGCCATATTGTCCAGAGTTGAGTTAGCATCTTCCACAAACCTGCTTTTTCTCCAGTGTTTCTAGCTTAGTAATTGGCCCCACCATCCCTCTGGCTTCTCATGTTGGAAACCTAGGAGCCATATTTGATACCTTTTAATTCCTCGGCAACCTACCCTCTACCCTGCCCAGCCAGTCACTGGGTCCAGACATCCTCTTGTCCTCTCTACTGGCCTGCCATAACCCTGGTGTAGGCCATCACTATCTCCCTCCTCAGTTGTACTGCAATGGTCTTCTAGCTGGTCCTCCTCCTAGCAGCCTTCCTTCTTCCAACCTATCTTTTATCCTGCTTCCTATGTAATCATGAAAGATACAAATACATTTATGGCACATTCCTGCTTAAAATCCATTAAAGCTTCTCAGTACTTTTGGGCTAGAGCCTTTCTCTGGCCTGAAAGGCTGTGCACCTCATGGCTTCTGCCAGCATCAGAGTTATTTTGGATCTTCTGGCTCCTTTTGCACCTGCTCTAACGGCCTTCTTTCAGTTCCTCGAAAGCTCTGTTCTCTTTCCTGCCTGTTTCTCACTTTGACACTCGCTATTCTTTCTGTCTGCCATACTCTACTCATTATTCATGTTTGTTTAAAATAATTTCCTCAAAGAAGCCTGAGTTAGAATCTTCTGTTAAACAGTTCAGTGGTATCTGCATGTTTTCTTTATAGCCCGTGTTATAGGTGCTTGGATTCCTCTCTTTGGATTTCTTACTTGCTAGACTCTTAAAAGTCCATGAGAGCCAACAATTGGTCTTCAATCTCAAAAGCCTAGCTGGTGTCTTGACACATAACTAGCACCCAGTACATGCTTATGAATGAGTATTTGTACGTACACATTCATATAAAGATGTTAAAGAATACACACACAGATTTGTGAGTGCATTTGTACAGAGGTTTTTTTAAAAAAATGTTTTACCTTTGGGTAAGATTTGTCAGTGGTATATTTAGAAATTATATTTAGAAATGATTGGCATTTTTATTTGGGAGTATGTATATGTATTTATCATGGATTCTGTTCTGTTATTTTGTTTAGTATCCACTTGGTTCAGAATGCCCACAGCAGACACTGATCTGGTTCTGAATTGCTGTGTCCTTTCATGCCTTGTCCTCTGACCAGGTACTGTTTCTCACTCCTATTCAAGGTAAAGAAACTGCGGCAATGAAAGCTGATCTCCTGAGGGCCAGGAACATGAAGAGGTACATCAACCAACTGACTGTGGCAAAGAAGCAGTGTGAGAAGAGAATCCGAATCCTGGGAGGCCCTGCCTATGACCAGCAAGAGGATGGGGCCCTGGATGAGGGGGAAGGGCCTCAAAGCCAGAAGGTAGAACTTTATAGTTTCTTGTTTTGACCCTACCAAGTTTATTATAAATGCTGATAGAACTACATATAAAGACTTTCAACTTTTTAGTATTGAACTTAGACATGTGTGCCATAACTACACACTGACATTTGCTCTATGAGTCAAGGAGCTACATTCCTTGGTGTCCTTGACCTGTATGGGTGGTAATAGGTATAGATAGGCCTTGGGTGTGTGCATGTGTGTGTGCGTGTGTGGATATTTTTCCATCTTCCCTTTGTCCTCCCCAGAGGACCCAGAAGAGCATATTTATATTTACAAGACTCCAATCAAGTTTCCCATTATCAATTGAATAGAAATAACCACCTATGAAGTAGGAGGCATCTTCTAAATTATTTTTACTTAACTCTTGCCACAATATTATGAAATTTCTACTTGATATCTTCATTGATGAAATGGTGGGTTTAAGTATCTTGCCTAATACCACATAGATAGGAAAAGCTAGAACAAGATAAAAACCCAGATCTGACTGGTTTGCAAATGTGAGTGCTTTCTCACTGAACCATAACATCTCTCTGACTGTTTTTGTACTGTAAAACTTCAGACTGTCTGTCAATACCAACCAAATCACGGAGCTTAGGGAAGTGTTTTAGCCCTACCTCAGTACCTGTCCTAACTCTGAAGGACCAAACTTGTCTTCCAAGACCTGGAGCATACTAAGATAGAAGGAAGCAGCCACGTGACCCACTCAGGAGCTTAGCTGTGCCGTGGAAGGAACAGGACCTCAAAGCAGATGCCAGACTCCTCTCTGTAATGTGTCCTTTAGCTACAAAGAGGCCAACACTGGTATAATGTAACTCAAGCTACAGCCTCTAACCTCACTTGTTCTGATTTTCAGTCTCTTGATTCTTTCCTGTTTAGCTCTCGGTTCTACTTCAGCTACTCATCTGTGATGTTCCCCTGCCTCCCTATTCCAGTGATCAGCCTTGACTTTCTTAGTTTCTGGCTAGTCTCTGTTAGAGCCTCTGCAGGAAGGGCCAGCCCCAGCATACGCCAGGGTTCTACAGCATCTTACACAAGTGGTGCAAATGCAGCTCCAAGGAACTCTTGTTTTTATAATCCTCTAACCACAGGAAGTCTGTTGATGTTGCTATTAGCAAAATAAAATAAAATAAAATAAAATTTTTGAGATACTGGCATTGTGTTCCAGATGGAAATGTAGCATTTTGGTGAATCAGAGAGATGGTAGATTTGACAGGTTGAATATTGCCCCCTTCCTCCTCCTCATTAGCTTTTTGGTTTTGGCCTCTTAGATTAATTTCTAGCCACATTTATTGTAGATGAGGTCTTTGTCTTATGTCCCATTCATTCATTCATTCATTCAACAGACATTTATTGAGGGCCCACAACATCTCAGTTACAGTGCTAGGTACTAGGATTAAAAATAAATAAGATAGAATCCCTGCTCTCAAAGAGTCCCATATAATTATAAAATAAAAAGGTAAGTGATCCAGTAGAGATATGAGATAAATACCTAGGAGAAGCACATAATGGCTTGCTACCTAGTCAAAAGATGATATGCTTTTAGATGTTGTGGTACAGGAAGATCTCAAGAAAGATAATGGAAACTCATTTTGGGAGAATTAAATGTGATTTCAGTACAGGTTGTCTATCTGGCAGTGTCTACTAGAAGTAGACTTAACCCAGAGTGCCAGATCATTTTTGATTTGTTCTTTTTTTTTTTTTTTGAGATGGAGTCTCACTCTGTCGCCCAGGCTGGCATGCATTGGCGCGATATCGGCTCACTGCAACCTCCACCTCCCGGGTTCAGGCCATTCTCCTGCCTCAGCCTCCCGAGCAGCTGGGACTACAGACGCCCGCCACCACACCCAGCTAAATTTTTTTTGTATCTTTAGTAGAGACGCGGTTTCACTGTGTTAGGCAGGATGGTCTCGATATCCTGACCTCATGATCTGCCCACCTCAGCATTCCAGTGTGTTGGGATTACAGGCGTGAGCCACTGCGCCTGGCCTTGATTTGTTCTTTTCAGACATTCAGGAAAAGAGAAACTCATTTCTGTTGCAATAATTCATCCTCAGAGTAAAACCATTTCCTCTAATCTTCAGGATGGAAGGCTAAGATAAGACAGAATTCCAATAGTTATGGTCATTTGCTATTTGAAAGGTAAGACTTTGGTTAGTTTGGGGCCATTCTGATGTCTTCATGAGTGGGAAGAAAACTTTTGCTATGACCTAATCATATGTGATCCAGAAGAATTACCATTAACTTTATTTCAGAATTTAGACTTCCAAATCAGGTTAATCCTCCAATTAAAAGAAAGATTCAGAGTGAATTTTTTAAAAGGCAAGGCAGTTATATGTTGCTTACAAGAAACTAAACATAAAGGCACAGATAAGTTGGAAGTAAGAGGGAAAAAGACATGCGAATACTAAGTATAAGAGATCTAGAGCAGCTACTGTGAATATCAGACAAAATAGACTTCGGAACAGGAAGTAGAACCAGAGATGAAGAACCTTTCATTATGATAAAGGAGTCAGTTCGTCAGGAAGATAGAATAATCAAATGTTCTCAATCAATAAAGAGACCTTTAGAGTGTACATGAAGCGAAACCTGACAGAAATGAGAAAAAATGTCACAAGTAGAGTTGGAAATGTTAACAGTCCCCCTCAGTAATATCAGTAATAGGAAAATCTGGAAAATTCCCAAATATTTGGTAGCATATCTAAATAAGGCTTCCATCAAAGAAGAAATTATAAGGAAAATTAGGAACTATTTTCAATGGAGTGAATATGCAATATATCCCACAATTATTTGTGGGATACATTATGATATGTATATTGTGGGATATATTGTGCAGTTAAAGCACCACTTACAGGAATTATGTACAGTTGGCCCTTGAACAATGTGGGGGTTAGGAGTGCTGACTCTCCCCTGAGCAAAAATTCACATATAACTATGGAGTCTCCAAAAGCTTAACTGCCCATATCCTACTATTAACTGGAAGCCTTACCAATAATAGTCAGTTAACACAGATCTTGTATGTTATGTGTATTATATACTGTACTGTTAGAATAAAGTAGGCTATAAAGACAAATGAAAATGTTACTAAGAAAATCATAAGGAAGAGAAAATATTTTTACTACTCACTAAGTGGAAGTGGATCATCACAAGGGTTTTCATCCGCATCATCTTCCTGTTGTCTAGGCAGAGCAGGAGGAAGAGGGGTCAGTCTTGCTGTGTCAGGGGCGGCAGATGTGGAAGAAAACCCTGTACGAGTGGGCCTGTGCAGCTCAAACTCATGTTGCTCAAGGGTCAACTGTACTTTTTAATGCTTATAGCAGAAGCGAAGAAAGGTATGAAATCAGTGATCTAATCTTTTAAGAAGCTATAAATTGGCCCAGTGAGGGGGCTCATGCTGGTAATTCCAGCACTTGGCGGGCAAAGACAGGAGGATCGCTTGAGGCCAGGAGTTAGAGACCAGCCTGGGAACATACAAGACTCCCCTCTCTACAAAAAAAAAAAAAAAAAAAATTAAAAGAAGCTGTAAATAAAAACTAAAATAACTAGAAGGAAGGAAAGAAAAAAGATACAAATTGCCAGTATTAGGAATGAAATAGGACATCACTAACAGATGCTACATACATTCAAAGGAGGCTAAGGGAATAATGTGGACAACTTCAAGCCAATAAATTTGACAATTTAAATGGAAGAGACAAATTCCCTGGAAGACACAAATTACCAAAACTGATTCAAAAAGAAATGGAGGCTGGGCGCAGTGGCTCACGCCTGTAATCCCAACACTTTAGGAGGCTGAGGCAGGCGGATCACGAGGTCAAGAGATCGAGACCATCCTGGCCAACTTGGTGACACCCCATCTCTACTAAAAATACAAAAATTAGCTGGGAGTGGTGGTGGGCACCTATAATCCCAGGTACTCGGGAGGCTGCGGCAGAAGAATCACTTGAACCCGGGAGGCGGAAGTTGCAGTGAGCCGAGATCACGCCACTGCACTCAAGCCTGGCGACAAAGTGAGACTCTGTCTCAAAAAAAAAAAAAAAAAAGACAAAAAGAAATAGAAACTCTGAATAACCCACAATTTATTGAAGAATATAATAATAATCTAAAACCTTCCCGGCTGGGCGCGGTGGCTCACGCCTGTAGTCCCAGCACTTTGGGAGGCCGAGGCGGGCGGATCACGAGGTCAGGAGATCGAGACCATCCTGGCTAACACAGTGAAACCCCGTCTCTACTAAAAATACAAAAAATTAGCCGGGCGCGGTGGTGGGCGCCTGTAGTCCCAGCTACTCAGGAGGCTGAGGCAGGAGAAGGGCGTGAACCTGGGAGGCGGAGCTTGCAGTGAGCCGAGATTGTGCCACTGCACTCCAGCCTCAGAGACAGAGCAAGACTCCATCTCAAAAAAAAAGAAAAGAAAAGAAAACCTTCCCACAGAACTCCAGACTCAGATCATTTCACTGGTGATTTTTTTTTTTTTTTTTTTGAGGTGGAGTCTTCCTCTGTTGTTCAGGCTGGAGTGCAGTGGTGCCATCTCAGCTCACTGCACCCTCCGCCTCCCAGATTCAAGCAATTCTCCTCCCTCAGCCTCCCGAGTACCTGGAATTACAGGCGTGCACCACCACGCCCAGCTAATGTTTGTATTTTTAGTAGAGACAGGGCTTCACCATGTTGGCCAGGCTGGTCTCAACCTGCTAAGTTCAGGTGATCCGCCTGCCTCTGTCTCCCAAAGTGCTGGGATTACAGGCATGAGCCACTGTGTCTGGCCTCACTGGTAAATTCTATAAAACATGTAAGGAAGAGATAATACCAATCTTAACCATACTCTTTCAAAAAACGGAGAAGGGAACACTTCAACTCATCCTAGGAGGAGACTAGCACAATTCTAATACCAAACCAGAGGAAAAAAAAACTTCAAAATGGTGTCTCTCATGACCCTGGACAGAAAAGTCCTTAACAAAAATACTGGTAAATCAGATTCAACAATCTGTAATTCACAAAGATAACATCAGTATATGTTCTCCTGACAGTGGGTCCTTAGTATAATCATTGTCTACTTCATTTCTTTGCAATGCTATTATTAAGGCTTGATGGAATATTTATTTTTTAAACAGCTTAATTAAGGTATAATGACATGCAATATACTGCTCATATTTAAAGTGTACAATATGATAAGTTTTGACATACACATATATTCAATGAAACCATTGCCACAATCAAGATAATAAACAGATCCATCACCCACAAAAGTTTTTTATGTCCTTTGTAATTTCTCTTTGGAGCCCAGTTGAGAATCACTGCTAATCCTTTTATCCATATTTATGTAACTAGAAAGTGACTTCTTAACTATCCTGATTTTTGGCACTTATCAGTGCCTTCTCTTTCTCCTGGTTCAGGCTCTTCCTGATTAGTTTTTGTTGTTGTCTTTCGTGATTCAGAACAGTTATTATTAACAAGTCTCCGAACAACCTGGAAAGTAGATGGTATTATTCACATTTTATGGGTGAAAAAACTGAGGCGCAGAGAGATAGAGTAACATAGAGCTCACAGAACTGGAAAGTCGCAGAGTCAGGATTGAAACCTACATGTATCTACCTCCAAAGCCTGAGCAACTCTAACTGCACAGTGTTGCCTTCCTATCTTGCTTTGTTTTGAAAACAAAAAGTCTGTGTTGCCTTATCTTTTTGCAAGGTAGCACCCCCCACACCAGTGGCCCCAAAATGGAAAGATGGAAGGAAGAATTAAAATAAGGGTTGAAGAGGAAATGGAAATAGGAGTACATGGAGTTTGGAAATCAGTGGCAATAAATGGCAGATCTTTTCTTTAAGGCCAATTTACATATCAGTTTACTTATTTGACCCAGGGTCAAGCCAAAATGAACACTGCCAAATGCAGCCAGGACTCGACTTGAGTGTGAAAGGGTTTCCTGGCTCTTTCTGTTGATACTGGAGTTGTTGGCCCATCTTCCCTAGCCAAATTGATATGGGTTCCTTTAAACCTCTTTGGAGCATGTACAGTTAGGATTTTGTGCTTCAAAATGCTTCACTGGTAGAGTTTACATAAAGTCAAATGTTATAGTGTTCCACAGCTAGTAAACTAACTAAATATTATTGGTCTGAAATATTTATAGAAACGAATTATTAATGGTCTGTAGCAAGGGATATCCAAGTCCTTAGTTACTAGGAGCTGATAGAAAATGCCTTCCCTGGCAGCCTATAGAATGGGAGAAAGTTTTTGCAATCTACACATCTGACAAAGGTCTAATATCCAGAATCTACAAGGAACTTAAACAAATTTACAAGAAAAAAACAACCCCATCAAAAAGTGGGCAAAGGATATGAACAGACATTTCTCAAAAGAAGACATTTATGTGGCCAACAAACATATGAAAAAAAAGCTCATCATCACTGGTCATTAGAGAAATGCAAATCAAAACCACAATGAGCTACCGTCTCACACCAGTTAGAATGGCGATTATTAAAAAGTCGGGAAACAACAGATGCTGACGAGGCTGTGGAGAAATAGTAATGCTTTTACACTGTTGGTAGGAGTGTAAATTAGTTCAACCGTTGTGGAAGACAGTGTGGTGATTCCTCAAGGATCTAGAACCAGAAATACCCTGTGACCCAGCAATACTGTTACTGGGTTTATACCCAAAGGATTATAAATCATTCTGCTGTAAAGACACATGCACTTGTATGTTTATTACAGCACTATTTACAATAGCAAAGTCATGGAACCAACCCAAATGCCCATCAATGATAGACTGGAAGAAGAAAATGTGGCACATATACACCATGGAGTACTATGCAGCCATAAAAAAGAATGAGTTCATGTCCTTGCAGGGACATGGATGAAGCTAGAAAACGAAACACCACATGTTTTCACTCATAAGTGGTAGTAGAACAATGAGAACACATGGACACAGGGAGGGGAACATCACACACTGGGGCCTGTCGGGGGGTGAGGGTTAAGGGGAGGGAGAGCATTAGAACAAATACCTAATGCATGTGGGGCTTAAAACCTAGATGACGGGTAGATAAGTGCAGCAAACCACCATGGCACATGTATACCAGAAACTTCACATTCTGTTCATGTATCCCAGAATTTAAAGTAAAATTTAAAAAAAGAAACGTACTGGAAAATCTGAATAGACCCTCTGCTGGAAGCATTATGAAAAGTAAATAAATGGATATACTGCATCATCCTCAGAAAAAATAAAAAAGAAAGAAAATGCCTGCCCCCTTCTGCCCACAAAACAGATTAAGCAGGGGCTCATTGTTGGTGTCAGAAGAGTTGAGTGTAATACACTGATGGTATGCACTTGATTTTAGAAATATCTTACTGGTGACATTTCTGAAAATTTGCCAACTCATAATTTTAAGAATTTCAAAATGTAAGTTTTTATTTAATTGCATTTGAATTCTACTAATTGCATGTAATTTTTTATTACTAATTCAGAACTAAGAATATAGGCCTTAAATTCCTCCTAAATTAATGTGAGGCATTTTTCCTAATTCATTGTCACGAATTATTATGAAGGTCATCTGCTGTATTACAGCAGTCCATACTCGATTGTTCCTTCTGTGTCTTCAGATAGGTTCTTTTTCTTTTCCTGTGAGTATGTAAAACAGCAAACAAGTAGATGGGCTTATTTTGGTACATCCATACGGAGGAATTTTATGGGCTTATTAAAAGGATGCTTACAGGAGATTTTTTTAATGAATATGGTTGATACTGTAAACAAAAAGGCAGGGTATAACATTATTTGTAGATCCCTCCAATAGATAAAAATAAGATGGAAAACAAAAACGTGAAACTATTAGATCCCAGTGTCCTTGTCTTTTATACATTTCTCTTCAATTTTTCCATTATTGGCACTTACTATTTTTAGCATAGAATGTGCATCCCATAGGGTAGGGATTTTTATCTGTTTCATTCCTAGAACTGTACCTGATACCAAGTAAATGCTGTGAAAGGAAGATAAAAACTTAACACCCTAATTCACGATGCCAAATGAAAAAAGTTAAGCTGAAAGCTGAGTCATGCAGGAAGCTGTCTTTCCTTTTGTTCCTCAGCAGAAGCTACAGATAGAAGGTTCAATATCTCCACAGGTAGCTACTCTGTGTTTGCCTTATCTTATGTAAAGTACAGAGGATTACATAATTGACTGTTGCCCTGCCTGCTCCTTTTTGTTTGGAACACGTGGATTACCATACTCTCCTCCTTTCCCCTCCAGCCCACTTTTCCCCTTTATTTTATTTTATTTTTTTTATTTTTTTTTTTTTAAAGGACATATCATATTTATTCATACACATGCTGGAATTATTGGTGCAGACATTTAAATACATTTTCTTTGAGAAAGTCCTTTTTTTTTTTTTTTTTTTTTTTGATGGAGTTTCCCTCTTGTTGCCCAGGCTGGAGTGCAATGGTGCAATCTCAGTTCACAACAACCTCTGCCTCCTGGGTTCAAGCAATTCTCCTGCCTCAGCCTCCCAAGTAGCTGGGATTACAGGCATGCACCACCACGCCCAGCTAATTTTTTTTATTTTTAGTAGAGACGGGGTTTCTCCGTGTTGGTCAGGCTGGTCTTGAACTCCTGATCTCAGGTGATCTGCCCGCCTTGGCCTGCCACAGTGCTGGGATTACAGTCGTGAGCCACCACAGCTGGCCTGGGAAAGTCCATTCTTTTTTTTTTTTTTATCACTTTTCCCCTTTAAATATTGAAGCACTCAAAGTCATCTTTGGAGAAAGGCACAGACCACAGACTGTTTCTGTGACTCCTTGTTTATTTCTTCCAGGCATGTCCTTAATCTTGGCAAAATAAACTTCTAAACTGATTGAGACCTGTCTCAGATACTTTCTGGTTTACAATGCCAAATAAATCTTTGTCCAGTGAGTGAATGGTTAATAGGAAATTGGTATTTTTTCAGTATGTGCATTTTAAATATTCAGTAAGCTTTATTCTATTTAAAATGTAGTAAGAGGTATTTCAGTTTACCAGGAGTACTATATTACATCAACTCTGACCTTAAAAAATGCATGTTTTCAGCTCAGCATCACTGATCATTAGAGAAATGTAAATCAAGACCACGATGAGATACCATCTCATGCCAGTCAGAATGGCAATTATTAAAAAGTCAAGAAACAATGGATGCTGGCAAGGCTGTGGAGAAATAGGAACGCTTTTACACTGTTGGTGGGAATGTAAATTACTTTAACCATTGTGGAAGACAGTATGACGATTCCTTGAGAATCTAAAACCAGAAACACCATTTGACTCAGCAATCCCATTACTGCATCTATACCCAAGGGAATATAAACCATTCTGCTATACAGACACTTGCATGTGTATGTTTATTGCAGCACTGTTTACAATAGCAAAGTCATGGAAGCAGCCCAAATGCCCATCAGTGATAGACTAGATAAAGAAAATGTGGTACATATACATCATGGAATACTATGCAGCCACAAAAAGGAATGAGATCATGTCCTTTGCAGAGACATGGATGAAGCTAGAGGCCATCATCCTCAGCAAACTAACACAGGAACAGAAAACCAAACACCACATGTTCTCACTCGTAAGTGGGAGCTGAACAATGAGAACACATGGACACAGGGAGGGGAACAACACACACCAGGGCCTATTGGGGGTGGGGGCAAGGGGAGAGAACTTAGAGGACTGGTCAATAGGTACAGCAAACCACCACAGCACATATATACCTATGTAACAAACCTGTACATTTACTTAAATAAATAAATAGTAAATTACTACAATAAAATTTTACTTTATTCCTTTAAAAAATGCATTTTTACCCTAAATGTAGAAATCAGTCCATTGGAAGTTAAAGCAAACTGACATTTAAAATTCGATTTTAAAAAAAGTTTTCTTAAATTCTCTTAATAGATTCTTCAGTTTGAAGATATCTTGGCCAATACGTTCTACCGAGAGCACTTTGGAATGTACATGGAAAGGATGGACAAAAGAGCTCTGATTAGTTTTTGGGAATCTGTGGAACATTTAAAGAATGCTAACAAGGTAGTATATGTAGGCTGAAAGGAATATTAATCACTAGCTGATGTAAACTTGGCATGTGAGGCAGCATGTCTGTTTTTCTCAAGATAAGTATACATTAAAAATATTTTAAACCAAATATAATACTGACATTATGTTCTAGCCCATAATGGCAAATAAAATTACATTATATTTTTACAGAAGATTCTTTTGAATGTGTAGTCAAGGGAAAAAAGGTTTTATAAATGTACCAAGAGATTGAATTTAGTTTTGGGTATTTTTTTTACACATTGTAAAAAGACATATACATATCCACATTACTATTATAATGAATTTGGCCCCCTCACCTACACTTCAGTCTCATAATCTTGCCATTTATAATATCATAATGTGCATGTTTTATACTTTGCCTTTCATTTCAATTTTTTTTTTTTTTTTTTGAGACGGAGCCTTACTCTTTTACCCAGGCTGGAGTGCAGTGGGGCGATCTCGGCTCACTGCAACCTCAGCCTCCCAGGTTCAAGCGGTTCTCCTCCCTCACACTCCCGAGTAGCTGGGATTACAGGTGTGTGCTACCACACCCAGCTAATTTTTGTATTTTTAGTAGAGACGGGGTTTTACCGTGTTGGCCAGACTGGTCGCGAACTCCTGACCTCAGGTGATCTGTCCACGTGGGCCTCCCAAAGTACTGGGATTACAGTCATGAGCCACCGCAGCCAGCTTTTATTTCAATTTAAATATGAATAAAGGAAAATAAAATTATTTTGGGGTACACATACATCTTACAGTGAAGATCCCAATAATCAGCATCATGCTTTGCATTTGGCAATAAATATTTAAGAATTAAGTGTACACAGTCTTTATGTATACAGTCAGCCTTCCTTATCTGTGGGTTCTATATCTGTAGATTCAACCAACCATGGACTGAAAATATTTGGGGGGAAAAAAACTGCATCTGTACTGAACATGTACAGACCTTTTTCCTTGTCATTATTTCCTAAAAATACAAAATCAGCCATTTACGGAGCATTTACGTTGTATTAGGTATAAGTAATCTAGAGAGGATTTAAAATATATGAGAGAATGTACATAGTTACACGCAAAAACGCTGCACCATTTTATATCAGGGACTTGAATGTCCTCGGATTTTGGTATCTTCAGGAGATCTTAGAACCAATCTTCCATAGATCCCGAGGGGCAACCGTATATGTATGTATATGTCTGTAAATGTACACAATAATATCTATAACATGTGACATATGTGATCAGTATATACTATTGTAAGAGGTTTATTAAAATAAGTACCAAGAGGCTGGATGCGGTGGCTCACGCCTGTAATCCCAGCACTTTGGGAGGCCAAGGTGGACAGTTCACAAGGTCAGGAGTTCAAGACCAGCCTGGCCGACATGGTGAAACCCTGTCTCTACTAAAAATACAAAAATTAGCCAGGCGTGGTGATGTGGGCCTGTAATCCCAGCTACTTGGGAGGCTGAGGCAAGAGAATTGCTTGAACCTGGGAAGGTGGAGGTTGCAGTAAGCCGAGATCACGCCACTACACTCCAGCCTGGGCGACAGCAAGATTTGGTCTTGGGGAAGGTGGGGGGGAAGCACCAAGAGCATATTGTACACTGAATTACTCATTTTCATATGAATGTTGCCAGAATAGACTGCCAAATATATTGTAAGTCACAAACTATATTTGTTAAGGAACTAAATCCAGTCCTATAGTGTCTTTAAATCTTTTATTGTTAATTTACAAGCCCCAAATTACCTAATTTTATCCAATATTGTAGTTGCTAACTCTATTACTCATTTTATTCACCAGTTTTGACTCCACATAACTTCTGGTTGTTCTCAAAGGAATATTGTAAAGAGCAATCTAAAAAGGTTTTCCTAAACTATGGAAGAGAATTTGAAATATTTCAATGGAGTAAGAGCAGCTAGCTTCCTCGAAATAGCCTTATTTTGATCTAGCAACATTGATTTGGATGTTAACATTCTGGGATGTATGTTAAATTAGTTATGTTCATTAAGTTGTATGCCTTTGCTCTTTACTA
The DNA here is from genome assembly GCF_000001405.40 of Homo sapiens. Classification (NCBI taxonomy): domain Eukaryota; kingdom Metazoa; phylum Chordata; class Mammalia; order Primates; family Hominidae; genus Homo; species Homo sapiens. The sequence goes on from NC_000004.12 coordinate 185,322,898, forward strand.
TTGTTGAAAACTGCGTAACATTTCTAGAGTTAATGTAATGCCTCTAGAGGAACTGTAAAGATTATGTTAATCCAAAGAGATGTTTTGCATTTCTGAAGTAGGCTGGTGATGACACAGGCTCATTGCTGAAGACAAAGCTGTCTAATATAAGCTTGACTAGGACATAATCATTCTGAAGTAGTCATTCTGAAGAGTGTTTTTCTCGTTTTTCTGAGTTACACAATTATTATATTGACTTCTTTCTGGGATGAGAAATGGCACTTCTAGTTACTTATATTAGGTAAAAAGTTAAATTGACATTAGCTAATACATTTTCTTCTTGTGGAATTGAGATTTATGAAAAGGAATCTATTGCAGGAAGAGAACTGTTCTTATTCTGTTTTTGCCCCCTCCAGTGTTTAAAATAAATTGCAGGTGTTAACTGTTCAACATGTTCATTTAAAGAATTAGTTTTTTTTTTTTTAGGATCTGACATTTGCTCCTTGACCCTGAATATGGACACAAAATTCTACATACCAGGGTGCATCTTAAATGTCTTTCTTCTGACTTTCAAATGCAAATAATTCAGAGAAAAATAATTTCTCTCAGAGATGATATGTCTTACTTTTCCTTATCTTCCTGTCTTTTCAGAATGAAATTCCACAATTAGTTGGTGAAATTTATCAGAATTTCTTTGTGGAGAGCAAAGAAATATCTGTGGAAAAATCACTTTACAAAGAAATTCAGCAGTGTCTTGTAGGAAATAAAGGTATTGAAGTATTCTACAAAATCCAGGAAGATGTTTATGAGACCCTAAAGGATAGGTATTACCCTTCATTTATTGTCAGTGACCTGTATGAGAAATTGTTGATAAAAGAGGAAGAAAAACATGCCTCACAGATGATTTCCAACAAGGATGAGATGGTGAGTCACATTTAACTTTCTGCTCCTTTTTATTGGATAAGCTTTTAAATATGTTTAAGTGGGTGCATATTGTGTGAGCCAAATTTGATGCACATCTTCATCTTTTAATATACAGGACCTTAAATAGAATAAAAGTAGCATCGTTTAATATACAAGACCTTAAATAGAATAAAAAGTAAGCATCAATAACCTTGTCTCTGGTTGTATGTATTTCTTTCTTCCCCTTTTATCCTCTGACATACATCTTCCCTCATGCTGGCATTGAGTCAGAGACCTCCTGCCCTCTGTCTGTTTTAGATACACCTCTGGTCTGACTCCTGAAAAGTGAGGGCAGAAAGTCTGTAGGGTGGGACATTTATGGGTTAGACCAGCTAAGAAAATCAGTAGAACTATATAGCCCTGGAAGAGAGAAGGGATGGGGAAAAAATGAGGAGAGGTAGGGAATGTGGGAGAAGTTAAAGGAAATATTTTGGAGTTTAAAGAAGGCAGAAGAAATTAAAATGCTCCAAAAGAAAACTTCCTAATGTAAGAGTTAAATAAAGAGGAAAGAAACACGAAAGACAGGTTTATTTTGGAGAATAAACCTGAGAGGGGCTTCTGGCCGATTTCAGTCAGGAGCACTCTCTCTTACAGACTAAAGAGTATTTATTGGTTTTAGGGTGAGAGAGCTTATCACAGGCTTGGAATGTTTCTGTGTGGAGGAGAAGTTTATTGCAAGGTTGGAATGTCTCCGATCAGAGGGGAGGTTATCTTGGGGCTCACATCTCTCTGGCTGGAGGGGAGGTTATCTCGGGGCTGGCTTGTCTCTGGTCGGGGAGGGATTTATCTTAGGGTTGGAACGTTTCTAGTTGGAGATGTCATTTGTGGTTTATGGTCTTACTGACTTCAGCTATTAGGCTGATGCCCTTTGGATTTAGGTGGTTTTTGATCAAGGGGATCTTTAGAATGGCGGTGCTTGTCCAGGATGGCGATGCTCCTGCTCTGTCAATCCAGACCCTTAAAAAGGACAAGGGGCAGCGTGTTCCTTCTGGCTACTTCCTACTGATGAGGGGACGGAGAGTTTTCTGGTCTTGGATTGACTGTAAGAGTAATGCCGTCTGTAGATGTTTTTGGGTAGTTGCTGTGAAATAGCTGTAATCCTGTCATTTAAAAATTTTTGAAAAAGGTTAATTAGGCAGGGTAAGAACATTAGTCCTAGGCATATTATTAGGAGAGAGCCCAGGAATGGGATCACCAATGCTATGATTTTGTTTCCAAACCAAGAATCTGTTTGGTTATTTTGGTATTCCCTTAGCTTTTTAGCCCTTTCTTTAAGTTTTTCAGCAGTGTCTCTTACTAGGCCCAATTGATTGAGATAGAAACAACATTCCTCACCCAATGAGAGGCAGAGGCACATGTTTGGAAAGGTCCATGTGTAATTTTCTGTTAGTAACCATTATTAAAAGACAAATCGCCAGGTGCAGTGGCTCACGCCTGTAATCCCAGCACTTTAGGAGGCTGAGGTGGGTGGATCATGAGGTCAGGAGTTTGAGACCAGCCTGGCCAACACAGTGAAACCCCGTCTCTACTAAAAATACAAAAAATTAGCTGGGTGTGATAGCATGCGCCTGTAGTCCCAGCTACTTGGGAGGCTGAGGCAGGAGAATCACTTGAACCCGCGAGGCAGAGGTTGCAGTGAGCCAAGATCGTGCCACTGCACTCCAGCCTGGGCGACAATGTGAGACTCCGTCTCAAAAAAAAAAAAAAAAAAAGACAAATCATGGTAGGACTGATTTGCTGTATTATATTGGTTTAATTATTTGCATACAGCGCAGTAAGAAGAATTATTTATTAAATAGACCTTTTAAATTGGCTTTGATGAAACTTTGTTCTGCAGAAGGAATCTGAGATAAGACCTTTTTAAAGCCAAGCCCAGCCATGGATTTGTACTGTCAGATAACTATGAGTTGGGTGATTTTTCTCCTCTTGAGATTCCAAGATAACTTGGGGTTCCTGGCCTGTCAAAAAGTGACATTCTTTACTCATCACAGATCAGAAACCCTGTACAGGGACTGTGTACACAAAATATGGGGCCAGTTTTCCAAGGGCTTTATTGGCTTCATAAGTCAAGTTTGATTCCTTAAAGGAAGGCACACCATTCCAGTCGAAGCATGGGTAAAAATAACCAGTTTTTCCAGTTGTGTCCTGTTACAAAAGAAAACAGATTCTTATTGCACTTATGCAAATAACTATATTGCCATAACTTAAGAATACTCAGAGATGGTTTCCAAATTCTGGAGAAAGTCAGGTAGAGAGAAACAAGTATGCTCCAAATTTTGTTCATGGGAGTATACTAAATTGTTGAAAACTGTCAGTAGCCCAAAAGAAAAGTTACTTTGACTTTGAAAAGCAAAACAAAGGATTAGCAATATTTTAAGCAAAACGTCAGAAAGGTCACTCCAGTCTCCTGTTAGTTCAGTTCGTGCAGTTAATTCCTGTCCTGCTTGACATTAATGAACATTTTAGCTATTCAAGAGTCCTGAACATGTTTCCTCTATTCTGATGTCACAATCTCCAAAGTTATCAGAAACCTGCATTTGAGAGCACCTGTTAGAGCTTTATAGCTGATTATAAAACCACCTTCTAAAGAGGACCAAAACAAGACAACAATTGTTTATGGATGACCAAAAGTTTTAGGGTAGCCATAGTTAAAGACACAATTGACAAGGAAATCTGTTACCTGTGTGGCACAAAATAATTTTAACATAACAATTATAATTACTACTGATAACATACATTAAGATATATCAGAATTATAGGCGTCTCCCAAAACGTTGGAACACATACCAGTAACTTATTTATACAAACATAGCCCAAAGAGAGCCGAACACCATTTTATATTTGACAATTCTTCCTATATGATTTTATACCAAATAAGCCAAATTTTACTTTTATATTAGTGTGCTATTAATGTTAAACTCAATTTTTAATAAACCTGTAGACACATTTACCCTATTTTAATGTTTGACCACAAGTTAAGATTTTTATAGACCCTTTTTAACCCTTTATAATTTTTGTTAAAGAGCAGGTTAGTGCTTTAAGAAAAACCTGTTGTGCTTTTATTTTAATGCTCAATTTACAGAAAAACTGGATGATACCCCTTCAACTTTAGCCAATATGTTTACACATGGAATTTCCTTTACAATTAACCTTCCAAAACTTGCTTAAACCTTCATTTTTATTTTATTCAACTTAAAACAATTCTTTAACCTTTTAATCTAGGTAAAAATCCACATTCTTATGCCTCCTTATAATCTTTTTACCAAAAGTATACGTAAAATGTTTTTTCAATAGTCTTAAATACATGTTACACTGTTAACTTTTAGCAACCTTTACTTTTGTTGGTAAGTTTGGGATTTTAATTATGTACTAGGTGGAGAGCCTAGGACCTAGACAGAAATGCAGATAAGGTCTGACTTACTCCAGCATTTAACTCCATGTCTCCTGGGCCTTCCCTAGCTGCAAAGCAGGCAGGTTGTACAGCTAAGAGTTATAGTAGCATTTTATAAAGCATTCAGGAGGCTTAATCACTTTTAAATTGTACAACATTTGTTGTATGAATTCCCTTTTATAAAATTTTTCATGACTTACACAGACAATCTCTGACATGCCTCAACTTTCTCATTTGTTGTAAACATCCCTCTCTTTAAACAACCAGTTAATTTACTTTAGGACAAGAATTTACCATATAAGATAATTTTTTATATAAATTATCTTTTCTTTAATATCTTTTGCATAGCTAGGGGGTATGGCTAATTTCACATGTCCCCAGGCCTTATCTGTTTTTGTTTATTAACTTGGTTTACAGTTTAGCTTTGAAACAAAGATGGTAACAGTCCTTTCACAAAACAAACTTCCTTCATGTCTGTGGACTAGACTGCCTAAGGCCACCAGATTAGAAGTTAGGGTATTTCATTAAATAGTTCAAGATGTAGTTAACTTTATTAAACCAATATTAATGTTTCATTTATTAAAAAATTACACAAGCAAAGATTATTCTGTCTGGGCTGAGTTATAATTTTGTAGCCTCTATGCCAAATTTTGACACTTTATAGTATTCGGCAGAGATAAGTATGAAATTGCTTGATCGATAAATGCAAACAAAAATGTATGCTGGCAGTTCTTAAGACATTTCTGATCTTACTGTACCAGTAAGTTTTAGTCTCGTGAACTGAAAGATCCCATAGCTTTTACTTTTCCCTTAAAAATATTTGATTTAAGCACTTATTTTTCTTAGGCCAATTAATTAGAGTTCTTTTAATAGACATTGCACACAACACATGTATAGCCACACAGGCAACCAGAAGAAGATCCAGTAGTTATAAGATTTTTTTTTTCTAATTTCCCAATTGGATTATTGGCCTTTGGGTGAGGCCCTTTAAGAACAGGGCTAGGAAAACAATTTCCAGGGCCTAATAAACAAGTATAGCTGGAAGACAAAGACAGATTTTGAGAGGTACTTATTCACCTCTAATTCCAGGGGTTCCATAAGGAAAACAGATTTTTTCCCAAAACGGGATTTGTGGCACTTTTTCTGTTTTCCCAAGGAGCCCCAGGCCACCAGGTGTCATTTTAGGGTCTTTCATACGTGCACCAAGAGTGGCAAGACAGAGTGGAAAAAAGTAATTCAGTTGACTAGGAAAAAACCTTTTTCAGGAAAACAAGATTTATGAAGAGGAAAACATAAAGGCCTTTTGAATATACTCGTAGCTTGGATATCCATTTTAATTAAGCTGAGCGCTTTCTTATCAGGGGTGAGGGTGGAGGTTAGAATTATATAAATGTCATGCCAAGTTAAATTAAAGGATTGGGTTATGTGTAGGAATTCCCTGTGATAATGAGAGGGATTTTCAGAAAAAGATCCCAGATGCTATTTGATCTGCGACAAATCAAACATGGAGAAAGGGACATGAACGCGAGCAGTGCCTTTAGCCCCAGGCGCTTCCTGGAGAGGGAGAATGGCGGATTGACTGGTTGGAGTAGTTTTTGAACAGGTAACAGGTAGAGAAGGAGGAGGAGCAGGATTTGGGACTGAAGGCTTGGGGGCAGGAGGGGCCACCAGATTGGAGGTTTGAACAGGCGAGGAGCAGATGCAGGGAAATGAGAATACGGAGGGGGTTCATCTGCAGGCTCAAAAGGGGTTTCCAAGGAAGGGGTTTCAAAGGAAGGAGTTTCAGAGGAAGGAGAGACCCGGGGAGGGTTTTCATTAAGAAGAAGGATTTCATGAGGGGTGCAAGCTTGACATAGGGAGGGTTGGGATCTAAGGTAGAAAAGAATATAGACAACTTCTTGCCATTTGCTATTCGTGGTTATAAAGTTGTCAAGGTCCCTGAGAATTTGAAAGTCAAAGGTGCCGTTTTCAGGCCATCGGTTGTCATTATCTAATTTATATTGGGGCCAGGCTGTGTTGCAATGAAAAACCAAACGCTTTGGCTTTATGCTTCTTATAAGCCAAATTTGGTTAGGTTGTGAAGGAGACAGCTCAGTGGAGAGGATGTGGGAATGTGGGATTGTTTGGCATCCATGTGGACTGGTGAGAAGAGGCCGAGGGTGTCTGTTTTTGTTCCAGGCATCCCCAGACAAAAGACAGAGACCCAGCGTCCTCTTTCCTAAAGAGGACGGTTAAGCTAAGAAGAAACTGGGCATCCCCAAGATTTCTTCTAGCTTAGTCCTACTGGTCCTCTGAGGATCAGGACAGCAGACCTGACTTTCGTGGGTACCGCTTGAAAGCCTGGGGAAGGCAGATTTTACGAATCGGCTGGATTAGTGTCCGATGTTGGATGTTCCAGTTGGAATCAGCAAAGGGCCTCTTGGATTGGAGCCGCATGAGGAAGACAGACACAGAGAGAGAGAGAGAGAGAGAAGAGAGGATGAGGGAGGAGGAGGGGACAAAGGTTAGAGAGCTAAATACCCATTGTGGGCGGTCAGAGGTGGATTCCTGAGACCTGAGGGTTTTAAGAACCCACCTGTGAGTAGCCCCAGCCTGAGCCTCACAGTCCCCTTCAGGTTAGTTGTCTTCCTCACGCAAATCACTCGAAAAGTGAAGTGAGAGACAAGACTGGGTGGGTGGCCAGAGACTCTCAGGATCTAGTGGGATGGGCTGCTGCTGCCCACTGCTTCCTGGGTTGTGAGAGAGCCTCTATCCCCAACACCCATCCTGGGTATCAGCATCAAATGTAAGAGTTAATGAAAGGAAAGAAGCACAAAAAGTGGCTCAATAGTCAAAGACAGGTTTATTTTGGAGAATAAACCTGAGAGGGGCTTCTGGCTGATTTCAGTCAGGAAAACTCTCTCTCTTGCAGACTAAGAGTATTTATTGGTTTTAGGGTGAGAGAGCTTATCACAGGCTTGGAATGTTTCTGTGTGGAGGAGAAGTTTATTGCAGGGTTGGAATGTCTCTGGTCAGAGGGGAGGTTATCTTGGGGCTGACATCTCCCTGGCTGGAGGGGAGGTTGTCTTGGGACTGGCATGTCTCTGGTCAGGGAGGGATTTATCTTAGGGTTGGAATGTTTCTGGTTGGAGATGGCATTTGTGGTTTATGATCTTGCTGACCTTAGCCATTAGGCTGATGCCCTTTGGATTTAGGCAGTTTTTGGTCAAGGGAAACTTTAAAATGGCGGTGCTTGTCCAAGATGGCGATGCTCCTGCTCTGTTAGCTAAGCCACACATTAAGTCTAGTTTTCTTATAGCATATGCAATCATTTTGGATAGCTCCAGTTACCACCTCTTATTTACTGTTAGTGACCCCTATGAGTTTTAAGGTTTGTACGAAGAGAAACAAATTGTTTTATAGTCATCTTACATAGAAAGATTATGATTTATCGTGGATTTTTTCTTTCTGCCCAGTTCACTATCTCCAGCCCTGAGGACTCAAGTGCTTGCTCTTGATGGTATTAGAAGTCATCTAATTGAGGTCTCTGAACTGTTGGTTGTCTGAACTTCATATACATTCTTTTTTTTTTAAGTTTTGTTACTTGGTTCTTTACATATAAAATCACTGAACTGATTAGTCCAAAACTATTTATTGCATTTTATTTTTGATAGGTCACAGTTTGTTGTATCTATGTTATCTCTGTACTTCAGAAATTAAGATAGTTAATTTTACAGCAAATGCCGTAAAAGAGGTTATTCAAATTAATTAAAATATCTATACTCAGCAGATAAATTGAATAAGGATGTGAACTGACATTTGATGTGAGGTAACAATAAACAAATAGGAAGAAATGTCTACCTTCACCTCGGATTCAAAGAGGGCTGATACATAACTGACCTTTCCAGAGCTCCTACTCTTTGTTCCAATAATCTCTAGAAGTGGGAACTTTTGGAAATTTATCCTAGGAAAATAATTAAAATGTAGAAAAACGTTTATGCATGATAGTATTTGTTTTTGTACATATGGGATAGCAATGAAGCAGAATCAACCTATTACAGGAGCATCATTAGGAATGCGCCTCATAAATTCTCAATGCCATTGTTATTCTAATTATTCTCATACAATGCTGACGTAAAAATGATACTTTTGAAGATGATAATACCCTCAATGCCCAGCATTGTACGTTATATGAAGAAGGCAGAATACCCATTCAAATGAATACAAAGTATGAAATTATATATCATTTTATATAACTATTTATAGACAACCAGTTAAAAGAACATATGGGCCGGGCACAGTGGCTCACATCTGTAATTCCAGCACTTTGGGAGGACGAGGCAGGTGGATCACTTGAGGTCAGGAGTTCGAGACCAGCCTGGCCAACATGGTGAAACCCTGTCTCTACTAAAAATACAAAAATTAGCTGGACGTAGTGGTGGGCTCCTGTAGTACCAGCTACTCGGGAGGCTGAGGCAGGAGAATGGCTTTGACCCGGGAGGCAGAGGTTGCAGTGAGCTGAGATCACGCCACTGCACTCCAGCCTGAGCAACAGAGTAAGACTCTGTCTCAAAAAAACAAACAAAAAAACCCATGACAACAGCCTATTTTTCTATGACCATTGGTACTTTATTTTTCCTTGAAAACATTTTAATTTACTGTTTGTTACAATTACGAAAAGCTGGAACAAGAAAACCTGGAAGAAAGTTAAGGATAAACCAGAAGCTAGATCTCAGCAATTCTCTGCAGTGCCCTGCATTGCTGTTGCTGCTCTTGAATCTAATTCATGTGCTGTTGGGTAATCTAGCAAGACTTTTCCAAGTTACAGAGTTCTTATGAATATTAAGTCACTTTCAAATGCTATTTTACTTGTAAAATAATATACCTATTGATTTGTAGAATATATCAGGAGAAGGACTGAACAAAGTATATACTGAAAATACTTTCACTCATGGGAATATGGTAATTTTCTTTTAGAGGGGCTTGCATGAGTTTTTAATAATAGGAGACTGGAAAGAACCCAAATGTCAGTCTTGGTTGAACATTAGGTACAGAATATTCAGGTTGAGTTGGGAAGATAACTGAGTTGCCGTCCCTTGTTCTATGCAGATTTCCTTAGAGGTACCACTTGGGAAATAATGGCATGGGATTTCCCCTCCTTTCTTTAAGCTATAAAATGTTTCCGTTTTGCAATTCTGAACGCCATTTACTTTGGTTCCAAAGACTTTGATTTTTCTCTTTGCTGAGAAAAAGCAGTCTAAATTTTCTACTTTAGTATTCTTTCCTTACTGGAATGTAGTATTTTGCAACAGGGTATCGTGACCGATAATAATTACTGAATTTTCTATCATTATAAGATATGGTGGTATGTGACTCTCCCCCTAGGGCCCAAGAGATGAGGCTGGTGAGGAAGCCGTGGATGATGGTACCAATCAGATCAATGAACAAGCCAGTTTTGCTGTAAACAAACTGCGAGAACTAAATGAGAAACTTGAATATAAAAGGCAAGCTCTAAATTCTATTCAAAATGCACCAAAACCTGACAAGAAGGTAACTCTTTGCTTTCAAGGTTGTCTTTGAAAGTTAACATTTGTCTAATTTGGTAGTTTTCAGTTGAGGTTGAGAAGTGTCAGTTTCTTTTAAAATAATTTTAACCATGAACAAGTTCCATTGTTATTTTTTTGCTTCTAGGATAGAATTAGAAAAGCATTTGTTTTTAATCTCTTATGGTTTGGAGTTCTTTCTCAGTTTCAACTGTGAGCAACTCTGTTCTTTACATCTGCTTTGCCTACAGGGCCTTTGGAGAAGGGGCAAAGCTTTCTCTTGTGCCAGGGTCATTTCTGGAATTTAATTAAATACTCAAGGACAATCTTTTGAATAAAAAAAGATGTTTTCTTTCAACTGCTGCAGGTGCAATTTAGGGAACCTTACAGTATTGTTCAGGAAATACATTGTTTTGCTAGAAAGCAGCAATTTGAAAGTTTAAAAATGTAAACAGCATTTCACTAATTGGCCTTTCTCAAACCCAAGCTGTGGTGTGGCTTTTTGCTTTGTGTTTTGCTCTTTAGAATTCAACAAGGAGGTTTCTCTCATATAGATATGGCTGATGCTCTTTGATCTGCCAGATTGGTCTCTGGCACTTTCTGAATGTGTGTTTGAGGATTTCAAGCGGTCAACATGAAAGCAACTTAGAATAAAGCAATTTCAGTGACTCACATTGGGTTTTCTGTGAGCAGGTGCCCAATCCTATTGAGTCTTCTTTAGTATTCTTTTTGTGGACATTCAAATGCTTTTATAGTAGGAGAATATTCCTGAAACAAGATGTAAGAAAAACTGGTATCATGAGCCTATCAGCAATTTACAATTAAAATATCTATTCATCTATAATCCAGTTACTGTCTAGTTAAACAGTGAGTTTTCTTTAACAAAGAAAAAGCAAAAAAGAAGAAGGAAGAAAGTCCTGCAAAGGTGTGTTGTCTTGGTTAGTAGTAATGTTTTTACAAAATTGTGTAGGAAGAAGTTTAATGTGAGCATCACTTTAATAATTGTTAGTGATGGGCTGGCTGCACAATGGCTCATGCCTGTAATCTTTGGGAAGCCGAGATGGGTGGATCGCTTGAGCCCAGGAGTTTGAGACCAGCCTGGGCAACATAGGGAGACCCCATTTCTAGTAAAAATAAAAAAAAAAATCAGCCCAGCATGGTAGTGGATGCTGGTAGTCCCCAGCTACTAGGTAGGCTGAGAAAGGAAGATCTCTTGAATCTGGAAAGTCAAGGCTGCAGTGAGCCGTGATCATGTTACTGCACTCCAGACTGGGCAATAGTCTCAAAAAAAAAAAAAAAAAAGTGGCTAGGCGCGGTGGCTCACACCTGTAATCCCAGCACTTTAGGAGGCCGAGGCGGGTGGATCACTTGAGGTCAGGAGCTCGAGGCCAGCCTGGCCAACATGATGAAACCCTGTGTCTACTAAAAATACAAAAATTAGCCAGGCATGGTGGCATGCATGGTAATCCCAGCTACTCAGGAGGGTGAGGCAGGAGAATCTCTTGAACCCGGGAGGCAGAAGTTGCGTGAGCCAAGATCATGCCACTGCACTTCCAGCCTGGGTGACACAGCAAGACTCCATCGATCAATCAATCAATAAAAAATAAGAGAGCGTTAATGGTATTCTGAAAAGGAAACAAATGGCCAGGTTTCCTGGATTGTCATCAGAAATAGTTCATTCTCCCCCTTATGTGGAGTCACTCCCATTTACTACATACAGAACTCGAAAGCCTGATAGTCTTCCCAGTGACAAGAACATGTCTGAGATGATAAACAGAATTCGCTGGCATGGCAGATAATCAGTATCTGCAATATGGCATGTTCTTTAAGAACAGTTGTCTTATTTATTCTGGATTCATCTCATTATAAATTAAAATGCATCTATGGGTAACAGTATGAAAGATGAGTTAGAGAATATTCATTGAATTATTTTCTGCTTGGTTTGTTTGAAAGACATTATTCAGCCTTTCTTAAAATAACTTCTGATAACCATGGAATAAACATTCTTAGCTACAATTATATGAAAGAATTCTCAAGAAACTTGGAGCGATTCACTGGTACTGTGGCTTAACTTGAACTCTACTCTCTGATCTACATTTGCTGTGTAATCAGATTGTCCACAGGCTGCTCACGGAGCACTCTGCTTCTGGCAGTTGTGCACAGGGCTGAAAGGGCTCTGAGGATGGAAGGCAGCTGATCCTTCTCTCCAGAAGAAGACATAGTCCTCCTTTTGTCGTTTACTTATGTTGGTAAAAAATTAATAATTTTTTTAAAAACTTAAGATTGGCCAGGAGTGGTGGCTCATGCCTGTAATCCCAGCACTTTGGGAGGCCAAGGCAGGCAGATGACCTGAGGTCAGAAGTTTGAGACCAGCCTGGCCAATGTGGTAAAACCCCGCCTCTACTAAAAATATAACAATTAGCCTGTCGTGGTGGCGGGTGCCTATAATCCCAGCTACTCGGGAGGCTGAGACACGAGAATCACTTGAACCCGTGAAGTGGAGGTTGCAGTCAGCCGAGATCACGCCATTGCACTCCAGCCTGGGCAATAGAGTGAAAAAGTCTCACACACACACACACACACACACACACACACACACACACACAACAAAAACAAAAAACCTTAAGATTGATGTTGAAAAAGGTTTTGACAATCTAGCAATTAACATATCCCACCCCCAAAATCTTGTAATAGTAAGACTTTTCTGGATTAAATATCTAATTATTAATCAGATCATTTTCCTGTGAGACATAGTGGTGCAGACTTCTCCTCAACACAGAATGCCAGTGGTTTGCTTAACCCTTCTTCTCTCACAGATCTCTGTACCAGCAGTGTAATTAGCTACTGGGTGGTAAAATTAGCCTTTTAGTTTGATTCCTGAAATTTACTGCCTAGGTTTTTTTGTTTTTTGTTTTTTGCCTCCACAGAGATTTTGTGAGTCTGGAGCAAACTGTCCAATTCTAGGGTAATATTGGGAGTAAACCATTAACCATGAAGAATCTAAGTAACACAAGTGATGAGTAAATGCATGGTGCTGTGCGAGTCACTGTGAAGAATCAGTGTAACATAGAGTGACACCTGCCCTCAAGGAGCAAATATGCTGGTTATGGAATTAAAACAGACATGAAAATAAAATGATCACAGTACTTATTGATGTTAAAATGCAGGACAATGGCATAGGCAAGGAGTGCTTCCTGTAGGCTTTCTGAGGAAGGAAAGAGCCCTTGCACACTGCATATTCAGGAGAGTTTTGGAGCAAAGCTGCTGTCCTCAAACTACAGAGTTACATAACCCTATAGGCTTTCTCATAAAAGAGATCTGAAGAGATGGCGAGCATAGCATTTAAAAGATATTATTTATTTTTGTAAATTCTGGTAAAGTATATATAACAACATTTACCATTTTAGCTACTTCTAAAAATTTATTTTTTATTTCAATACGTTTTTAGGGAGCAGGTGGTGTTTGGTTACATGAATAAATTTTTTAGTGGTGCTTTCTGAGATTTTGGTATACCTATCACCCAAGCAGTGTACATTGTACCCAGTGTGTAGTCTTTTATCCCTCATCCCCCGCCAACCCTTTCCCAAGTCCCCAAAGTCCAGTGTATCATTCTCATGCCTTTGTGTCCTCATAGCTTAGCTCCCACTTATGAGTGAGAACATACGATGTTTGGTTTTCCATTCCTGAGTTACTCCACTTAGAATAATAGTCTCAAATTCCATCCAGGTTGCTGTGAAGGCCATTATTTCATTCCTTTTTATGGCTGAGTAGTATTCTGTGCTCTATACAGACTACATTTTCCACTTGTTGATTAATGGGCATTTGGGCTGGTTCCATATTTTTGCAATTGCAAATTGTGATGCTGTAAACATGGCTGTGCAAGTATCTTTTTTGTATAATGACTTCTTTTCCTCTGAGTAGATCCCTAGTAGTGGGATTGCTGGATCAAACGGTAGATCTTTTAGCTCTTTAAGGAATCTCCATACTTTTTTCCATAGTGGTTGTACTAGTTTACGTTCCCACCAACGGTGTAAAAATGTTCCCTTTTTACCACATCTACTCCTACATCTACTATCTTTTTATTTTTTTATCATGGCCATTCTTGCAGGAGTAAGGTGGTATCGCATTGTGGTTTTGATTTGCATTTCCCTGATGATTAGTGATGTTGAGCATTTTTTCATATGCTTGTTGGCCATTTGTGTATCTTCTTTTCAGAATTGTCTATTCGTGTCCTTAGCCCACTTTTTGATGGGATTGTTTATTTTTTTCTTGCTAATTTGTTTGAGTTTTCTGTAGATTCTGGATATTAGTCCTTTGTTGGATGTATAGATCATGAAGATTTTTTTCCCACTCTGTGGGTTGTCTGTTATTTCTGCTGATTATTTCTTTTGCTGTGCAGTAGCATTTTAGTGTTTTGCAACTGTCACCACCATCCATCACCAGAACTTTTCTCATCATGAAAAACTGAAACTATTAAACAATACCTCCCCATTTTCCCCTCCCTCATGCTCTGGAAAAACCATCATTCTATTTTTTATCTCTATGAATTTAACTACTCCAAGTACCTGATGTTAGTGGAATCACACAACATTTGTCCTTCTGTGACTGGCTTTTTTCACTTAGAATAATGTCTTCAGGGTTCATCCATGTGGTAGCGTGTGTTAGAATTTCATTGCTTTTTAAGGCTGATCATATTTCATTACATGTTTATACCACATTTTGTTTTGCTAACTATTTATCCAGCAATAGACACTTGATTTACTTCCACTTCTTGGCTATTGTTAGTAATGTTACAATGAATGTGGGTATGCAAATACCTCTTAAAAAGATCTTGCTTCCAATTCTTTTTGGTATATACCTAGTAGTAGAATTGCTGGGTTCTATGCTAATTCTGTTTTTAATTTTTTGAGGAATCATTAAACTCTCTACCACAACATCTATACCATTTTACATTCCAACTAGCAGTGCACAAGGGTTCCAATCTCTCCATGTCCTCCCTGCCAACACTCGTTATTTTCTTATTTCATAACCATTAGGATATTTCTTATTTCATAACCAATTCATCTTATATTTCTTATTTCATAACCATTAGGATAGTAGTCATCCTACTACTATCTTATTAAGGTGGTATCTTATTTTGGTTCTGATTTGCATTTCTTTAATGATTAGTGGTGGTGAGCATCCTTTCATGTCCTTATTGGCCATTTGTGTATCCTCTTTGGAGAAATGTCTATTCAAATCCTTTGTGCATTTTTAAATTGGGTTGTTTATGGTTTTGTTGAGTTTTAGGAGTTTTCTATAATCTGGAGATGAAACCTCTGTCAGAGAGGTGATTTGCAGATTTTTTAAATATTTCGTGGTTTGCATTTTTACTATATCAATAGTGTTCTTTGATGCACAGAGTTTTTAATTTTGATGAATTCCAGTTTGTCTATTTCTTCTTTTGTTGCCTGTGCTTTTTGTGTCATAACCAAGAAATCATAGCTAAATCCAATGTGATGAAACTTTCCCTCTATATTCTGTGTGTTTTTTTTTTTTTTTGAGACGGAGTCTCACTCTGTTGCCCAGGCTGGAGTGAAGTGGCACGATCTCGGCTCCCTGCAACCTCCAACCCCTGAGTTCAAGCGATTCTCCTGCCTTAGCCTCCTGAGTAACTGGGATTATAGGCGCCGCCCCCAACCCCCTCCACCACACCTGGCTAATTTTTATATTTTTAGTAGTGACAGGGTTTTGCCATGTTGGCCAGGTTGGTCTCCAACTCCTGACCTCAGGTGATCCACCTGCCTTAGCCTCCCAAAGTGCTAGGATTACAGTTGTGAGCCACCATGCACGGCACCCTATATTCTGTAAGTTTTATAATTTTTAGCTATTTTGTTTCGATCTTTGATCTACTTTAATTGTTATATATAGGGTTAGGTGGCAAGGATCCAGCTTCATTCTTCTGCCTGTGAATGTCCAATTTTCCCAACATGATTTGTTGAAAACACTGTTCTTTCCCTATTGAATGGTCTCGACACCCTTGTTGAAAATCACTTTACCATATATTATTTCTGGGCTATATTCCCTTGTTCTATATGTCTGTCTTTAAGCCAGTACCACACTGTTTTGATTATTGTAGCTTTGTAGTAAGTTTAGAAGTCAAGAAGTCTGAGTCCTCCAACTTCGTTCTCTTCAAAATTGTTTCAGCCATTCAGGATCTCTTGAGATTCTATATGGATTTTAGAATGAATTTTTTTTTTATTTCTGCAAAAAAAAGTTATTGAAATTTTGTTGGGGATTGCATTGAACCTGTAGATTGCTTTTGGTAGTACTGACAGCAATATTAATTCTTCCAATCCATGAATATGGGATGTCTTTCCAGATATTTGTCTTCTTTAGTCTCTTTCATCAGTGTTTTGTAGTTTTCATTGTAGAATTATTTCGCTTCCTTGTTTACATTAATCCCTAAGAATTTTTTTAATGCTATTGTAAGTGGAATTTTTTTCTTAATTTTGTTTTTGGATTATTCACTGTTAGTGTATCGAAACACAGCTGATTATTGTGTGTTGACTTTGAATCCTGCTACTTTGCTGAATTGCATAGTTTTAAGTGTTTTCATAACTCCCAGGATATTTTCCCTGTGGCAGATTGTTTCCAAGTTGAAGGATGAAATAATCCTAATAGAGAAAGAACGCACAGACCTTCAGCTGCACATGGCAAGAACGGATTGGTGGTGTGAAAACCTTGGCATGTGGAAAGCCTCCATCACCAGTGGAGAGGTAGTTTTGACTGCTTTTCCTCTTAATTTATTTTAAAAGTTTGACTTTATTAAAAAAGATTTTATCCTGAAGAATGAAGATTGAGGGTAGAAAACTTACACTCATTCTTTTAGACCATATTTGTCCTACCTTCCTTCCCCCACAATTTTCACTCCGGTTCACTCATGACTGGGAACTATACAAGGCTGCTTGGTATAGATCTGATCTCACTCCACTTCAAACAGCAAGTTCTTCCTGTTCACTGGAATTGAAAGCAGCTTTAATGTCCTTGAATTACCAATTTATTTTTCCATTAAGAGTTGAAATGAAAGCACTTTTTGAATCTTGGAGATGAAAAACTAAAAATGTAAGTGCATCTGATAGTTTCATCCTGCCAACTTCAATTGCTTAAATTTCAGTATCTCTAAAATCTTCAATGAATATGTTTTTTGAATTATTTTGCTGTTTTTTTTGAGGGATATGAGATAAGAGTTTGTAGAATATACTGTATCCCTTTTCATTTGTCTATAAAAATAATTTCATTTAGGAGGAAAGACGCTTATAGGCGTTTATGTCATTACTGTTGACAACTTCCTTCTCCCCTGCCCTACTGTCTGTCAAGTGGAAACCTGGAGATGAAAGTCATATAATGTCATTTGCATAACCACATTATAAGCAAATATCAAGGTCCTGAGCAAGAGAGTGCTTTTTTTTGTCCTCATTGGTATTTAATATGGCTTATCTTTGTTCTTCCCTGCCTTTCCCTCAAGCCAGTGGCTTGACACTCTTACAGGGGTTGGGAGAGGGTCAAAATTCACGACCTTAAATTTATCTCTAGGTTGGATAGCAAAACAAAGCATGTTCTCCAAGACCTACCCTGAAGGGACACACAGTACATGAGGGCCTAACCAGGTGCCTTCTGTATGTCTTTGGCACTTGCTGGTGCTCCCATTAAGCTAAGCTGCTGAACAATACACATTTCTCCATGGAAGGCAGAGAGCAGTGGATCAGGGAAGGTCATGCCCAGCCTCAGACTCCCACATAGAAACCCTCAGTAACTGCAGATAGTTACTGTTTGGGTGGAACTGTAGGAAGGTAATGGACTCAGGGGAATGTAATGGCAAAAGCTGCTACAAGAGGCTGCTGGAGGACAGAATACAAATTCTGTTACCTCCTCAGTTTTGCTTAGAGCTGGCCCTGACACTTCACAGTGTATTAAAATCATCTTCCAAAGGCAGATATTAGGGGGAGCAGAAAGGGAAGGAAGGAGTGGAAACCATCACAAGGGTCTGTGCCCTGGCCGTCAGTTGCTGCTTGCTGAAGCACTCTGGCTGGTGAAAAGATAGTGGAAATGGGAAAGGGGCACCTGACGTCTAGAGCTCACGAAGCAGTCCCAGAAAGGTGCGGAGGATGCATTTTCATCAAGCTGGACGTGCCTGTATTCTGTGCTAGCTGACTCATCAGAGGTGTGGTCCTAGGAAAGTCAGGGACCCTGTCTGTGCCTCTACTTCCCTATCCTTACAGTGGGGTGGTAATCCTGCCTCACAGAGTGGGTGCTCAGTAAACCTCTCATCTCTTTCCCTGGCCTTTCTTATTGACTCCTTCTCTCTCATTCAATTTATGATGCTAATTCAAGCTCAAATTCAATGTATTTTCTATTGTTTTCTCTTAGCTTCTTATGTTAAGTATAGTAGTGGCCTATTCTGGATTAGTGTGTGTGTATGTGCACGTGTGCACGCATGCACACATACAATATCTCAGTTGGGAGGTAAAGGAAATTATATCTCCCAATGTAAAATTTAATGAGAATAGAAATCAGGGCTTGTTGGATCCTGAAATTAAACTGGAGGTGCCCCCATCCTTCTCTGAGAGAGTTTCTGATGTATTTGATGGCTGTTTGCTTGCTGTTAATTTCTTTTCAAAGTAACACAGGATGAGCCTGCTGTATAGTTTTCTTTTGCTGTGTAACACATTTCATGCTTAAAGCAACACCCATTTATTGGTCACACCTCTGTAGGTCTGGAGTCCAGCACAGGATGCATTGGCTCCCTGCTGATTGTATCACAGGCCGAAGTCAGTATGTTTCCCAGACTAAAGTCTTGTCTGAAGACTCAGTAAAACCCACTTCCAAGCTTATTCAGATTGTTGGCAGAATTCAGTTCCTTTGGTCATAGAACTGAGATATCTGTTTTCTTGCTGGTTTCCTTCTTGGGATTTGAATCTTTCTGACTTCCTTTCGTATCACTGGCTAGCAAAAACTCTTTGCTTTTAGGTTAGGCCCACCCAGGAAATCCCCCTATTTTAGTCTACTATGCCATATAATGTATCTTAGTTACTAGAATAAAATCTATAATATTCACAGTTCCAGGGATCCTGCAAGGTACATCACGGGGAGGGAAATCTCCTTAGGGGGACACTTACAGATCTTCCTTCTGCATCCATTCACCATGCTTTTTGTAAGTATCGATTTTGATGTTTTCCCCAAGGTTACAGAAGAGAATGGTGAGCAATTGCCATGTTACTTTGTCATGGTAAGCCTACAAGAAGTTGGAGGAGTTGAAACTAAGAACTGGACGGTCCCCAGAAGGCTCAGCGAGTTTCAGAATTTACACCGGAAACTCAGTGAGGTATGAATACTCATGAACGCAGTATTCTAGAATTACTGCACAAGAGCTCATTTCAATTTTACACATAAGAAAGCTGATTAATCTTCTTCCTTTGCTGTTGATACTGGCACAGTGGCATTTTCATCCTGACATTTGGAAATTTACTCATAGATCAAACCATCTAGTCTAGCCTAAGTCCATCAGGACAGATAACGGTCTGATTTTCATTGTAAATTGCCAGAGAACCCTAGAGCTGGAAGAGACCTAAGGATCACCTAGGTATCTCACAACTGGCAGCTGCCGATTGTGATATCTTGATGGTAGTGAAATCAGTTGTGAGTTGCAGCAGTAGAAAGAATGAGCTGCATTGGATTCTATCACATATACAAGGGAGGCAGTAAGGTGCGGTGCTTGGAGGATTCTATCACATATACAAGGGAGGCAGTAAGGTGCGGTGCTTGGAGGATTCTGTCACATACACAAGAGAGGCAGTAAGGCGCGGTGCTTGGAGGATTCTATCACATATACAAGGGAGGCATTAAGGCGCGGTGCTTGGAGGATTCTGTCACATACACAAGGGAGGCATTAAGGCGCGGTGCTTGGAGGATTCTATCACATACACAAGGGAGGCAGTAAGGTGCGGTGCTTGGAGGATTCTATCACATATACAAGGGAGGCAGTAAGGTGCGGTGCTTGGAGCACAGCCTCTAGAACCAGACTGCTCAGCTCTGACTCTCAGCTCTACTCTTCATGGCTGTGTGACCTGGAATTTATTTATTTATTTATCTATTTATTTTTATATATATATTTTTTGAGACGGAGTCCTGCTCTGTCGCCCAGGCTGGAGTCCAGTGGCGTGATGTCAGCTCACTGCAACCTCCGCCTCCCAGGTTCAAGCGATTCTCCTGCCTCAGCCTCCCGAGTAGCTGGGATTACAGGCATGTGCCACCACACCCGGCTAATTTTTGTATTTTTAGCAGAGACGGGGTTTCACCATGTTGGCCAGGCTGGTCTCGAACTCCTGACCTCGGGTGATCCACCCACCTCGGCCTTACAAAGAGCTAGGATTATAGATGTGAGCCACCTTGCCCAGCTGACCTGGGATTTATCACTCACTTGCTTTTTGTCTCTTTTTCATCAGTGAAAACGAATACTAATAGTGCCTACCTTATGGGGTTGTTATGAGAATTAAGGGAATATATGTATATAAAGCATTTATAAGAATGTGTGGCACATAGTAAACATCATTGTGTTTTTTGGTAGTAGCAGTAGTAATGAGCATTGTTTCATAGACCTTTGGTTTCAGTTTTATTTATGTATATGTATATATGTATGTGCATTATGGATTGCAATGTAGCATGCATTTCCTACTGTGAGTTTCAGTTAAAATGTTTGAAAGCCACTAATCTAGGTTAATTCTTTTATTTGAGAGAGGAGGGAAACCGATCCCAGAGCTTAACTGACTTGTCATAGGACATGTACATAGTGGCTAAATCAAGATTATTAATGGAATCTTACTTTTAGATTATTCTTCCTACTTTTCCTCAGGAATTGCCATCTTCTCTAATTCTCCTTCTACTATGGGTCATTGCCTTTTTTCCCCAGCAGTGAACAGTTCTTCAATTATTTCTACTTGAATTTAGGTCCATTTTTCTCTTGCTTAGCGTGAACTGATACTGGTGAAACTATAACTGTCAAAGGGTCCAGCTGCTTGCTGCTTGTAGAAAGAAGCCATCATAATAATAACAAGAGTGAGGCGTGACAAAAAGAGAGTGAGATTTTACTATCCATGCTAGCAAGGGGAGGAGTGGGCAAAATTCTTTCTAAAACTTTCCACCCTCAGCCAGGCATGTTGGCTCACGCCTGTAATCCCAGCACTTTGGAAGGCCGAAGTGGGCGGGTCCCTTGAGGTCAGGAGTTCGAGACCAGCCAGGCCAACATGGTGAAACCCCCATCTCTACTAAAAATACAAAAAATTAGTTGGGTGTGGTGGTGCACGCTTGTAGTCTCAGTTTCTCAAGAGGCTGAGGCAAAAGAATCACTTGAACCTGGGAGGCGGAGGTTGCAGTGAGTCAGGATCATATCACTCCACTCCAGCCTTGGCAACAGAGCAGGATTCCATTCCAAAAAATAAAAATAAAAATTTCCAGCCTTCAACTGTGGAGGGAACCCAGGGGATTTTAAAGAGAGGGTTTGGAATGCAGAAGAGGCAGCAGGTCTAGGGAGTGTCAGATGGTGTGATCTGCCCTGATGGCTCGTCTTGAATTATTGTTCCATCTGGTGAAGCATCCGGCGCCACTGTGGCCAGAGGTGTCTGGTCCGTATCAGGATCTGGCCCTTGAAGCTTCTAAGGAAATAGATGACCAGATAAGGAGCGTGGTGTGCGCTTAACAAGCATGTGGGTAAATCAGTGTGCATAAAGCATGGGAGCACGGGATGGGGAAAGAAAGGGAGTGGAGGTTCACAGCAGATGCCCAGGCTGTATTTCAGAATGAAAGGAAACACATACGCAGCCTGTCTCAAAGTTACATCTTGAGATTAAGGAGGAAGGAGGAAGGAAAACAAAGTTTGAAAACACGGTTTGAAGCCACGCTGCTCCTTTACAAAACCTCATGGGCACCTCTCAGACTCCTCTTCTATGAATGAAATGTGTCTCTTTTCTTTAACCTTGTCTCCAGAGTGATTTTTTAACCTGTTTTCATCACTACATACTATAATTTCTTCAACTGCTTTTTAAGGATAGTGACCCAAACTGAATGTCATGCATGCTACATTTCTCAGATGGCCTTTGGTCACCTTAGCACTGTGGAAAGCAAAAATTTGTCTCAGTATAACAATGAATTTTCCCCAGAGTTGTTGAGTAAAATTGATACTACAGAAAAATGTGTTGTTTTCTCTGTGGAAAAACTATTGTGAAACCAAAGTTTGTATCAAAACAGGAGGAAAAAGAGTTGAGGGAAAATTTTGAAATGAAATGTCTTTGGAAGGTAGAATTTACTTAGACAATCAAAACAATTAGATGGAAGCATTAAAAGAAACAAACATGAAAGTCCATGCCCGTCCTCTTTGTCATCTTTCCTCGTCTGTGGACTGATGGCTGGGCTATTCTCTTACCCCTGCCCTTTCCTACGGTGTGAGTTTTCCTGTTGTGAGAACCCTTCCTGTCGACAGCTGTGACAGGAAGTACCTTTTTGGGTACTTAGTGATTTTAGTCTTCCCTTCCAACTCTCACTGCCTGTTTCATTTCTCTGAAATTTCACAGAGCTGTTGTAAGCATGAAATAACACATGCTATGCTTCTAGCACAGTGTCTGGTAGAAGGGAGGACTTAATCCACAAAGGGTGCGCTCTTCGTACTATGAATATATTTTGTTAATATACTTACAATCTACAGTTTGCCACTGAGAGGCAGTAATAAGGCCAGGAGTGGTGACTCATGCCTGTAATTCCAGCACTTTGGGAGGCTGAGGCAGGAGGATCGCTTGTATCCAGGAGTTTGAGACTGGCCTGGACAACATAGACTTCGCCTCTACAAAAAATTTAAAAATTAGCCAGGCATGGTGGTGCATGCTTGTAGTCCCAGCTACTTGGGAGGCTGAAGTGGGAGAATCGCTTGAGCCTGGGAGATCAAGGCTGCCATGAGCCATGATCACGCCACTGCACTCAGCCTGGGTGGCAGACTGAGACCCTGTTTCAAAAAAAAAAAGGAAAGAAATGCAGTAATAGAGCTACAACCCAAGTTTTCTTTGTTCCCATTGTTTTCTTTTCTTTTTATTTTTTTTTGACTGGGTCTCACTCTGTCTCCCAGGCCCAAGTGCAGTGGTGCAACATCAGCTCACTGCAGCCTCCACCTCCTGGGTTCAAACGATTCTCCTGCCTCAGCCTCCCCAGTAGCTGGGATTACAAGCATGTGCCATCACGCCAGGCTAATTTTTTGTATTTTTAGTAGAGGCAGGGTTTCACCATGTTGATCAGGCTGGTCTTGAACTCCTGACCTCATGTGATCCAGCTTCCTTGGCCTCCCAAAGTGTTGGGATTACAGGCGTGAGCCACCACGCCCGGCCATTTTCTATTGTTAACTTTAGCTTTTTACAGAGATGTTAAAAACACAACACCTTCTAGTTGAAAAACTTTCTGTGAGCCAGGTTTCCATTTGTCACATCATGTGCCACCCTGCGTGGTGTGCAGATCCCTCGTACCAGCCTGGCCTTGTGACTTCCCAGCTCCCGGGGATCTGTAGGTTTGGGGATGTGCTTTAGTTTTTTCCATCAAAGTTTCCGTTCCTCCCAATTCTTCGAGCCTCATTAAGATGGGTAGGTTTTCACCTCAGAGGAACAAGTACAGGAGGAGGATATTTGTTTTGTTCTAATTGTTATTCTAAATCTTTTTTAAGATTAAAATGTAATTTCAAAATACTAACATTTCATTTTTTCCCCCCACAGTGCGTCCCTTCTTTAAAAAAAGTCCAGTTGCCTTCTCTTAGCAAGCTGCCTTTCAAATCTATAGATCAAAAGTTTATGGAAAAGTCGAAGAATCAATTAAATAAGTTTTTACAGGTAAGCAAGTGAAAAATGTGGGATATGAGAGAAAAAATTAGTTATTTAGGGTTAAACTGTCATCATTCTACGAGCTTGGTAGTTTGCTTTTTGTTCTCACAAGCCATGCTAGATGCTAAAAAAATATCTTGGGTGTTTTTTTTAATTAAAGGAAAATACACATATAAAAATACACGTAAGTGTATAACTGTCTCCGTTTCACAAACTGAACACACCCATGTAACCAGCACCCAGTCCAATGCACTGGTTATCACCAGCAGCCCCCAGCTTCCTCCCATCGCTGCAGCCCCTCTAAAGGCAACTGCTGTCCCGACTTCCAGCACCATAGATCAGTTACAGTTGTCTTTCAACTTTATATAAATGGAACCGTATAGTGTGAATTCCTTCGTTTCTGACTTCTTTCACTCATTATGTTCATAGGACTCATCCATCCTGTCATCTTAGTTGTAGATGATTCATTTTCGTTGCTGTGAGAGGTTTTCATCGTGTGAATACACTGCATTCCAAATTCATTCCGTTGTTGATGAGCCTTTGGCTCCTTTCCACTCTGAGGCTTTTACAAAGGGTGCTTATATAAACGTCTAGTACTTGTCTTTTGACAAATATCTGTCGGCTGATGCCCAGAGATTAGGATTTCTCCATTTTTCTTCATGGTCACAGCAGTTTTATACTCTCCCCAGCAGTGTGTAAGGGTTCTGATTGCTCCACATCCTCACCAACACTTATCTTTTGCGTTTTTATTCTTAGCCATTTTGGGTGTAGTAGTATCTCATTGTGTTTGGGGGGTTTGGTGTTTTTTTTTGTTTTCTTTTGTTTTGTTTTGTTTTGTTTTGTTTTGAGACGGAGTTTCGCTCTTGTTGCCCAGGCTGGAGTGCAATGGCGCGATCTTGGCTCACCGTAACCTCTGCCTCCCGGGTTCAAGTGATTCTCCTGCCTAAGCCTCCCAAGTAGCTGGGATTACAGGCGCCTGCCACCACGCCTGGCTAATTTTTGTATTTTTAGTAGAGACGGGGTTTCTCCGTGTTGGTCAGGTTGGTCTCAAACTCCCAACCTCAGATGATCTGCCCACCTCGACCTCCCAAAGTGCTGGGACTACAGGCGTGAGCCACTGTGCCCGGCCATTTGTTGTGTCTCCTTTTCTATTGTGCTGCTGCTCATCCTTTCCATAATGTTTTATGGGTTTGTCCATGTTCTGGATCTGAGTTCCTTGTCAGATCTTACGTGCTACAAATATTGTCCCCCTTTCTATGGATTGCCTTTTACTTAATGATTGCTTTTAATGAACAGATGTTCTCAATTTTAATTTAGCCCACTTTATCATTTTTTTTATCTTATGGTTAATGCCTTTTGCACCTATTAAGAAATCTTGGCCTACTCCAAGGCCCTGAAGATATTTTCTTAATTTCCTTTAAACACTTTATTATTTTCTATCAGTCTGTTTTTAAATAATAAGGCCAAAGGTGTACTGTCCTCAATAACAACCACTTTTTTTTCCTTTGCTGCACCATCTATATTCAGAGTATAATTGTTAATCACACTTTGGATCTTAAAGCCCTGAAGTTCTCAGAGGCATGGAACTTTGCCTCATAAAACATGTTTTGCCTCTGCAGTAGAAGCTAGACATTCTGAGACTGAAAAAAAATGTTCTGAATATTTGTATCCTTTAAAGAATTCTTTAAATTGACATTGCACTTGTACATATTTATGAGGTACAGTTTGGCATTTTGATACATGTATATCATTTCTTTATTTTTTTTTTTGAGACAGACTCTTGCTCTCTTGTCCAGGCTGGAGTGCAGTGGTGCAATCTCAGCTCACTGCAACCTCCGCCACCTGGGTTCAAGCAGTTCTCCTGCCTCAGCCCCCCAAGTAGCTGGGATTACAGACAGGCTCATGCCACCACACCTGGTTAATTTTTG
The DNA here is from genome assembly GCF_000001405.40 of Homo sapiens. NCBI lineage: Eukaryota > Metazoa > Chordata > Mammalia > Primates > Hominidae > Homo > Homo sapiens. The sequence continues at coordinate 185,348,570 of NC_000004.12, forward strand.
TATCTTTAGTAGAGACGGGGTTTCATCATGTTGGACAGGCAGGTCTCGAACTCCTGACCTCAGGTGACCAATCTGCCTCGGCCTCCCAGAGTGCTGGGATTACAGGTGTGCGCCACTGTGCCCAGCCACATTTATCATTTCTTCGTGGTGAGAACATTAAAAAACCTTTCTTCTAGCTCCTTTTTGATATATAATACTTTACTGTTAGCCATAGTCACCCTACTGAGCAACAGAACACCAGAACTTTTTCCTCCTGTTAAATTGTAACTTTCTAGCCACTGACCAATCTCTCCCATCCTTTCCTCCCCAGTCTCTGGTAACCACCTCTCTGTACCTCTAATATATCAATTTTTTTTCAGATTATACAGATGAGTGGGATCATGCAGTATTTGTCTTTCTGTACCTAGTCTGTTTCACTCAACTTATGTCCTCCAGGTTCATTCATGTTGTTGCAATTGACAGGATTTCATTCTTCTTTATGGCTGAATAATATTCCATCATGTATATCGGGGGGTTCGATCTTTTGGCTTCCCTGGTCCACAATGGAAGAAGAAGGATTGTCTTGGGCCACACATAAAATACACTAACCCTAACGACAGCTGATGAGCTTAAAAAAAATCACAAAAAATTCTCATAATGTTTTAAGAAAGTTCACAAATTTGCATTGGGCTGCATGTAGCCCGCGGGCTGTGGGTTGGACAAGCTTGATGTATGTATACCACGTTTTCTCTATCCAGTCATCTGTTGGACGCCTAAGTTGATGCCATGTCTTGCCTCTTTATTATAAATAGTGCTGCTTTAAATGGGAATGCAGATATATCTTTGACATACTGATTTCATTTCCTTTGGATGTATATCCAGTACTGACATTGCTGGATCTTATGGTAGCTCTATTTTTAATTTTTTGAGGAGCCTCCATACCCTTTTTCATAATGACTGTACTAATTTACAATCCCACCAACAGTGTACAAGGGTTCCCTTTTCTTTCATATCCTTGCCAACACTTCTTTTCTTTTGTCTGGTGTGAGATGGTATCTCCTGGCTTTGACTTATATTTCCCTATTCATGAGGTTGATCATTTTTTCATATACCTGTTTTCCATTTTTATGTTTTCATTTGTGTCTATTCAAGTCCTTTGCCCACTTTTTAATGGGATTATTGTGTGTGTGTGTGTTTTGCTGTTGAATTGTTTGAGTTGTTTTCCTTCATTTGAATATAATTTAAGGCCAAAGATTTACATCTGTAATGATTTCCCTATTAATATGCTGATTGTATTAAGTTTGGGACTTAACCATTAGTATATCCTGCTATTTTGTAAAATGTTAGAGAGTAGATGAGTGAAGGACATCAAGATGGGGGAGAACATCTCACTACTCCTGATCCATCCTCACATACAGGTTGAACTGACCATTTAATTCTGAAAAACGAATGAAGACTGTCTGCAGGGTTCAGGGACAGGGAGGGCAGTAGGGGCACTGCCCATCCCCCTTAATCTCCTTCTCAATGGCCATGGCAGGGCCTGCCCACCTCCAGGCCAGTCTCCTGCAGGGTACGTGAATGCTGATGGTGTTCCGTGGACCCCTTGTCCCCAGCGGGGCAGTATTGGGCCCTCTCAGAGGTGATTTTTCTAGGGAGGGTCATAGCGTTCGTCAGGTCATTAGCCATCTAAACAAATAGGATGTTGCCATCATGGACCAACCCCTCTGGAACTAGACCTGAACTTCCACCTCCCCCACACTCTGTCATCAGAGGCATAGCTGGCTTCTGAGTGTTCCATCTCCCTATGTGGCTGACAGTTCTTATAGGTTTACATATTCCTAAGCCCAGTGTCTTATAATACTAGATGTGTAAATATTCTGTGGTCACATTGTTAATTCTGCTGTCTTACCATAGCACTTGTACATAGACAAGCTCGATTTATGTTCTTCTTTACTCTCTCCTAAGGTCAGGTAAGTACATACAGAACTTTGGGAACTTTCCAGTTTGAGGGCTGGTAGAAACTGTTATATATGGCCAGGCACGGTGGCTCACGCCTGTAATCCCAGCACTTTGGGAGGCTGAGGCGGGCAGATCACGAGGTCAGGAGCTCGAGATCAGCCTGGCCAATATGGTGAAACCCCATCTCTACCAAAAAATGCGAAAATTAGCCAGTCATGATGGTGTGCACCTGTAGTCCCAGCTACTTGGGAGGCTGAGGCAGGAGAATTGCTGGAACCCAGGAGGCAGAAGTTGCGGTGAGCCAAGATGGCGCCACTGCACGACATCCTGGATGACCGAGTGAGACTCCGTCTCAAAAAAAAAGAAAAGAAAAGAAATTGTTACATAATTATGTAAATGCGCACTGCCTGGAAAGTGGCAGCACTGGGAAATGAAACTATTGCCTGGCAGGTAGTGCCACCATGTGAAAACTCAAAGTTCTTTTTTTCAGCTGATGTACAAAGTCTGAATATAACCATAAAAGGGCAATTTAGAGGTATCCATGTGTAATTTGCAAAAATTTAAGTTGGTCAAACACAGATGACTGAAAGTTGTATTTCAAAAGTGGTAGCGCCTGGGATCTGTGAGCTGTAAAGTAAGAATTTTCTGTTGCACCAAGCAGTGCAAAGCGGAGTGAGTTCTGCCTTTTGCATAGTTATCTCCCATGAGCAGAGTGATTTGGGCACTACTAGTTAACCTGGAGGGGATTGTTTGCCATTAAGATCATTAAGAATTGATCTTATATAGTTTGTTTCAGGGGGAAAGGGAAGTGGTTTTCGGTTCAGAAGTCTGATGAAAGTAAATTCGTGACAGCTCTGCCTCGCTCACCTTTACTTGTAGCTCCCAGCCACACAGATAGTTTCCCACACTGGAGCAGTTAATCCTCTTTCTTCCATAGAATCTGCTTTCAGATGAAAGACTGTGTCAGAGTGAAGCACTTTATGCCTTCTTGAGCCCTTCTCCTGACTACCTCAAGGTTATCGACGTGCAGGGGAAAAAAAATTCTTTTTCATTATCCTCATTTTTGGAAAGACTTCCTCGCGACTTCTTCTCCCACCAGGAGGTGAGCCGTTGAAAGAGTGAACCACTTTTGTAGTGTATTTCAGCAGATACTAAGCTCATGCTCCTCATGGGGGGAAGCAAATCCCTCTATTTTCAGTCATTAGCACTGTCACATTTTGAGGCACCTGCTTGTATTTCTGTATCTTAATTCTTCCAAGTGACTTGCAGGGGAGGACAGAGTGGTTTTACCACTTCGGAGTTGGTAAGTGAAATGCGAGTAGGAAGTTCTGCAGGAGCCCCGCTACACACGGGGCGCCAGTCCCCAGGTCGGGGGAGGCCAAGTGCGGGCCGTCATTGCGGGGTGGGGGGGTTCATGCTGAAGGTTCACAGTAGAGGAGGTTGTGTTTATGGAACAGGCCGGAGGTCGTTGGCCTGGACTGGAGGGTTGGTGCCGTGCTCTAATGGAAGATTAAGTACAGCATAGAAGTGGGGAGGGGCAAGGTTCACGCCAGGCTGAGAGTTTAGGCTGTATTCTCAGGCATGAAGAAGCATGGGATATTCTGAAGCAGGATGATCTGGCAATGGTATGTGGATAAGGGAAAGTATAGAGCCTGCAGAGCTTTCGATCTCATCTTCTGAACCCCAGACTTCTCCCCCAGAGTAGGCTGTGCACTCCTGTTCACACCACGGAGGCGCCTTGCCTGGCCCTCTAGCAAATTGCACAGGACCAGCTCTGAAATGTGGCTTCCCCTCAGTCCATTGCCAAATGCTACTGCCTCTTCACCAGAGGTGGCTTCGAGTTTGGACAGAGGAACTGATGGTGAAAAGCAGCATGCTGCTCTTCTGCATTCTCAGCTGGGGCGGAAGTCAGCACGTCCCACAGAGCACACCCACACCTGCTCCAGTCCACACATCTACCCACGGCCCCCCAAGCATCTCCCACCTCTTTCCTTCATGTGTCCGTCTGTACTTGGCTGCTTACCTGTCTCACCTCCCTTTTATTCCTGAACCCCTGGAGTTAATATATGACTCAGTCACTCTATGAAGTGACTCTGAAGCTGCCAGTGGCTTCCTCTCAGTCTTTACCTTTCTCAGCCTCTTTTGAGGCGTTTGCTGTTGCTGGATTTCTGTGATGCTGTTTTTAGGGAACTCCTCCAGCCTCTATGACTTCCCTGTCCCTTCCTCTGCTCGCCTGATGTAAGTAAGTATCTCCCAAAGACCTGCCTGGGCTCGCACTTCAGCTCCTACCTCTACACAGACACTGCAGTGCCCATCCTCAGCTGCCCTCCAGCACCTAATGTTTGCAGCTCTGGGACAGCACTGTCTCCTGCCCTATCATAACACCTGCCTGTGTGTCTGTCAGTCTCCCCAGAAGGCAGTGGGCCACAGAAGTCTAGATCCCCCTCACACTCATTTGCATTATCCTGTTGCCTGGTATGTCATGAGTTTTTAACTGAAACCTGCTGATGCGCAGATCAAGAAATGGGACTAGCTGAAGGACAGAATAAAAGCTTAAGTCACAGCTTTAAAAATAACTAAATTACTTTAAAATGCATGTTTGAAAAAAAGCAGTGAATTTAAAATTATTTACTTCCTGCTGTTTTAAGGGAGTGAAAAATAAAAAATAAGTTAAAAGCCTTAGTTTTGAAATTCAAAATGGTTAGAAAACTATTTTATTGTCTATTAATTCACTGATTATAATACAGCGACAGATTTTTTTTTAAATTAGCTTATTTTAAGCCTTGAATAAGGCTCGAGAATCAAGCTTTTCTGAATCTGTCCTCTGTGTTGAAAATGGTAGTTTCTGCATGAAAACTAAAGAATTAAGGCTAAAATACGAGCAGATAGTTTGGAATTTACACTTGAAGAGGGAGAACAACTCTACCAATTTTCTTGGATAAGTTATCTGCTTCCTATGACTTTGCTGTATTCCCAGGAGGAGACAGAGGAGGACAGTGACCTGTCAGATTATGGTGATGATGTGGATGGGAGGAAAGACGCCTTGGCTGAACCATGTTTCATGTTGATTGGGGAGATTTTTGAACTTCGAGGAAGTAAGCTTCTTTGTTATTATTTAGTGGTATTTGCTAGTTAAGTGGTATATATAATCGTACATTCACATGCATTTAATATCCCTTTATTGCTGAAATGCATCAGACATGTATTTATATTCATGCATCCATTCATTCAACATAGCCTTTTAAGAGCCAACCCAGGCCGGGCACGGTGGCTCACGCCTGTAATCCCAGCACTTTGGGAGGCCAAGGCGGGTGGATCATGAAGTCAAGAGATCAAGACCATCCTGACCAACATGGTGAAACCCCGTTTCTACTAAAAATACAAAAATTAGCCGGGCATGGTGGCGCATGCCTGTAATCCCAGCTACTTGGGAAGCTGAGGTGGGAGAATTGCTTGAACCCAGGAGGTGGAGGTTGCAGTGAGCCAAGATCGCACCACTGCACTCCAGCCTGGGTAACAGCGAGACTCCGTCTCAAAAAAAAAAAAAAAAAGAGCCAACCAGATACTATGCTATATATACAACCCCAAGACAGATATCATCTCTGTCCTAACGTAACATAGCGTCCTGATTTACTCTGCCCCATGTTCCTCTGACTACAGAAGGTTAGAATCCTTCACGTTGCTTTTTATGTGACTTGGCATAGCTTCCATTGCCTTGTCACTAAAAGTTATACAGAAAACTGTTTTGCTTAGCACAGAAGAATCCTGTTGTTAAAGGTGAGTGTTGGTGTTAGGATAATTCCATGGCCAAGGACGTGGGAATGCCTCCACCCTATTTTTCAGCTACCTTTTTTCCTCTTGAGCAGTAGTTCTTCATGGAGGGAAGGAGGGACATATGGTGATGTCTGAAAATGTTTTTGATTGTCTTAACTTGGAGTGAGGGGTGCTACTGGCATCTAGCAGGTAGAGTCTGGGATACTGCTAAACATTCTACTGTGCTCAGGACAGCCCCGCGGCAGAGTTGTCCTGCCCCCAATGACAGTAATGCTGGAGTTGAGAAATCCTACCCTAGTGAATCCTCAAGGAGAGATGTACGTAGAAGAAACCATTGTAAAATGGGGATCAAAGTTCCATTTCCTTAAGAGCTATACAAGTGCCTCTCCCTGAAAGCATCACCTTGGTGAAAGGTAAACTGGACTCCATGGCTTAGTGTTGAGCGTTGAATAGGACTTAATGCTACTCTCCGTCCACACATTCACAGCTCCCAACACTCTAAATCTTGACACCAGTAGACTTTGTCATACCTAGAGCCTCAGTACCAGCTAGAGATATGGCAGGTGCCCACGGGCACACCTGACCACCTCGAAGAGGAAGCAAATGAGAAGAGCAAGGGTTAGTAAGACTCAGTAGTGGCACCAGCCAGCCAAATAGTGCAGCGTCCATGTCCTGGGCTCTGTCCGTTCACATCAGCACCTTTTCCCTTGAGACAAAGGAGTAGGCTACCAGTTGGTCTTACATAGGAAATGGGGCTGTGGATCCCTTCTCATTTATAAATCCCTTAACATGTCACTTAAAGAATTATTAACAGATGAAAAAATTTCAAGTGCAACTTGAATTTGTCTTCTGTGTCTTAATCCTCAGTATCTACTACAATGCCTGACCCATGGTAGGGGATCAGTAAAATGCCTGGATGGATGCACTGATGAGTGAATAGGCAAGAAAAATGTTAAGTGCCAGAATGAATTACCTTTGCTCATTGACCTTTTTCTCCTTCTGAGCCAAAGCTAAGAGAATATATAATGTCAATCATCAAAGACTTTGAGAGCTTCTGAGCCAAAGCTAAGAGAATATAAAATGTCAGTCATCAAACACTTTGAGAGCATATGTTTTAGATACAGATCTGTAGGGAAACAAAACCATATCAGATACAGATTCTGCCATCAGTGAATTTACAGATTAAGGGTCCAAAAATGTAATTCACATTAAGCAATAGACAAAGTTAAATTCTAAAGTGCAGGCAGAGATTTACACATAAGGATATTTTAGCATAATTACAATAATGAAAAGTTGGAACTAAGATAAATTTTAGAAATGGAAGATAACTTATTTAAGAAATATCTATATGATGGAATATCATCCACATATGAAAAATCCTTTCAGATAAAAAACCTAATAGCTTTTTAATATTTGAGACACTTTAAGACATATACAGTGATGTTTAACTTGATTCAATATAGACAAATAGTAATCCACCCAAAGTCTGACTCTTGTTTGGTGAAATGTGGCCCATTAAATCATGAGTCTCCCCAGTTTCCTACAGAGTTGATAAGAATGAGGACACTGTCCTAGGCTTCATCATTGTTTTTGTCTTTGCTATTGGTACAGAGCTTAAGAGATACAGTAGGCATGTCAGAGCCAGTATCAGCTGGAGCAGGGCTCCTCACCATGCCTGCGGCATGCACTTCCTCCATCTCTGCCTGCTCGGAACATATTCGGTTTTGCTAGTGGCATTTCAGAGAGAATAAATAGAACCTCATATATAATGAGATGTGATCTATTCGTCGTCAGCAGAATCCTAGTGCTGCTGCAGCTGCCTCTGTGGCTTTGAGCAAACAAGCCTTTGGAGTAATGGGGCTCGCGTGTGTGTGTGTGTGTATCGGGGGGTTACTGGGGACTAGGGAAGGTGAGGGAAAAGTAATAGAGTAAGGGGCTATCAGTGATAGAAAATTTGTAGCAAAATGAGTTTTGGTTTCTGCTCTAGTTTACAAAAAGGGACCAGTAATACCCCTGGCCCCCTTTTTAAAAATAACCCCTTGGTCGTCAGGCACTCTTCCTAGAGTTGCACTTGTCCTCAGACCCTCTAGGTATGAGCCACCTCTTTCCTGCCCTAGAAAGACAAAGTGAAGTTATCATCACTGATAGACATGCTCATCCCAGCCTCAATGCCAACCTAAAATGAACATGCTTGGCAGCATTCCAGCAAATTCCATCAAAAAGTTTAAGACATTTTTGACGTTTGATTCCGACTCCAAGACTTGACTTTACGTGAAGAATTCATACTACTTTAACTGGATATTTTGATCCATTAAAAAAATTAGAAATGGCTTTAGAGTATATTAATGTCTAGTGCCAAGTCTGTGTTTTCTATGATTTCTATTTGTGTGGTTGCCCTTGTACAGAGACTTCTGTGAATTTGCCATTGTTAGCTTTTCTTAGTGGGTACAAGAGCCCCGAACTCTTGGCTCCATTATGACTGAGTCTGAATTTCTTATTTCCTCGTATGTCAGTAGCCAAACACTTCAATAGATGGAGGTGAATATATAAATGAAAATTTTGGTTTAGGTTCCAATTTGTGGACCTAAAATATCCTCATAGCATTTCTTTGCCTTCTGTTGGTTTATGTTCAGTTTCTATACCTATAAAAATGTGTCTCTATGTTAACAATAAAAGTTTAGGTCTGTAGAACCCTTCACAGTCTTTCTCACACACGGGGAAAGACCTTCAGAGCAAAGAAAGGCACATGTTAATACCTTCCTTTCCAGATGAGGAAATTGGGGTTCAGAGAAGGTGACTTGTGCCCTCCTGCTATGGGGGTGGCACTGGAGACGGCCAAATTCATTTCTCATTCAGGGTCCTGCCTCTTCACCATTCACTTATCCTCTCCCAAATGCGTAGTATATATAAAGTACACAGTGATCTGCAAACCGCTTCAAACAGGAACAGTTAGACCCATCCGTTCATTAATATTTCAAAATATTTGACTACAGATGTTTCTCATTCAGCAGTGTGTTCAAAAAGTGGGTTCAGCAAGCCAGACAGAAATCTAAAATAGGAATTACACTGTGTGGTGGTGGAAAACAGACACGTTGTCAATAGCCCAGGGACAGATGAAGCACTCTTTCCGCTTGCGAGCTCAGCTGTTGGGAGGCACTGAAACACTGTAAAAACTCTGCTTTCATCTCATCAGTTGCTTGGTAGAAAATGAAAGCCTAGTCAGAAGAGTTTTCCTGACCTAAACCCAAATTCTGCAGATGTCATAGCCATGACTTGATGGCAGGACTGAAATCATCTTAAGTGGTAAGATTTATGCTTTGTACAGCTATGAAAATGTCCCAAATTGTGATGCCCTGTGATAAAAAGTTTTCCTCTGGTTTCTGTTTCAGTGTTTAAATGGGTGAGAAGAACATTAATTGCCCTCGTTCAGGTCACTTTTGGAAGAACCATCAACAAGTGAGTTGTATGAAATTAATATTTGGATCCATGCCCTACTCTTTTGCCTTGACAGTCAAATTACCTTATGATCTAGCAGCCAGTCATTTAACTGAAAGTCTTTAATTTTCTCTCACTTTTCGTTTCTGATATGATTCTAAGATTGGATAGGAGAGTCGATTTCTAAAAGAATTTCTCCCACAGAATGCATATGGCAAGTTAGATAAGAAAAGCTTGAGCTACTTCCACACTCTGACTGGCGAGGGTCAGGAGGTTGTACTCTGTAGAGCTCCCCTTTAATCATGACGACGAGTTTGAGTATCTTGAGTAGAATGTTTTTATGTCAAATAATGAGAATCAGTTTAAGGTTCAGACTCTAAGCCAGAAGGCAAGTAGGATGAGCATCACATGGCAGGCGTTTACTTAGAGGAAAATACAGACCATGTATTAAGGTTTTCACAGTTGTGTAGCACTGAAGTGCTAACTCTTCTTGTTAGTTAATATCTGCGTATCCACTGGGGTGTGTGTGTGGCCCTGTCATCTAGCACTGTTACAAGCCATATGTCTATTCTAAACTATATTATATTATCCATATACATAAAGGCATTATATATGTATCCCAGTCTTTCACTGAGTGTTCTAATGTTGCTCATAAAAAGTGATCCACATTTTGATCATGCATTTATGAAAGCCCTGGGTTTGTTATTGAGAACTCAATTAATATAGTCAATTATTATTAGTTTCTAAGAAATTATTGGAATTTTTCATAACTGCAAAGTCATGTAGCCAATAGAAGTTGAATAGAATTATTTAGATCGGTTTAGGCCTGAAAGGGTGTCCTAGCGATTAGTCTCACTTCTCATTTTGTTGGTGAAGAAGTGGAACCAAAGAGATCAACTGCTTGTCTGAAGTCACCAGACCCGTTAGCTGACCTAACCTGGCCCCCTGGTCTGGTGCCTGCTTCATCTCTGTGCCTGGAATTTGGAAGTACTGTTATCAAGATCTTTTATATGGTAACTCTATACCCAGAATTGTTCACAAGATAAACATTATGATTTCCTGCAGAATAGGAATATGAGTCAACGTCTAGAAATTTAAAAAAAAATCACTTTTTTATATAACAAAATAAGTTTTAAGATGAAATTATCAGATTTTCCCAAGTGAAAGATTTAGTGGTCAGACATTTGTACAAGATTAGTATAATAGTTTTACCATATAAAGCTTATAAATTTTAATAGGAAACACTGTAAAGAACATTTGCTATTTTTTTATTGATTTGCCAATGAATATATTTTCCTTGTGGTCAGAAACAAAGTTTACTTCTACTTAAGATTTTAAAAAAAGAGTTTTAGTTGGCTGGGCACAGTGGCTCATGCCTATAATCCCAGCATTTTGGAAGGCTGAGACGGGCATATTGCTTCAGCCCAGAAGTTTACGACCAGCCTGGGCAACATGGTGAGACCCTGTCTCTACAGAAAATAAAAAAATTAGGTGTGGTAGTACACGCATGCCTGTGATTCCAGCTCCTCAGGAGGCTCAGGCGGGAGAACTGCTTGAGTCCAGGAGGTCAAGGCTGCCATGAGCCACTGCATTCCAGCCTGAATGAAACAGCAAGACCCTTTCTCAAAAAAAAAAAAAGTTTTAGTTGCCCGTCAGAGGCTTGTTTAGTTGACCTAAGTATCATAGGCTTTTGTTTTACTCAGAAAAAATGGCCTGTTTAATTTTTTGTTTTAGTCTAAGGCAAACAAATCTCTTTTGTATTGACAAGCCTTAGATAAAGAAATTCCCAAAAAAAGGCCAGGCGCGGTGGCTCACGTCTGTAATCCCAGCACTTTGGGAGGCCGGAGCAGGTGGATCACTTGATGTCAGGAGTTCGAGATCAGCCTGGCCAACATGACAAAACCCCATCTCTACTAAAAATACAAAAATTAGCTGGGCATGGTGGGTGCATGCACCTGTAATTAAAAGAAATTCCCAAAATGGCCTTCTTTTTCTCAGGACTCAGGACTTGCTAATCTATTTTCCTTTTCAGTGTCAGCAAATCATGCATGCTTTCATTGCTCCTATTTATGATATTGGCTGTTAATTATAAAATGAGCGGCTGCATGTTGTGAGTGGTGCATACATCGGGCAGTAATTTTCACAGGGATGGAGAAGAGGCACATGTAGAGGATTTCCAGGCTGTCCATTTCAGTGGGCTTTTTATCAAGTAGCGATCATGGCGCACATGGTTCTTTGCTGTTTTTGCCTTCAGCAGATGATGACTCATGACAGAATTCAGCAGCAGCACAGTGCGTGTCTCTTGCCTTGCAGTAACTACAATTTCACATGCTAGAATTGCTTCAAAAGCATCAGACAGGTTTCAGCTGATAGAAAGTCAGATCTAAATCAGTAGAAAATAACTTAGATGATGACCTTTATTAAGAGTCGCTTCCTAATCTCAAGTTGTAAACTGAAATTTTAGGAAGCTAGGCAGGCAGGTCAGCAGATTCTCTCTTAAACCACAAGTTCTGTTAAATCAATAAACTTATTTTATATGGTCTAGATTTGAATTGCACAGTTCCAAGAAAGAGAAGAGTCTAGGAGATACGCAGTTATAGATGGAGATAACAGTGTAGTTTGACTCATAGCAGTGACCGACTACTATGTGCAAAGTACTGGACTTGAAACATCTACTGCAGATGTTATTTCTGAAACCTTGTGTTGTCCATTTAAAATTCTGGTTGGAAGTCAGATTCTTAAAAGGCTTTTTAATATATTATTATTCATGAATTGAATTTGAAATTTGAGGTCTTTCTGGCACAAATAGTCTAAGATGATTCTTTTCCCCTTTTCAATGGAGAGGCTTTTCTCCTCCCAACCTCACAACTACTCTTGGGCTCTTTGAACTGTGTGTAGTAGTCTCTTGACAGCAGAGGACCTGTAACTGGTTAGAATGTGACCAATGACTGGCCGGGTGCGGTGGCTCACGCCTGTAATCCCAGCACTTTGGGAGGCCGAGGTGGGCCAATCCTGACACAGTGAAACCCCAGCTCTACTAAAAATACAAAAAATTAGCTGGGCATGGTGGCACACGCCTGTAGTCCCAGATACTCGGGAGGCTGAGGCAGGAGAATCGCTTGAACCCAGGAGGCAGAGGTTGCAGTGAGCCGAGATTGTGCCACTGCACTCCAGCCTGGGCAACAGAGCGAGACTCCGTCTCAAAAAAAAAATAATATATATATATATATATATATAGAATCTGTCTAATGACTAACGAAATGGGGTTGTGTAGAAGACCTGGGTAACCAAATAAAATGCATAACTGTGCAAGTCAAATGGCTGCCACCCAGTCTTCATTCTTGGGGAATTTTGAAATTGGCCACATAGCAGTGTATTTTTGAAAGGGACTATCTTTTTCCTTGCCTCATGGGCATATGAAGTGCTTCATCTGGATCCGAGTATCCTGCCCAGCATTCTCTGCCATAGCAACACTAAAAGACAGCTACGGAAAGCCTGCTCCTCCTGCGGAACTTCAGGACCTCAGGGAGGTTTTCCAGACCACTTCCAACAGTCTTTAAATGGATTTATGTTTTCACCTTATACCACTTCATGGAAATGCTGCAGTCTGCAGACAAATCAGTCTCTCAGTTCTTGTCTTTATAGATTGAACACAGCCAACATTTGGAGAAGTTAGTGCCAATGACAAAATTATCTCCAGGAATAACTGCTCATGCAGTATTACCAAAATAAAAAAATGGGCCAGGCACGGTAGCTCATGCCTCTAATCCCAGCACCTTGGGAGGCTGAGGCGGGTGGATCACCTGAGTTCAGGAGTTTGAGACCAGCCTGGCCAACATGGCGAAACCCCGTCTCTACTAAAAATACAAAAATCAGCCAGGCATGGTGGCACGTGCCTGTAGTCCCAGCTGCTCGGGAAGCTGAGGCAGGAGAATCACTTGAACCTGGGAGGCAGAGGTTCCAGTGAGCCGAGATCACACCACTGCACCCCAGCCTGTGTGAAAAAGCAAGACTCCATCTCAAAAAATAATAATAATTAAAAATATATATAACTTTCAGAGCCAGAGTTTAAAAAATCCAATTCCTAGTTTATTCATCAAACACTTAGATCAGGCTGTATCTTAACCTTCGTATTGATAAGTGCCTTTTGAGAATAGAGTACACAATTTTTAAAAACCTCATCCAAGAAATCTTTTTCTCTTAAAAGACAAATCCGGGACACAGTCAGCTGGATTTTCAGTGAGCAAATGTTGGTTTACTACATCAATATTTTCCGGGATGCTTTTTGGCCAAATGGGAAGTTGGCACCACCGACCACAATCAGAAGCAAAGAGCAAAGTCAGGAAACAAAACAGAGAGCACAGCAAAAGCTGCTTGAAAACATTCCAGGTGAGGCCTGGGCTATTAGCCTGAAAAGCATAGAGATCTGAGGGAATGTGAACCCCACTGAGGTGATTTTCATTTATGTCTTGCAGGAAACATTCTTTACAATGAAAAAAAAAAGGATCATACTCTTTTAAGCCATTTTTTGTCACTTGCTAAGAAGTTATACTGAGAATGTTAAGAACTTGAAAAATGTTTTAGAACAGATAATAAACTTTGTGTTTTGGAAATCCTGCTAAAGTATCGTGTTTTGAGAGCTTAATTTTTAGCAAAATATTAACATTTTAATTATTAAAATTCGTAGTTGAAAAATATTAAAATTGTAATTTGTATAAGTGCCTTATGTTGAAACATTCTTTCCTGAAGCATTTGAGAGAACTGACCATTCATGTTTCTCATGCCTCCATGTGTTTATTGACTGAAGGTGTATAATGTTGTATTCCTTTCACTGCAAAGCTATGCACTGAGCACTTTATCAATAGCAGCATAGAATCTACACTTAATTTTTCAGATATGCTTCAGAGCCTTGTTGGACAGCAAAATGCCCGCCACGGTATAATAAAAATATTCAATGCACTGCAAGAAACAAGAGCCAACAAGCATCTGTTATATGTGAGTAAATTAAAGCCCAGGGGGTTTCCTGCTTTATTTTTGTCTGTTTCTTCGTTTGGTCAGAAAAAACATGTGCCCCAGTGGCTGCAGCACTCTCATTCTCACATACTAGTCATCTCCCTTGACTTTTTTTTTTTTTTTTTTTTTTGAGACAGAGTTTCGCTCTTGTCCCCCAGGCTGGAGTGCAATGGCACGATCTTGGCTCACTGCAACCTCTGCCTGCTGGGTTCAAGTGATTCTCCTGCCTCAGCCTCCCGAGTAGCTGGGATTACAGGCATGCACTACCATGCCCAGCTAACTTTTGTATTTTTAGTAGAGATGGGGTTTCGCCATGTTGGCTGGGATGGTCTCTAACTCCTGACCTCAGGTGATCTGTCTGCCTCAGCCTCCCAAAGTGCTGGGATTACAGGCGGGAGCCACCTCGCCCATCCTCCCTTGACTTTTGATATCACATTGCCGCATAACTGGTTGGTTTTCTTATTTCAGCAAAGCCAACTGTTTCCCAGTCATCTCTGATTATAGTTACCAATATTAAATACTGTTTGAGAGTTACTTGTTTACTGAGATAATTTCAGACCTAAAATTAGACTTTTCTCTTAGATGCAGATATTTATTTTGAATAAACCCTTGGAGAAAAACATTTTTCCACTTTTTTCCTTCTTTGTTGGTTCAGGCGCTGATGGAACTGCTGCTAATTGAACTGTGTCCTGAGCTGAGAGTTCATTTAGATCAACTTAAAGCTGGCCAAGTTTGAGACTACACAAATAAACCACCAGAAAAATGTCTGTGTAATAATAGACATGAAACATTTTCCTCTTTTCCACAGAGGGCTTAACTGAGAACCGTATTGATTTTTATTTTAGTTACCTCCCTCTAGTTTTATGTGAAATTAGTAGAATCAGGGAGGACGGGACTTATGCTGTGGTAGGCAACAGAAAAAAACTTCTATTGATTTTAATTTAATATGAATACTTTAAAGATCAACATACCGATTGAAATACAAATGTTAATATGTGAGAACCTAGGAAGTATTTTAAATATTTATGAAAATATTTTGTTTTAAAATGAACTATGAATATTGTACAGTTAATTTCCTCACTGAGGACTGTGAACATTCTTATATTATTTCATGTATATTGAAGAACATTGTTATGCAATGCTTTGTGTAAAGTTATTGTGAAGATTTTATTGTCTTTATTTTTACCAAAGATTTCCCATAGTTTGAGCATTCAAAGCAATAAAATATAAAAATGAATCACAGTGCTCTATGATATTTAAGATACTTATATCTCAAAGAGGTTGAAACTCTACAGGCTGTTCAAATATTTATCAAATGCCTTTTTAGAGAAAACACTATGTACTTAACTACTTCTGCAGGGAAGTAAAAGTTTGCTGCCTTCTCCAGAAACAAAATAAATCTGTAAAATATATGATTTTTAGTGAGCAGAAAGAGCCAAATTAGTGCTTGAAGTGAGGCATTAGGGAGGAGAGATGGGAGCTGACCCTTGGAGTATGGGCAGGGCCGAGATGGGGGAGCGGAAAGAGGAGGGCAGCTACTTCAGGGGCTCGGTTGTATTATCAAGCCGTTTAGACCACAGGGACATTAGGGGAGATCCAGAGTACAGACTTTGTGTTATTGATAGTGGGGCCATGCACAAGTACTTAATTTTCCTGGGTTTCACCATCTATTATGCAGTAATAAAATACCTTCCCCTGTCTAATCCCCAAGAATATTGAAAACAAAACAATTAAACAAGTAACAGGTAAAAATTCCATTTGAATCCCTGAAAGATACTCCCCTCATGCCCTAGGATGTAACCTATGCCAGTTTATATACGTATGATATACATATCATACCTGCTAACTTCTTGATAAGAAACAAGTTCTGAAAGATAAATGATTAAAAATTAGTAAACCAAATGTTATCCTTAAGATTTTTTTAGTTATAGCTTTTTTATCCTTTTTTCAAACCATGATGATATTTGACACTTAAAAAAATACCCAAAGTTGGCTATTGATAAAAATTATCCTTCAAAAGACTATATAGAAAAGACCAGATAAAATACATTCAAGGAAGAGAGGCAATGTGAAGTTGTCAAGCCTGAAGAACTTATCACAATACAATTATGGGAAATGTCTATTTTAGGCATAATTCTATGCTATCATTTAAACTGTAGCTGTTAAGTTTACATTGCGAATGAGAAAGATCACTATTATTTTGTCTCTATATTTATTTATGATAAAATGTCATTTTTCCATGAGATATCAGCTACAAGGAATCTTAGAGAAGGAGTGTGTGTGTGTGTATGTGTGTGTGTGTGTGTGTGTGTAAGAGTAATGATCTGGAAGTCTCAATGCACTCGAGTTACAGACTCACCGCAGTCTCAGGTCAAGGGGTTTACTACTGTCCTCAGCAGTGGTAGTTTGCAGGGACTCGCTTGTGCCAGAGCATTAGCTTTATGGTAACTAGAGTAAACTGAAATTTTAAATTCTGCATTGGATTTATAGAAGACATATAAGCATAGCATGTTACCATGTATGGCACACGTCAAAGTTTATGATTTCTGAAACCCATCTTTAATGGCAGTTTAAAAAGTGCTCTTTACTTAGGGCCGATCTTTTATTATGTTCCTATTTTAAGATTCTTTTTATTTTTTTTTGAGATGGAGTCTCGCTCTTGTCACCGAGGCTGGAGTGCAATTTGCGCGATCTCAGCTCACTGCAACCTCTGCCTCCTGGTTTCAAGCAGTTCTTCTGTCTCAGCCTCCCGAGTAGCTGGGACTACAGGCGTCCGCCATCACGCCCGGCTAATTTTTGTATTTTTAGTAGAGACGGGGTTTCACCACGTTGGCCAGCCTGGTCTCAAACTCCTGACCTCATGATCTGCCCGCCTCAGCCTCCCAAAGTGCTGGGATTACAGACGTGAGCCACTGCGCCGGGCTAAGATTAGGTCAGGAGACTCCGTCTCAAAAAAAAAAAAATAATAATAATAATAATAATAATAATCTTTAGGAACTGGATTAAGTGTGGAGAAGAGAATACTAGTTGGGAATTTGGATCTTCAAGTGGTTGAAGGAATGTTACATGGGTGGTATTAAGAGATTTGAGACAGAAATACATGACCATTTGAGGATATCTCAAACCCGAGTCTGTTGAAATTTCTTCCCTTACACAAAGACAAAATGAAGTTCAGGCAATACAGACAAGCCAGAACATAAAACGAGAGCAAATACTTTTCTGCCATTCAACAGTTCTTAGTGACTATCACCTCCATATTAATTGCATTTTCCCATTACTAAAAAGAAATCTTGTTTAAATCCACTGTTGGGATGGTTGTGATTTATAAAATAAAGCCACATCCTTTAATATGTTTATAAAAAAAGGAATAGTTAAGGTATCTCTGAGACCTGTCTTCGATATGTATATTTGTTTCACAAATGAATAGCCTTGTACAATCTTATGCATATGGATCTTACTGTTTTTACTGTCACCTTTTGCCTTCATAGATGTCATCTATATACGGAAAGCCTTTTGCTAATTTTAACAATATTTAATTGTAGTTCTTGTAAATGATTTCATTGAGGCTTTTACCACAGGGTTTTAAAAATATGGAAAATGAGCTGAAGCACAAAGAAACAATTTGCTTTACTTTTCTTACGAATATTTTCATATAGCAATTGCTTTTTGTTTTATTACACATTCTGCATATGTATGTAGCAGTTGTTTTACTCATTAAGATCTTTGAGGGAAGATTTGGAGGGGCAAGATTCTAAAGCAATGTCTTATAACCCACTTTTTTGAAGTTTATATGTAATAAGCCAATTATTTATGAGCTTTTTAAGAATAAAGGATGTCTCAAAAGGCTTAGTGCAGTTTTAGCTTTAATAACTTCAGAAGTAGAAATGCTGCACACACTTATTTAAGTTTAATTCTTTAAATGTCTTTTACCCTTAGTTTTGTGAAATTTTAAATTTTTAAAATTTTAAATGACTGAAAATTTAAATTTTAAATGACTGAAACAAAATTTAAACATTATTATTCAAAATTCACAAAACTAAGAGACAAATTTAAAGAATTAAACTTTCAAATGATGGTTTTAAATAAGTTTGTTTCTACTTCTGAACTTACTAAACTAAAGCTAAACTAAGTATTTTTGGAGACTCGGTGTTTAAGAAAGGATAAACGATACTTGCTGTATAGAATGGTTTTAATACTTGATATGGTCTCGGCCAGTCTGTAGGGTAAGAGGTGGACCTCTGAGGACTCTTCCAGCAATTTGACCTTGTGTCTAGGTTTCAAGTTGCAAAACTTAACAGCGTACGAATTCAAGAACGAAGTAACATGTCACCTGTAAAATACCCAGGATAGTGTAATTTGTGATGTGCAAAATAACCAAACATAGCTACTGTAAAAATACACACATTGTGAGGTGTTAGCATTGATGATCTTTGTTGAAATACATTGTGGTCTAAATTCTTTGACGAATAAGTAAGGAGTGAAGTTCATCTGCCAATGCGGGATTCAGACGACAAGCCTTAAAATCAAAAAGAGTCAGATATTTAGATACATTCTAATTGTTTGGGTCTTTCTTCTTTTTTTTTTTTTCTTTTTTGATTCATTTTTAAGAATAGTAAAGTACAGTGAATTTCAAGAAAATTTGTTAAGATACTTTCTATTCTGATGTCCTACTTTAACCTATGCAGAATAGATCAATACTCAAAATAACCATGTTATTCTCATTTGAAAGAGATATTTTATCAATGCCAAGAATAAAGGGAACTTAAGCACCAATGATAGCATTGTATGTTATGAATTATTAAAATAAGTAAAATGGAGAGCATTAACATTTGGCCTCAAAGTTGTTATGATCTCATTATGTGAATAACAGCATCTGTAAAATTTTATTTTAAAATATACAGCTAAAATAATTTTATTATGTCTAAATAGTGACAAGGTGCATAATTTCTAGAATGTCAACAATTTGGGATATAGAGCTCTCATCCAAACCCCATTCTATGCAGTAATTGTCCCTTCAGTACCCACGACAGTTGGTCACTAGGTATTTGCTTGGTTGCTTCCAGTAGCAGGAAGTTACACATTCTACATATGTAGAAGTTTTCACCTTCAGAGAAAACTTGTGTTTTTCTTTGTTTCCTGAACTGTTGTGTTAGAAAACTCTCCCTTATGGCCGGGCGCGGTAGCTCACACCTGTAATCCCAGCACTTTGGGAGGCCGAGGTGGATGGATCACGAGGTCAGGAGATCGAGACCATCCCGGCTAACACAGTGAAACTCCGTCTCTACTAAAAATACAAAAATTAGCCAGGCGTGGTGGTGGGCGCCTGTGGTGCCAGCTACTCGGGAGGCTGAGCCAGGAGAATGGCGTGAACCTGGGAGGCGGAGCTTGCAGAGAGCCGAGATTGCGCCACTGCACTCCAGCCTGGGCAACAGAGCCAGACTCCGTCTCAAAAAAAAGAAAACTTTCCCTTATTTTAGGCTGGTGTTTCTCTCCATGTACTCCAGAATCCTCGAAGGGTCCTAACAGAATACATAATGCTGGTTTCACAGAAACCTAACACTCTAGGAAGTGGGAGTCACCCTGCCTGACGGTGGCAGAGCCGAGAGCAGGCCTGGGTCTGTCGCCTCCAGGTCCCAGTTACCATCTTACTGCCTCACCTTCTGCCATAACACACTGCCTGCCATGGGCACTGATTCTGCTCCCTCCCAACCTGTTCCCTTCCTGCGGGACACTGCCTCTCCCTCCCAACCCGTTCCCTTCCTGCGGGACACTGCCGGTCCAGTGAACACCGCTGTCGGGACACCTTGTGTCCTTTTGCTCTGAGGGAGACCATTTCTGTTCCTCATATCATGCGTCATATGATATCATTCCAGACCCTTCACTGGTTTACTGCCTCTAAATGATCTCCATTTTATCAGTATCCCCATAATGTACAATGGCCTAAACTGAGTACAGTATTCTAGATGTGTATCCTAGAGTCCTAGAGTACAGTATCCTAGTTGCAGAGTAATGGGGCTATTTTCTCCCATCGTATGGAAAATCGTTCTCAGATTGGAATCTGTTTTGTTTTTTTTTTTTTTTTGAGATGGAGTCTCACTGTGTTGCCCAGGCTGGAGTGCAGCGGCACAGCCTCGGCTCACTGCAGCCTCCTCCTTGCAGGTTCAAGCGATTCTCATGCCTCAGCCTCCCGAGTAGCTGGGACTATGGACATGCGTTACCATGATGGGCTAATTTTTGTATTTCTAGTAGAGATGGGATTTTGCCATATTGGACAGGTTGGTCTCACACTCTTGGCCTCAGGTAATCCTCCCACCTCGGCCTCCCAA
Source organism: Homo sapiens (assembly GCF_000001405.40). Lineage (NCBI taxonomy): Eukaryota > Metazoa > Chordata > Mammalia > Primates > Hominidae > Homo > Homo sapiens. The sequence goes on from NC_000004.12 coordinate 185,369,056, forward strand.
AGTGCTGGGATTACAGGCATGAGCCACGGTACCTGGACTTTTTTTGTTGTTCTAGTCAGGATGACTATATAGTATATTTCAAAATATATTTGACTAGAGTTTTCTAAGGATATTAAGGATAGGATAGAACCTGAAATCGGCTTGGTTTGGAAATTGATGTAATACAGAGAGCTTTTTTTTTTTTTTTTTTTTTGAGACAGAGTCCCAGGCTGGAGTGCAGTGGTGTGATCTCGGCTCACTGCAACCTCTGCTCCCAGGTTGAAGCAATTCTCCTGCCTCAGCCTCGCGAGTAGCTGGGTTTACAGGCACACATTGCCATGCCTGGCTAATTTTATTTTTCAGTAGAGACAGGATTATTTAGTATTTTTAGTAGAGACCCAGTTTCACCATGTTGGCCAGGCTGGTCTCGAACTCCTGACCTCAAGTGATCTGCCTGCCTCAGCCTCCCGAAGTGCTGGGATTACAGGCATGAACCACTGTGCCTGGCCAGTACAGAGAACATTTAAATGAAAAAAGTTAGACAACTGTTATTCATGCTAAGAATGGTGTAGAGGTAAATATCTTAAAGATCAGTTGCATTTGGCTGTGTGCTATGTGTCTATGTTTATGTTTTAATATGGCTTTGATGCTCTGGAAGTTTTAATTTTAAAGTAATTTAGGGTTCCCAAACTTACCTGACATTGGAATCCCACAGGGAACTTCAACAAATACGCTTCTGTCTCCTAGAGACCATGATTGAAATTTTCTGAAATAAGGCCTGAACTTTGGAATTTGTAAAAGATCCTCGGGTGATTTTAACATGCAGAGAAGCTTGGGAACCACTGCTGTAATATCAGAGTCAGCCAAGGGACTCAGAAGACTCCCCCACTCAGGCTGAACAATCTGTGTTCCACAAACACTGCTCTACCAAGTCTGCTATGATGTAATTCTGACTCGTGGATGTGATGGACCTAAGATGTGCACAGCTTTTTGGTTTTTCTTTTTTTAAAAAAAATCTAAACTTAAGAGTTAGTACTCATAATGATCTCCCTTACACCCCCTCCACTACCACACCCCTTGCTTTTTAGTATTTACTTTGAGATGTGAAACGCATTTGGGATCTAAATAAATTGATCACATGGATTAAAATATGAAAGACTTATTTTAACTGATTACCTCAAACTCAAAAATATCCCGCCTAAGTGGGGTAGATGTCACGCTCAAAAAAACTTTAAACTCTGTACTAGAATAAAAAACTTCATTACTGTACTAGAATGAACGTATACATTCACACTTGTTCTAGATGAAAGAAAAACTGTTCAGCTTTAAGGTCTTGGTGCTGGGCCTTAGGCTGCAGATAGTAGCAGAATGAAAGAGTAATTTGCATCAAAATAGGACTTTTAATCATTGGAGCTAAATTATGCTAATAAGATTCTGACAGAATTGTCTGCAAACAATCTGCATGTCTGACAGCTTCTCTGTAGACAGAGGTTATCTGCACAGTAATTGAGTAGAAAAAACACTAATCCGTAAAACTATTCAAGTTGCAGCTAAAAGCCTGGCAGTTTCTCTTTGGGTGAATTTATATTTTGTTCTAAAGCTTACTTTAGAATAATAGTGTTTAGCGGTTGTTTCATCCCTGGTGATGCCCAAGCCAAGCTGAAGACACCTTGCGTGGTAGAAGGATGCCATTGCCATGCCTCTGCCGATGAACTCCGGGAGACAGTCTGTGACCTGGGCGATCATGGGGATGTCGTGAACCTCATCATAGTCAGCGATCCTGAGAGGATGTAGAGTTGTGAAATGGAAAAGACATCAGTTATGGTAAGTGTTTGTAAAACGATGCGCCTAGAGACTGTCCTTGTGCCTGAAGTGATTTCTCTCTACTGCTTTGAGAACTAAGTTGTTTGCTGTGTGGGGAAGGGTCCATGTAGGCACCTCATACCAGGAGAAGATGAGCTTCCCAGAGTGGTGACTTCACATGTCTCTGTAATTATGCTCAGCAGGCTCAATAACCACTGGAAAACAAAGGTATGTTTCTTTTTTCTTCTAATATTACTACTGGAAGTTTAATGTCACTTTGTGGATTTAAACTGAACGGAGAAGAAAGCATTTTCTATTTCTTTGGATCACGTATGGAAACATCAACCTTCAGTTTGGACGTTAGCCACATAGGACCAGAAAACCCTTTCACTAGCACATCTTCTTTAAAAATAGACAATTGGCTGGGCGCGGTGGCTCACGCCTGTAATCCCAGCACTTTGGGAGGCCAAGGCAGGCGGATCACGAGGTTAGGAGATTGAGACCATCCTGGCTAACATGGTGAAACCCCGTCTCTACTAAAAAAGATACAAAAAATTAGCTGGGCATGGTAGCGGGTGCCTGTAGTCCCAGCTACTCGGGAGGCTGAGGCAGGAGAATGGCGTGAACCCGGAAGGCAGAGCTTGCAGTGAGCCGAGATCGCACCACTGCACTCCAGCCTGGGCAACAGAGCGAGACTCCGTCTAAAAAAAAAAAAAAAAAAAAAAAGGATAATGGAAAGAAGTCATCCTTTATACCCAGACACAAATATGTACAATTGTGTGAGAATGTGATCCAGTCAACTCCATGTTAACCTCAATGTCATAGGGAGTAGGGATGTGGAAAATAAGGGAAAGCGCCGAAGATTTTAAAGAATGATTTAAAGTCTTAGTTCTAACTAAGATGGGCACTTGCTTTGAGACACTGGCAATCACTCCTGTAAGTGGTCTGCTGCCTGGAGCCCGAGACGCTGGGGAAGCGGGGTAGAAGCAGCCCCTCCTTCCCTTCATCCTCTCTTGTAGATGACTGCCCTGAGCTAGGGCTCGGAGAGGGGGGAGACCTGGCGCTGTGGGAAGGGTGTGATTGGGAAACACCAGCACACGCAGAGTCTGATGGCCACTCTAGAGTACACCCAGGTCTGTCTCCCCGACCCACTGCTTTTATACACTGTGGGTAAATACGTGTAGGAAAGTACATGGAGCCTTACGGACTCCGAGAAAAGACGTCTTTTATATTTTATTAGATATAGTGTCAGTCTTTTAACCATATTCTCATGTTACAGTTGTTATGAAGCTGTATTTCAGTGGTGCAGTTATAGAACTGCATGACCGAGGAGTGCAGGAAGAAATGAAGACGTAATAAATGTGTGACATGCCAAGCTGTGTTAAGTACATGATTATAATCCTGCTATAAAGGTATTCTCTTCTTACAGATAAGGCAATTGCTGCTTAAAAAACTTGCTTCAGCTAGTAGCACTGAAATCCTGAAGGCTAATGGCATAGAATTGTGCTATCCAGTATGGTAACCACCAGCCATATGAATATTTACATTAAGTAAAATTTAAAAGTTTAGTGCTAAGTTGCATTAGACACATTTCAAGTGCTCAATAGCTATCATTTCTAATACTGCAGAAAGCTCTGTGAAGGATTTGGCATAGAACATGTAGTAGGCATTCTTATCAATACTTTCATCCAGTTTATTCAAACATTACTGCTATGGTTTGACTAGTAAGTTCCCTTGGAAATCCCAGTGTTGCTAGTGTGATCGTATCAAGAGGTGGGGCTCTTAAGAGGCGACGAGGCCATGAGAGCACCTCCCTCATGAATAGGACTAAAGCCCTTTTTATAAAAGAGGTTTCCTGTAGCTTTCTGCTGTCACGTGAGGACATGATGGTCCTCCCCTCTGGAGGTTGCAGCCCTCTCCTGGCCTCTGGAACTGTGAGAAATAAATTTCTGTTTCTCATAAATTACCTAGTGTGTGATATTCTGTTACAGCAGCACAGAACAGACAAAGACATTCACCTTTTGGAAAATGCAACACACTTTGTAAAAAATTTCATCTTATAGTAATACTCCACGAGATTCCCTTGAGCATAGACGTTTCCGCGTTCTGCTGCTTCTCTTAAGCACTGCAGGGCAGCTTCCGTATCCTGCCGGATGCCTTGTCCATACAAGTACATGAGCCCAAGTGCACCCTGGGACTCCAGATTCCCATTGCCACATGCTTCGGAATGCCAGTAAAATGCCTAAGAAAAGCACAGTTTCATCATTGTATTTGTGATCCACTAGATGAAATTATAAGGGAATACTAGACAGAAAAGAACTCTGTGTTTCCTAGATAGCACTATTAATCATCTCTAGGAAAGAGCGGTAGGCCTTTGGACGCATTTCACACTAGCACACATGCCTAACACAGTGTGGAGGCGAGTTCCTCCGCTGTCTGTCCACAGTGCAGGTGAGATCACAGTCCAGGCAGCTTATGGCAGAGGAAGACCAGCTGTCCTAGGTTTCAGGATTTGGGGATCTTCAGAGTAAGGATCAGGAAGATGCCAAATAGGAACTCAGTGTCTGAAAGGCGTGAGGCACAGCAGAGGAGGGGAAACCACTGATGCTAAGGGAGAGTTCGAGCTCCCGGTGGATTCTAGAGATAGCAGCTGCTGCGATCAAAGACAACCCAGGATAAACGCTGTATGTAGGCTCAAGCACATTTGCCTCATACTCTGCTACAGTGAATTTGAATTCATTTAAAAAATTCCAGATGGCTGCTTATCTATCCAAAGATGGCCTTAGTTGTTATGTGTCTCTTGCAAATTTGCCATTAACTCCTCTCTCACAAGTAGGACTCAGCCCCCATTTCCTTCTCCTTATAGGATTTTTTGGAAACTGTTTCAACCATTGATGAAAGAGATTATATTTCTGTGAAAATCTTAGATGGATTTTATTTGTAACTAATTCTTGGTATATTTTACTTATTAGTATCAATTTCTCAAGTCAACGGTAATATTCATCTGTTCATGCTTAGAAGGATTTTGGCTGTAATTTCAGGACTGTTTCTCTTCTTTTAGCTTTGATACTATAGTATACAAAATACTCTCACATTCATGGTTTCCTTCGGTAGAGGTAGGGAAGGGGACATTTATAAATAAAAGGGCTTTGAGATCCTAAAATGTATGCTTTCTTTACATTTAAAGGAACTATAAGAGATATTTAAAACGACATTCCCCACCATTTTCTCAAAAAAAGCAGTGAAACAAATATTAATCTAAATATAACACTAGCATTAAAAAAGAGGGAACGTTACCTTTTCTAACTCCTTGGGCTCCTTGGTTGAGTAATACAGCCCGAGCATACTTTGAGCCTTCACACTAGCTTTGGGATTTCCATTGTCTGCTGCGATAAGCCACAGTCTACAAGAGAAAGTGAGGCATGTTATTCTCGGTTTCAGCATTTCCTTCAAACCTAATCTTGTTCTCAGGTAGGATTACCTTTCAGCTTCCTCATTTGATCGTTTAACACCTTTTCCTTCATAATAAGCTCTTCCGAGGTTGTAAGCAGCTGCAAATTTTAAGTGTCTTGCTTTGGGACATGGAGAATCAAGAATTTTCTTCATATAGTCCACCCCTTTCTCCTTCGACAAAAGAAAGAGCAAAAAAACCCTAGTTTTTAGTTTTACCCAAACTGAATTTCTTTCTCCCAATAAGGCTGTGAAGTGTCCGCCCTCTGACACGATGTATAATACTATGAATCTGTGCCCAAGGGGTACAATTGTCCTGGATTCTGCAGGGCAAGCGATAAGGAGGAAAAGAATCTCTAAAAGTACATCTCCTACTCAGGCACTCCCAGGAGCTCTGGGATATAAGAAATTTCCTTCCTTTTACAGCTGCCTGAGTTGATTTAAGTCTCGATATGGGCTTCCTTTTTTCTCTCCTCCCTCCCATCTAATAACCCTTATCCTGAATCAGCACAGTTCTTAGAACTGGCTAAAGTGGAAGAATGGCCAGGAACAGCTTTCACATTTATAATTCTTACGATACACTTGCGAGCCCCTAACAAACACCGTCTTCCATTCAAGCATACTTTTACTGTGTGCTCATAGTTTGTATCTAATATACAAATCTTATGCACTAATACGACATCTGCTACGTGGTCACAAGGAAAGCATAGAAGATATTCTAACCACTAGCAAGAACAGATCTGTACCCTCCACCCCCAAATCCATCAGACACAAACCTTCAAACATCACCCAAAAGAAGAAAATAATATTGGACAATCAAATATATTTTGGTTTTTGTTTGTTTGAGACAGAGTCTTGCTCTGTCACCCAGGCTGGAGTGCAGTGGCATGATCTTGGCTCACTGCAGCCTCCCAGGTAGCTGGGAATACAAGCATGCACCACCATGCCTGGCTAATTTTTGTATTTTTAGTAGAGCCTGGCCAACATGGTGAAATCCTGTCTCTACTAAAACTACAAAAATTAGCCAGGCGTGGTGGCAGTGCCTGTAATCCCAGCTACTGTGAAGGCTGAGGCAGAAGAATCACTCGAACCCGGGAAGCAGAGGTTGCAGTGAGCCGAGGTCGCGCCATTGCACTCCAGCCTGGGCGACAGAGCGAGACTCCGTCTCAAAAAAAAAAAAAAAAAAAAAAAAAAAAAAAAATATATATATATATATATATATATATATGTATATATATATGTATTAAAATATAAATAATTTTAATTGTGTCCAATAATCCACTGACAATGAAATCTTAACCACTGTGACCAAGACATTAACTTACAGCGTCTAGAGTGGTCCCCAGCCCATCATAGTACATCACTCCTAGCTGGTAAGTTGCTTGATGGTCTTTCTCCTTGATTTCTTCAAACTGTTCTAATGCTTCTTCATACCATCCCTAGAAGCACCCAGAAGATATTTAATTATTTTTATTATGATCTTAAAGTAATCCCAAAGGCACCAAGTGGTCAAGTGTTTGTGCCCAAGTTAAACACACAGTTAACAAGCAATGCAGCCATATCTGAACCCATGCCCCACGCTGAGGAAGCATGCTCTCAGCCATGGTGCTCTGCCATCCTCAGAGTAACAGGCGCACGATGAGCCCTCAGCAAACATTTGTTGCCAGGATAGACGAAGGTGCCATCGAAAAGTGAGAGAGTAAGTGGGATATAGGTGAACAGCTGCCCAAATAGTCAACAAATGGTGAAAGACAGTCAGTCCCTTTTCAAGTCTTCCCGGGGAAGTCAATGAAAAACCGAAACTACATTACTGAAGTTGAGGGGACAGCTGGCATAGCCATTCCTCAGTCTACTTCCCAGGCCACCCCAACAAGATGTGGAGAAAGAGGGCGATTTCCTCCTATGCTATCCAGGAACAACTAAAGCTTCCCCTAAGTACTAGATAAAAATCAAGGCTTCAATTATTATTAATATGAAGATACCTGGTAATACAAACATACTTTTTTTTGAGAGGGAGTCTCGCTCTGTGGCCCAGGCTGGAGTGCAGTGGCACGATCTCAGCTCACTGCAACCTCTGCCTCCTGGGTTCAAGCGATTCTCTGCCTCAGCCTCCCAAGTAGCTGGGATTACAGATGTGTGCCACCATGCCCAGCTACTTTTTTTTTTTTTTTTTTTTTTGTATTTTTAGTACAGATGGGGTGTAGCCATGTTGGCCAGGCTGGTCTACAACTCCTGACCTCAGGTGATCCACCTGCCTCGGCCTCCCGAAGTACTGGGATTACAGGCGTGAGCCACCGCACCCGGCCTGATAATATAATTTGTATTATTAAATATTTTGAGCAAAAATATAAAAATTTGATTTTTAATCTATAGTGTGAAATGGATTTTATACTAAAACGACTCCCATAAATGGCTTTCATGACATGGATTTTATGAAGAAAAGTCAGGTAGCTCCTCAAGCTGGCAGCACTGTATCCTACTGTTAAAGCCACAGCCATAGTCGATGTAATTGGACAGAATTTCCCTAGTATAACACAGTAAGAAACTCTACATGAAATTTTTGTCTGAGGATCTAACAACAGAATTACAGGAAATGAAAACGAATAAACAAAAAATGATACCTCTTCAAAATATAGTTGACCTCGTAGGAAATATGCCAGAGTGTCTCCTTTCAGTATTCTTTCCTTCAAGAGCTGCAATGCCTTATCCACCAAATTAGCATGGGTGTAATCTGATTTTAAAAAGGTAAGGAATTCCATCAACCACACAATATGAATTTTCTCTCTTGAAGTAATGAATCATATAAAATCCATCTAACACTGTTGACATTCTTGCTTTCTAGTGCTCATTCCTACAACTGGCCTCCTTAGCTCAAGGAAGAAATATTACCTGAAAAAACGTCATGGTCACAGGCCCTAACACTGTGCCTTGTGTAATAAAGCAATACTGGCCGGGCGCGGTGGCTCACGCCTGTAAATCTCAGCACTCTGGGAGGCCGAGGCGGGTGGATCACCTGAGTTTGGGAGTTCAAGACTAGCCTGACCAACATGGAGAAACCCCGTCTCTACTAAAAATGCAAAATTAGCAGGGCGTGGTGGTGCATGCCTATAATCCCAGCTACTCGGGAGACTCAGGCAGGAGAATAGCTTGACCCCAGGAGGCGGAGGCTGCGGTGAGCCAAGATTGCATCACTGCACTCAAGCCTGGGCAACAAGAGCGAAACTCCATCTCAAAACAACAACAACAACAACAAACAATACTTGTTGATTGGTTTCACACTAACCCTGCTCATGGCCAAGTAGAGCCCTAACAGTGCAGGGCTGGGTATAAGTCTATGCATTGGTTTGTCTTCAATGGGCAAAGCTCTCTGGAGAGGTGAGTTAAATTCTTAATTTGAGCCTTAATGAGAGTTCCTCTAACCAAATGAGCAACCCATCCCTAATATAACATTTTTAAGACTTTAGGGAAGATAAGGTATTTAAATAATAATTGCAAGTCAAGCCTGGCATTGTTCTCTTTAACAAACGTGACATCTGCTTTCTGTTTTCTAGAAGCATGTCCTTAAGTCCTGAGAGTAAAATCAAGACCTAACTATCTGTGAGACCTCACTGACGATTTGCTACCAGATAAATGAGCAATTTCACAGATTCTTGCGGGAAAACTCAAAAGGACTAATGATTAACCACTTCCTTGAAATCAATAAAACACATTATTTCTTGTCTCGTTTGCTCTAGCATGCAAAATGAACTGTTAAAGTGTTTTCCAAGGGAAGCTTAAATATCAGGATTTGTACCAGTCTTTTCCTTTTTCCACTGGAAAAATTTTTGGTTTTTAGCAGCATACTGAGATACAGAGGCATAAAAGGGGTTCTTGGGCAACTTTTCACTGGTCAACTTCATCCTTTTTCTGCAATGTGTATTCTATAAGCAAGAAGAAAAAATAAGTGGTAGAAATTTCTTCCTCCAGCGAAGTGCAAAGAGAGACTCTATTCCCACCAGGTGCTCATTAGGAAAAGCATCCTTCTCTCATCGCCTAGATAGAACACCAACCACCAACTCCAGGACGTGAACATTCTTTACTAGGACACCAAGACCCTCCTCCCTAGCTGAGAGACAGCCATTCTCCATGTCATTTTCCACAGCATCGCATTCACCATGAGACCTGTTTGCACGTCCTGTCTGGCTATGGGTTTATACATCAAGATGGGTCAAGTCACCCAGCACAAGTGTTGCCACTTAGTGGGACCTGGTGACACTGCCCACAGTCAGAGCTCTTCTGCACTGGTACCTTCTCTGCCCTTGTAACTGACACTCATCGGACGAATCCATTTCAAATTAAAGCACTTGTCTATTTTACCTGGGAATACACTTTATTTTAGCTGTTGTTGAGTTTTATCTTCCTGTCTGTATTGGATTGCCATGTTATAAGATGGATCACAGTTGAATGGTAAATCAGTGTCTTCATATAAAATGTAGCGGTCACCTCATTTGGGGTGAAGGAGTCCAGGTTGGCCTAGGCTGAGGGTAGTGAGACAGCAAACTCAGTTGTTGCTACACTTTTGTATTTACTCCTTGGCATTCCACTGTTATGGCTTACTTTCACCAATCAGAAACAAGCTTCCAGCAAAGGTTCCTGATTGGTGGTCAAGAGAAGAAATAGAGAGACCCTTAGTGTGATTGGAAAGCTGCATTTTTATATCATTCCATGATGCTATTTTAGACAATAAATTGCTTAAGTGAGAATGAAGTGCAGAAAAAAGGAACATTTAGTAGGGGAAAAAAATCACTGAATTATCTTTGTGATTTTGGAAGAGTCATTTAATCTTTTTAAGAGTCAATTTCCTCATCTTTAAGTTGGACTATAAGTGGTCTGCATTAAAGGATTTTATAATGTTCCTTTTTAGATATATACAATTCTTGATTATATGATTCCCCAAATCTTATGGTTGCCTTTAGTGAATATGAAATTTCCCAATGAGCTTTACTTAGGGTGAAGCAATATTAGGTAAGGTATTAAGAAGAAAAACAATCCCTATCGGATGGTGCAGATAGCACTCATTTATGACTGAAAGATTGGATGTGGAAGTTTTATTTTCATTGAAGACATTAACTCAATATGCTACTTATCCAAAAAGGCTAAGAAAAAACTGGCATATTCAGGAAGGGCATCAGAAATGAAACAAATCAGAAAACAATACCTTACTTTGTTTAAAACTCATGTTGCCTTTTGTGGTTAGAAGACTGCACATGGTTTTTGCTGCTGTAGCTTAAAAGAAGTTTTGGAGATGTTTGGAAAACTAAATCAAAGATTTACTGAGCTCTTATTAAATGCCAAGTATTGACCTTTGTTGTAAGGCTTTCTAGGCAGCGCCGACAAAACTTTACGAAATAAGGTTCATTATGAGGCTCGTTTAACGTATGGGGAAACCAAGGGACAGTGGGGAAGTTAAGTAACTTGCCCAAGGCCACAGGGCTAGTTAAGGACAGGTAAGCAGAACAGCTGGCGTGTCCCAGCACCTGCGCACTTCTCTCTCTCTCTCTCTCTCTCTGAGACAGCGTCTCACTCTGTCATCCAGGCTAGAAGAGTGCATTGGTACAATCATAGCTCTCAACTGCAGCCTCAACCTCTTGGGCTCAGGTGATCCACCCACCTCAGCCTCCCAAGTACTTGGGACTACAGGCATATGCCATGACATCCAGCTAATTCCTTAAAATTTTTGTAGAGATGGGGTCTCCATGTTATGCAGGCTGGTCTCAAGTTCCTGGGCTCCAGCAATCCTCCTGTCTCAGCTTCCCAGTGTGCTGCGGTTACCGCAGTGAGTCACCGTGTCCAGGCAATACAATAAATATTGCCTTTTTGATGGATTTACTGGGTATTTATTGGATTGACTAGATATTTATTATGTTTTGGGAATTTTTAGCTTCCTGTCTTGGATTGGCGTCTTTTATTAGCTCCCAAACATTCTCAGGGATAATTTATTTGTGTTTGTTAGTTTCCTGGGGCCGCTAAAACAAAATATCAAAAACTTTGTGGCTTAAAAGAACAGAAATTTCCTCTCTCACAGTTCCGGAGCCTAGAAGTCCAAAATCAAGGTGTTGGCAGGGCCATGCTTCCTCTGGCCCTAGGGAAAAATCATCCTAAGCATTCCCCACCAGCTTCTGGTGGTTTCTGGTGATGTCTGGTGTTCCTAGGCTTGTAGTTGCACAACTCAACCTCTGCCTCTGTGTTTACATGGCCTTCCCTTCATGTCTCCTCTATCTCTGTGTGTCCTCTCCTCCCTCTTATGAGGACACCAGTCATTGGAGTTGGCACCCACCCTAATCCAACATGACTTCCTCTTAACTTGATTACATGTAAAATATCCTATTTCCAAAGAGGTTCACATTCACAGGTTTCAGGAGTTAGCACTCAGATATATCTTTGGTTGGAAACACAAGTCAACCCACCATGCTCTTCAGAGGCCCCAATCTATTTCATTTTTCTCTCCAGCATTTTGATAAGACCTTCTCCTCATGTCTCTTAAATTTGCCTTTCAGATTTTCCATCGTTTTTTTTCTCTCTGACACACTCTGGGTAATCTCTTCAGTAATCTCTCCCTTTTTATTAATTCTCTCTTTAGCCACATCTAGTCTGCCATTAAAGCAATCCATTTAAAAACTGTTTACTGAAGTAAATGAAAGATACAGAAATGTATATGTAAGTTTACAGCTTGATAGATTTTCACAAGCCAAACACATCCATGTAACTAGCTCTCAGATCAAGAAAGAGATCCTTACCAGCACTTTGGAAGTCCTGTTGTATTCCCTTCTAGTCACTACATGAACTCAAGTGTAAATCCTATATGCACCTGTAATGGCACAAGTTACTTTTTCTTGTTTTTTACACTATATAAATGGAATCATACAGTGTGTAATATTTTGTGTCTAGCTTCTTTCCCTTGACATTGATTCATCCATTTTGTTGTGTTAGTTGTAATTTTTTTCCTTCATATTGTTGTATTACATTGTGTGAATATATCACAATTTATCTTTTCTACTTGATGGACTTTGGGTAGCTTCTGTTTTGGACGATTAGGAACATTCTTGGGCCTGCTTTTTCCTGAAAATTTATACATGTTTTTGTTGCGGATAAACATAGTAGTAGTAGTTACTGGGTCAATGACTATGCATAGTCAGCTTTTGTAGATACTGCCAAATAGTTTCCAAGTGATTGGGCACAAAATCCCTTTTTAAATTAATTGCTGATTTAGATTTCTGGTAGTTTGAGTAATTTATGGGAAGACTGCTTGGTTCATTTGAGTTCTGAATATAAATCACCCATTCAATTAGGCTGACTTTTCAGGAGTCCTAGTAAAAAGTTTTTAGTTGTCCTGACTATGACAAGTATGAGACAGCCTCTAATTCAGGCTGAAGAGTCCTGGCTATTTCCAAAGAGGGACAGGAAACTACAGCTGTTTTGGGGGGCTTCAGTCTGTTCCTCAGAAGAATGTGAGGAAATTATTGTATGGCTCATCCTGCATCTTTATACTTCTGATTTCCTGAATTAACATTTATGTTAATCCATTTGTTACACTTTTTACAAATTGATATATAATTCACATACCATAAAATTCACCCTTTTAAAGTGTACAATTCAGAGGTTTTTAATATAATTACAAAGTTGTGCAATAATTACCGCTATGGAATTCCAAAACCTTTTCATCATCCAGAAGAAACACTGTAGCATCGGCAGCCACTCCCCATTCTCCTCCCTTCAGTTCCTGGCAAACACTAATCTACTTTCTGTCTCTATGGATTTGCCTATTTTGGATATTCTATATAAATGGAATCATAGAATATGTGGCCTTTTATGTCTGGCTTCTTTCACTTAGCATAATGTTTACAACATTCATGTACTTTGTTGCATGTATCAATATTTCATTCCTTTTTATGGATGATTAACATTTCATTATATGGATTTTTAAAAAATCTGTTCATCAGTTGATAAGCACTTGGATTGTTTCCAGCTTTGGCCTATTATGAATAGTGCTGCAACAAACGTCTGCGTACTAGTTTTTGTGAGGATACATGTTTTCAATTCTCTTGGGTATGTACCTAGGAGTGGAATTGCTGGGTCATATGGTAATTCTATGTTTGACATTTTGGGAAATTGCCAATCTGTATTTCAAAGTGGTTGTACCATTTCACATCCCTACCAATAGTGTATAAGGTTCTACATCCTCACCAACACCTGTTGTTGCCTATCTTTATTATCACCATCCTAGTGGATGTGAAGCGCTATCTCATTGTTGTTTTGATTTGCATTTCTCTAATGAAAAATCATGTTGAGCATCTTTTCCTGTGCTTCTTACCCATTTTGCATTTGTATTTGTAAATGTCTATTCAAAGCTTTTGCCCATTTTCCAGTTGGGTTATAATAGTTCTTTATATATCCTACATACTAGTCTCATACCAGTGTATAATTTGCAATTTTTTCCCAATGTGTGGATGTTTTTCTTTAACAGTTTCTTTTGATCCCAAAACCTTTTATTTTTAATGAAGTCCAGTTTTTCTATTTTTTCTTTTCTTGCCTGTGCTTTAGGTGTCACATCTAAAAGAAACCATTGCCTAATCCAAGGTCACAAAAGTTTACCCCTGTGCCTTCTTCTAAGAGTTTTATATTTACTCTTACATTTAGGTCTTTGATCCATTGAGTTCATTCTGTGTATGAGGGAAAGGTCCAAATCAGTTCTTTTGCATGTGGATATCCATTTGCCCAGTACCTGTTTGTTGAAAAGATCATTCTTCCCTCATCATTTGTTATACTTTCACCTCAGTAGTTGTGTTTTGAAGTATGTATATTAAATCTTTTATAGGCAACCTTGCATTTAAACTTTGTGCTCTGAACCATCTAACTGTATTCAGGCTGGGTGTGGTGGTTCATTCCTGTAATCCCAGAACTTTGGGAGATCAAGGTGGGAGGATCACTTGAGGCCACAAGTTCAAGACCAGACAGGGCAACGTAGTGAGGCCCTGTCCTTCCAAAAAAATTAAAAATAAAAAAATTAGCCAGGTGTGGTGGTGCACACCTATAGTCCTAGCTACTCAGGAGGCTGAGGGGGGAAGATCCCTTGAGCCCTGGAGTTTGAGGCTGCAATGAGCTATGACTGTGCCATTGCACTCCAACCTGGGTGACAGAGTGAGACCCCATCTCCAAAAACACACTGCTGCTGCAAAATGTGTCTTAAGTATGTTAGTGTCGTTTGTGGGTTGTGTGCCTGTGCAGAAAACAGTTACCACGGCAGGCCCGAGGCTGCCATCTTTACAAGGGCATACTGGCAAGGCTGGCATTTGGCTGACATCAGGAACTTGGCACTTCCATCCCCTAACTGGTAAGACTGGTTTTGCTGTGTTTAAACTGTTGCATAAACAATGTGATTTGTGGTGACTATCTGCTTTCCTTGTGGAATTCTGTCATTTTGGTAGCTGCTAGGCAGAGGATGCCTACATGACTTGCCCCCAACAAAAACATCCCTCCGGGCTTCCTTTGGGACAAACACTGTGCCCATGTCCCTGCATTCTTCACTACTGGAGACAGGCAGGTGCGCCGTGTTTTTCCTCATGGAAGGGAGAGAACATAAGCCTGGGCGTGGATTTCTTCAGATTCCACCTGTGCCTTTGTTGTTGTTGCTAATCTTGTTGTGTATTCCTTTGCTGTAATAACTGTTGCCCATGAGTACAACTATATGCTGAGTCCTAGTCCTGACACAGTACCTGCTATGCTTAGAGTGTGTGTCCCTCCAAAGTTCACATGTTGAAACTTAACCCCCTAAGGTGATGGTATTAAGAGGTGGAGCCCTGGGGAGTGACGGGAGGGTTCTGCTCTTAAGGATGGGATTTGTGCCCTTAGGAAAGGGTTAGATGCAGAGAGCTCACTCTTTTGCCATTCTGCCTTCTGCCATGTGAGGACACAACAAGGCACTGTCCTGAAAGCTCTCACCAGACACTGAATCTGCCAGTGCCTTGATTTTGGACTTCCCAACCTCCAGAACTATGAGAAATCAATTTCGATTGTTTATAAATTACCCAACTAAGGAATTTTGTTATAGAAGGAGGAACAGACTAAAACACCACCCTAGACTATGTCATATAAATAGGAGCCTAGACATTCCATTTAACTTTCAATGGGCCAAGTGTTTAAAGTTTCTGGGTTTTTAAAATTAATTACATTTGCTGATGCTTCTGACTGGCTCTTTTGACACTTAATAGTTGGCCTAATCCAATGTTGAAATGAAATAATGAATAGCTGTATTTAAAGTTCTTTTAAAATTGAGGTTCAACACTGAAGTTCCTTTCATACTAGATAATGTTCCTAGTGCCCAAGAAAACAGAGATAAATAAGCCTCCCCGGCAAACCCTCAAACCCGTGTTTATTGTTATTTTTCCTTTCATTACTATTGCCTAACAGTAGTTTTTTAAAAACCCCATAGTGTTCATATAGTAATTGGAAACACCATCTACACATATATGATGAAAAATTAGAAGAGAATAACTTACTGAGATCTCAAAAGACAATACTGATTCAGGCAGTAGCTTTCTGTTCTTCCCACTCCGCCCTGCATCCCCCTCCCCGCCCCCCGTCCCCCGCCGCCCCTTTCAGCTAGGTCCGTTTGTGTGTTTAAAACAAAAGTGCTTTTTTCCCACCCCTTCCTTTTGGGTGTGGCAGATTTACACCATCAGGCCCTGAAGAGAGGAAAAGTGTGGGGAAAGACAGGATGTGTTTTATGACCAGATAAGCTGTGGCAAGCACGGGATGAAAGAGTCCAGTAGCTTTTGATTTTATTTTTCTCTGATTTACCATGTATTCTGTGATCAAATAAAACAGGCTAAGAAACACTGATACGTTCAAAATCTTCCCGCCGTTTGTGTGGGCCCACACGTCTATTTGTTCTGTTCCCAATGGGGAAACCTTGTTGGCAGTTACAGCTGCCGGGTCTTCTCTGGAGCCGATACTGTTACAGTTATAAATACACTCCGGGATGATTTACCCCCGGAGGTCAGCTAGTAAAATACATGAGTAGAATTCCTTAAAGTATGTGATAATTGCTCATCACTATCCAAGTGTGACATAAATCATAAAAAGAATTGACAAAATCAGGGTCGCAAAGAGAATTGAAAAAAATCTGTCACAACCAAAATTTAAATTGACCTCTGTCCTAGAGTATGAGAGCCACACTGAACAGAAAAACCAGATAAATCTTTTATAAAATATTCATTTGCAGCCCCATTAACGTTGCTTGTCACCCCACCTCCCCATGTCCTTGGACAAACTGAATGTATAGTAACATCATCCCAGGCCAGGCGCGGTGGCTCATGCCTGTAATCCCAGCACTTTGTGAGGCTAAGGCAGGCAGATCAGGAGGTCAGGAGTTCAGGACCAGCCTGGCCAAAAAGGTGAAACTCCGTCTCTACTAACAATACAAAAATTAGCTGGGTGCGGTAGTAGGCGCCTGTAATCCCAGCTACTCGGGAGGCTGAGGCAGGAGAATTGCTCAAACCCGGAAGGTGGAGGTTGCAGTGAGCTGAGATCGTGCCACTGCACTCCAGCCTGGGTGACAGAGCAAGACTCTGTCTCGGGGAGGGGGGGGGGGAGATAAAGAAATAACATCATCTTATACTGTCAAGCTCAAGGTGTCTGCAGCCTTATCTTCAGGGGAAGTTGTGTCTTTCTCAGGGAAGATACAGATTTCAATTTAGAGCAAGACAGAGAGAAGTTACATTCAGAGAGGAAAATGCAGTAGTCTAACTGAAATGAAAAACAAAACAAAGAGTCGTGGTATCACCATTATTATGCAGTCACATTTGAGAAGTTCTGGACAAAAAATAAAACACAAAACAAGCAAGATATATTTTAAAAAGAAGCATAATTATCTTTCTTGTACATGATGATTGGATCTCTGGGAATCCAAAGGGATCAGCTTAAAGGCTGCCTGATATGATTAGCTCAGGAGAGTGGCAGGGTATGAAATAAATGAACAAAAATGAAAAGCATATCTTTCATAGCCAGTGAGAAAGTACACTGGGCAAGGAATGCTCATTTGTAATAACACAAAAATATAAACTATGTGGGAATAACCTCAGATAAGTGTCTATGACCTATATGCAAAAAACTATTAACATTTTAAATACTAATTTTAAAAATCCAGGCATCAGTCAGAGGCCCAGAAAGTGGTGGGCAGAGAGGACAAGAGAAAAGGCTGGGCTCCAGCCTACCTCAGTGCTCTTAAGGGCATGGGGCAGGTGGATTCCAGCCATTTCTGTGCTTTGGAAAAGCTGCCTGATGGTGTTTTAGTCTTTGCACAAGCTGCATCCTCACTAGTCCTGGCCCAAACTTTTGGCTATAGGAGACAGGTACACCCCAACGTGACCCCTGGACCTTAAGAGACTACACCCTCCAGCAGTGCCTGGGACTCTTGTAAACGGAGGAGTCAGTAGAAATGTAGTTGCTTTGGACTTACTGAAAGGACTAGCTAGTGGTGACAAGCTGAGGCACCAGCACTACGAAGGCCACTGAGCTGAGGACAGAGGCAAGTGGATGCCGTGGAGACATGTACGTACATGATGTTTACTATTATATAAAAGTAAAGAAGCAAGGGGAGAAAAGACCCTATGTGTAAACACATCAAAACCATTGTGTTGGCAGGGTGCAGTGGCTCATGCCTGTAATCCCAGCACTTTGGGAGGCCAAGGTGGGCAGATCACCTGAGGTTAGGAGTTCGAGACCAGCCTGGCCAACATGGTGAAACCCCGTGTCTACTAAAAATACAAAAATTAGCTGGGCTAGTGGTGGGTGCCTGTCATCCCAGCTACTCGGGAGCCTGAGGCATGAGACGAGGGGCAGAGACTGCAGTGAGCCGAGATTGCGCCCCCGCACTGCAGCCTGGGTGACAGAGCGAGACTCAGTCTCAAACAAACCAACAAAAAACCACCGTGTGAACTGTGGATTATGTGCAGGTATATAAGGCCGTATCCGAAACCTTGGGAACAGAAATGTTTTAGAATTAAGACGTGTTTGGATTTTGGAAATGCCACACAATGTACAAATAACATATAACACATGTACACCCTACTGCAGAACCGCCTGGGCATGGTCTAGAATTGCACCCTTTTGCCATAGTTGTGTTTCTGCAGTAAAATATAACACTGTTCACACAAAATGGAATAAACACTAAATACAGTCTCAGGCGTGTGCAGCTAAGATGATCTTGCTGCCTTAAGAATTATAAACATACTGTGTTTCAGACCCTCATGTCTTTTTGAATTGCAAGTAAGAGACTGTGGACCTGCATGTTTCTCTTCTCTATTTCTCAAATTTTCTGTAATAATATTGTGGTGAGGTTACAAACATACTGCCATTGGCCACAGATGGACAGCCATAAGGCTATCTGTCCTTGCCTACAGCAGCTCCATATTCCCCACAAGGTCCCCACCCCGCTGGATAACGGGTTCTTGCAGAGGTGGGCAGCGTCTTCACACCAGAGCTCGAGAAGCCAGCCCCCAGCCCCGGGCCTTCTCCCACGTCTCCGTGCCTTGAAAGCTCTCTCCCAACTTGGGTTCTGAGGCAGGGGTGGAATGAAGGCCTCTGGATATGATTCCTCCCTCTCTAACTCCTTTTCCCCACTGTCCCGTGGAAGTGGAAAGGCTGTGTGACGAGCCCTCGACAGGAAAAGCGACGCAGTAGGCCGAGGACAGGCCGGCCCTAGGGGATGCCCCCGTGGTGTGTAGACTGCCCCTTAAGTTCACTGAATTTAAACCTAAGCTAATATTTTCAGGCCTGTGGCACAGCTAGAAACCCAGATGATGGAGGAGTTCCACGGCGTGTAAGGCAGAGATTCGGACTCAGAAATTAGGGAGGTGGCTTCTCACATCCCACATGGTAGGAGATGAAGTCTGAGGTGAGAGCAGCGCAGTGGTCTTCTGATCTGATGAGAACGTGTTAGGCTGGTTTCCTGAGGGACAAGTCCATCAAGTCTGCTGTACAAGCAACATCTCATCCTTATTCCCAATATTAATTAAACCTTTGATATAGCCATGTCCCGGGGTCTTATTTCTGCCTACCTACTAACTCAAGATCTTGGGCTCCCAGATTTCCTTTTCCTTTTACTATCTATCTACCTATCTGCCTACCTACCTACCTAACCTGCCTAACCTACCTAGCCTGCCTACCTATCAGGCCTACCTAGGCTATCTATCTACCTACCTATCTATCTATCTAGGACTTCTAGTAAACACAGGTTCGGTAAGAATAAACCTTAAGCTTTTTCTTCTTCTACCTGACAGTGTTCTCACAGCAGTTGAAAGAAAATGTTTCAAATGATAAATTATACAGAAAAATAATATTTCAATTATATATGTACATGCTGTTTCTGAAGGTATGCTATGTATTCATCTACTGTCTTTATATTGTTTAAATGAAGAAAATAGGTTGCACAACAAACATTTCCTTACAATAACTCAAATTTCTCAAAATGTGTTAACATCCTACTCAAATTAATCTTTGTTCCTAAGAGGAGAAAAAGTATAAAATGCTAATCTTACTAATAAAATAATAATAATTATTATTTTTTTTGAGACAGAGTCTTGCTCTGTCGCCAGGCTGGAGTACAGTGGTGCGATCTCGGCTCACTGCAACCTCCGCCTCCTGGATTCAAGCAATTCTCCTGCTTGAATCAGCCTCCCAAGTAGCTGGGATTACAAGTGCCTGCCACCACACCCAGCTAATTTTTGTATTTTTAGTAGAGACAGGGTTTCACCATGTTGGCCAGGATGGTCTGGATCTCCTGACCTTGTGATCCACCCCACCTTGGCCTCCCAAAGTGCTGAGATTACAGATGTGAGCCACTACACCTGGCCTTTTTTAATTTTTATTTATTTTTATTTTTATTTTATTTATTTATTTTGAGAACGGAGTCTCACACTGTTGCCCAGGCTGGAGTGCAATGGCGCAATCTTGGTTCACTGCAACCTCCACCTCCCAGGTTCACGTGATTCTCCCACCTCAGCCTCCCAAGTAGCTGGGATTGCAGGCGCACACCACCACACCCGGCTAATTTTTTTGTATTTTTTAATAGAGACGGGGTTTCACTATGTTGGCCAGACTCGTCTTGAACTCCTGACCTTGTGATCCGCCCACCTCAGCCTCCCAAAGTGCTGGGATTACAGGCGTGAGCCACCGTGCCCAGCCTAAAATAATAATTAAAACAAGTGAATAACAATGTAATATATGATGCTAAGTTCTATTCAGAGTATATATCTAGTATTCTACATTTTCCAGGCACTTTAAATGACCTTCACTAAAAAAAAACAACTGAGTTTCAAACTTTTGAGTGTCTCAAATCATCCAGTAAATCATTTTTAGTTATCCAATTTTATGCAGGTGCAGTTGGTAATACAAACCTTCGTATCTGTTCATCTGCAGTCCTTACCTTCTTTAAGTGAAAGAAACACTGTACAGTAAACACATTTGGACCCCTCTGACCTGGCATTCTTGGGAGTGGCAGGTGGTCAAACAAGAATGACAGTGGAGATTAATAAAAGAGTGTTCAAAAATACCATGTGCACTTTATACCCAAAACGTGTAAAAAAAAGTTATTTCCCAATCTTCTCATTTAGGGCCAGAAGTGATTTAACTAGTGTTCAACCGTGAGAATTTAGAGTTTTCTTGCATAAACTATGGGCATAAGAATTCCAGATTAGGTTTCTTTAAAATGGAGTTTAAATTTTAAAATGCCCATAAACAATCCAAGTACAGAATTCTTTCCCCCATATTTTACAGTTGACTTAATATTCTCATCTACTTCGAAACAAGTTTTCGTAGTGACTTGACTTTGAAAGCATTCATTTTCTTAAAAACAAGCTCTCATGTCTCACTCATATCTCATCAGTTACATAATATTTAATTGAGGCCGGGCAGGGTGGCTCACGCCTGTAATCCCAGTACTTTGAGAGGCCAAGGCAGGTGGATCATTTGAGGTCAGGAGTTCAAGACCAGCCTGACCAACATGGTGAAATCCTGTTTATACTAAAAATACAGAAAAAAATAAAATAGCTGGGCGTAGTAGCCCATGCCTGTAGTCCCAGCTACTAGGGAGGCTGAGGCAGGAGAATCGCTTGAACCTAGGAGGCAGAGGTTACAGTGAGCTGAGATGGTGCCACTGCACTCCAGCCTGGGTGACAGAGCAAGATTCCGTCTCAAAAAAAAAAAAAAGAAAAAAGAAAAAATATTTAATTGAATTACATTTTATAATAATCCTTACAGGTGTAGAAAAACTGACTCTTGGTAGGCATACAGTTCAACTGGTGTGAGCCCAAGTGACTGACATTCTAGAGAATGCCTACGGTCTTCCAACGGTCAGTGCAATGGGCAGTCGGCACGTCTTACGAGGAAATGAAGCGTGTTGGATAAGCAGACCAAACAGCTGTGAGAACGCTGCCACTGTGAGAGCTTTAAGTGGCCTCAATTCCTCTTTTTTGAAGTACACTTTATGTTTTACAATAATTTGAGATGTACAGAAAAGCTGCAAGGATACCACAGAGTGTCCCTCAGTGTCCCCCACTGTTAACATCACATTATAATAGTATGTTTGCCACAACTAGGAAACCAACATTGGTTCGTGAAAATTACCTAAAACTCTATTAGGATTTTACTCATCTTTCCACTGACGTTCTTTTGCTGTGCCAGGATCCCATCCAAGTGAACACACTAGAGTCAGTCACCATGCCTCCTGAGCCTCTTCTGGTCTGCGGCAGTTTCTCAAACTTCCCTTGTTTTTCATAACCTTCACAGTTTTGAGGAATACTAGCCGTGTATCCTAAAGAATGTCCCCAATCAACATTCATCTGTTTTACTCATGATTAGACTGGGCTATGGGTTTTAGGGAAGAATACCGAAGAGGTGAAGTGGCCTTCTCATCACATCGTGTCAACAATCACATCATCAACAGGACTTTCCACTGAGGATGTGAACAATTACTGGCCATGGCAGCATCCAACAGGCTTCTCCACTGTAAAGTCGCTTCGTTTTCCCCTTCCCATACTCTACTTTTTGGAAGCAAGTCATTATGTGTAGCCCACATTCAAGAAGGCGTTGGAGGCGGAATCGTCTTCACCAGGGAATATCTACATTAAACATTTGAAATTCTTCTGTAAAGAAGCATTGTCTTCTGTCTCCCATCTCCCATTTATTTATTTATTCATTCAGTTGTTTATATCAGTATAGACTCATGGATAACTATGTACTGAGTTATAATCCAACAGTACCTGAGTTAGTTCCAGTTTTGGCCATTGGGAGCTCTTTCAGGTTAGCTCCTGGGTCCCTTTCACATGTCCTATCCTTCCACTTACTGGAACAAGTACCAGTACCTTGTTCTGGTACTACACGATGCTCTAGGCTCATCTTGTATTTTCCCTGCCCCAGCCCCAGAATCAGCAATGTCTGCAAGGAGCCCTGGTTTCTTTCACTAGAGAATGGTATTAGAAACCCGGATCTGGGTACTGGGTGTGTTCATTGTTACTGCGGTGTCACTGCTTTAGGCCCTCTCACAGCAGGCAGAGCTAGGACATATGTATATGCATAACCCATGTATACACACACACCTATAATTATTTCTGCTTCTATCCATCTGAATCTATATTAAGCTAACTATGAATTCTTATTGACATCTTGGACAAATCCATTACTACCTGGCTCATTTTAGCCTTTTCTACTAATCTGTAACTTCCCTCTCCAACAATAAGAAACTTGGCTCCCTCCATCAATTGGTTTAATATTAAGGACTAACTTTCTACCTTTTTCTCTACTTCATCTAATTTTACAAATTTATCATCTGTAATTTCCACATTTCATTGAAAGGAATATATAACCAGGAGGAGAAATAACAAAAATATGAAATACCTTTCAAGTTCTCCAAGTTCTTATCACAACAGTGAAGAAGTGAACATTTAAATCTAGTCACCATTGAGACCACTGGACCCTTCTGATTACAGGCTCTCAGGAAAGTAAACATCATCAAAAGAGGATAACTATACTTTGCCTTTTCTTTTTGCCACAATATCCTGTTGCAGCAGTTGTTTAGAATAACTATCCAATTTATCATCTTCCCCAAGAAGTTTGAGTTATCAAGGCTGGAAGAATTTATGTTAAAGAGAAAGAATTTCTTTGTAAGAAATTCTTCCGTTTTTACAATTATTAGGGTAATGGGTTTCTTGACAGTGGCATTGCAATGAAGCCCAGAATTATATTTGATTAATTCAAGTCATCTTAAATCTGTAGATGTTTAAAAAAAAAAACTTAAAAAAAATCTATGGAAATTCCAGATCTGGTTATAACCTTCTGTCTTTGAAAAGTTGTCATATTTGGAATATTATCACCTTCAGTGTATGAACGATAGAAGTATTATTGCCATAATATCATTATTAATTAAAATATCGTTACTTCTAAGGCTCAGTGGACTCTGGTCAGCATTGATATACCATGGGTGCCTGGCTGGCAATAAACAAGACATCATATTCAGAAATGCTTGATGCGTTTGACTTCAATGCTTTGGCGTTATGATATTCTCAAGGGATTTAAAAAATACATGTGAAACCAGGCCAGCTACTGGGATTTTTAGTTTTCAGTATTTTTGGAGATGAGGCCTCACTCGGTCACCCAGGCTGGAGTGCAGTGGCACGATCTCGGCTCACTGCAACCTCTGCTTCCTGGGTTCAAGTGATTCTCCCACCTCAGCCTCTCAAGTAGCTGGCATTACAGGCACGCACCACACACCTGGCTAATTTTTGTATTTTTAGTAGAGACGGTTCCGCCATGTTGGCCAGGCTGATCTCGAACTCCTGGCCACAAGTGATCTGCCTGCCTCAGCCTCCCAAAGTGTTGGGATTACAGGCGTGAGCCACTGCATCTGGTGAGATTTTTAGTTTTACATTATTTCACTTGCTTTAGAGCTGAAGTTTTCTATGGCATTACTAAACATATACAATCCAATTAATGTTTTAAAGTAGGAATGAGTAGGTATTCTCAATTACTCCTCCTTTCAATACTGTGCCTTTTGGTAATGCTTTCCAGTGTTTTCTTGGTCAATAAGAAACAGGAAAACCACAGCAAGCAAGAAATAGATAAAATTAGCTTATCGGTTCCACCAACTACTTTTAATAATTTTCACCTGGCACAATTCACTGATGCAAGAGTAATTACTTTTTCTTTTCCTTTTTTTTTTTTTGAGACGGAATCTTGCTCTTGTCACCCAGGCTGGAGTGCAGTGGCGCAATCTCGGCTCACTGCAACCTCCGCCTCTCAGGTTCAGGCGATTCTCCTGCCTCAGCCTCCGGAGTAACTGGGATTACAGGCACCTGCCACCACGCCCGGCCAATTTTTCTATTTTTAGTAGAGACGGGGTTTCACCATGTTGGCCATTCTGGTCTCAAACTGCTGACCTCAGGCGATCGGCCTGCCTCAGCCTCCCAAAGTGCTGGGATTACAGACGTGAGCCACCACCGCGCCTGACCCTCAAGAGTAATTACTTGAATAAGAAGTACTAGGTTTAGTATTGCGGGAGATTCAATTCCAGGAACAAGGCTACACTGACAGTCATTATTAAATAAAACAGTTGTTTTTTCTATGGATTACAATAATTTTCTCTGAAGACTCTTTTGCGGCCAGGCATGGTGGCTCATGCCTGTAATCCCAACATTTTGGAAGGCCAAGGCAGGTGGATCACTGGAGGTCAGGCGTTTGAGACCAGCCTGGGCAACACAGTGAAACCCATCTCTACTGAAAATACAAAAATTAGCTGGGTGTGGTGGCGTATAGCTGTAAGCCCAGCTACTTGGGTGGCTGACGCACGAGAATCACTTGAACCCGGGAAGACGGAGGTTGCAGTGAGCTGAGATCACGCCACTGCATTCCAATCTGGGCAAGACAGCGAGATTGTGTTTCAGAGTTAAAAAAAAAAAAAAAAAAAAAGGCCTTTGGTTTGCATTAAAGAAACCAATCTTAGCCTGAATTGACCAGAGGTGACCAAAATTATTTAAAACACATAGGTATAAGAATGTGGGCTCTGGAGTCAAACTGACTTCAAATTCCTGATTTACCTGCTAATAATTACATGACAAGTTAATGGATCTCCCTAAGCCTCAATTTCCTCTTCTGTAAAATGCAGATAATACCTATGAGCGTTAGTCTTGAGGCACAAGTGCTCAATTAATGTCAATTTGTAATATAATAAACTGGAATAGACGTTAGTGGTTAATACTTTCTCATTTGTCGGCCTTTCTCTATTTCACATCACAGCTGCATGTGTATCACACACTGCCCCCAGACTGAACTACATATAGTGCTCTCAATACTGGAAGATATTTTACACTTCTTAGAAATACTCTTCCCTTCCTGGACTCCTTAGCAAACTCTTACTACTCAAGATTCAGCCCACACATCTCTCATCTATTCGGTCACTTACTCATCATCCAACGTTTTTTTTAACACTCGCTGTAAATGGCATCCTCGTTCTGGAAACGCATCTACCAGCAATTAAAACATGTAGAATTAGCACTGCTTAGGAGAACGCCTATAAAATATGCATCTTAGATCATCTTCCGTTTTAGAAAATTGATCCCACCTGCTACACGCCTGGTGAAACTCCAGTTACTTGCCAGTAAGATATTGTCCCCCAAATGTACTTATCCTGTTTTTGTGCATTATAAGCTTTGTTCAGTTTATAGTTTCTAGGCCCATTACTAAAGTCAAGTCAGATATCCAGCTGAGATACAACTTTTTTTTCTGAAAACAATGTGAGCAATGGACAGGTACGCTGTGATTAAAGGGAGAAAAGCTGTAACGACTCCCCAAATTTCCTTTCCTTATGAAATTTACGTATGTAACAGGAAGTTAAAAAATAACTACCACTTAATGCATACTGAACAGAATCTTGTTTCAAAGAAAAGATATGAAATATGGAGGCACTTTCACCACACAAATATCCCACTACATATGCTAACTGCAGTATTTATGTTCAAAACTGTAAGAACGTGTCTGATACCCTTTATTAGTTAGGAATTCCTGAAAATGAACTTCTGTGCAAACCTGAAGCTTCAACACGTGTTTTAAAAAGCAGTGCTTATTGAATTGATAAACAAAAGCGAAACTGGCAATATCAACGTGTGCTCACCTCACAAATCTGACAACAGTATCTCTACACTGCCGTTCTTTAAACATCATTAAAAGATATTGTGAATAGTTTAAATATTAAAAATGTGGAATATAAGAACGATTCTATATATTTGAACACACATTTATATTCAAATATTCATATGAATAAAAATGCTTAAAACTACCCCTTGGGTAACTAAGTATAACAACATAAACTTGCGATTGCAAATTTTATGGCTCTTACTACAAAACAAAAAGTAGAATGAAAAGACCACTTATCTTTAGAGGACAAGCATGAACTTGTTTTCTAACAGCATAACAATAAACGTATTTATTTCTCCGAGCTTTCAAAGGCATCAACAGAAGGGAATCACTAAAAATGTAGGGGAAAAGAAACACTCGGCTGGAGCTTTGGTTTCTAAGCAGATCCTTCTGGAAAGACGCTTAGGGAGAGTCTAGGGAGCAGCTCTGACGTCAGTAGCTGCCATCGGAAGTCAGGTCATGTTCTACAAAAAGCAGTGACGCACGCCCGACAGCACCCGCGGGGCCGGACAGCGGCTTCACCAGCCCCGCGGGTCCGAATCGCACGCGGCCGGGTCCGCTCTCCCGGGAGGAGAGCCCGGCGTGGACCAGCGTGACGACCCCAGCGTGCTGCGGCCTCTCCCCGAGGGCCCCTCCACAAGGGTCCCTGCGCGGGCCGGGCTCGGCCGTTGCCACTCGGGACAGCCATCCCCTCGAGTTCGCGCTCGCCGTCCCCGCCTTCACCTCCCGGGTTGGGAGGCGGGCGACTGCGCGCGAGGTAAAGGAACTTGCGTTCCCCGGCGCCGAGGCGGCAGCAGCGCAGTGCACAGCGGCTTCTGAAGGCGGCGTCGACGGGGAGCTGCGCGTGGCTCCCAGTTTCCTGGTTACGTGCGCGCCGGCAGAGCCAAAACCTGCAGCCGAAACTCCCGCTTCTCCGTAAGGATTAAAGGGCGGGCGCACTACCGGGAGACGTGTCAAACTCAGCGCGCCTCATGGCGGCCGCGGAGCCCCACCCGCTCCTACTCCAGTCCTCTCACGCCCACTGACTTACCCTGCGCACGCGCGCTGAGGCTCCGTGGGGCCGCCGCGGGCCCCGCCCCGAGGTGGGAGGGCCTGACGCATCCACAGCTGGCCAATCGGCGGATGGCCTCGCGCGCCCGCCCCCTCCCCCTGCCCCCGGCGCCGGGCTCCACGTGCCAGTGTTTGTGTACGTGCGGCCGTGGCGGGGCTGGACAGGGTCCGGGTCGTTGAGGATTAGGCTGCTCGGGCGTAACCGGAGCTGGGGCGCGGCTGCCAAGGGCCGGCCCGGAAGTCCCAGCGGTCTTTAAATTCTCCCGTGCTAGGGCCAGCCTGCGCATTCTTACCTGTCGGGGTGCGGCGAGTGTCTCACCTCTCTGCACTTCCAAGGACTCTTGTCATCTGCCTTAGGCGGGAAATGCTGTTGCTGGATTGCAACCCCGAGGTGAGATTCGGGCTCACAGAGCCCGAGCTTTTGTCCTGCAGGCTCAAGCTTCTAGATTCGTCTTCTCGTTAATGCGGGGACGGACCACTGGGCGCTGCCTGGTCAGAGCTGGTTGTGAAGGGCGGGGAGGTTTCCAGCCCGGAGGGGCGCGGGACTGGACAAAGGTGGGAAGGGTGCTGGATCTGTTCTCTTCCTGCAGGTGGATGGTCTGAAGCATTTGCTGGAGACAGGGGCCTCGGTCAACGCACCCCCGGATCCCTGCAAGCAGTCGCCTGTCCACTTAGCCGCAGGAAGCGGCCTTGCTTGCTTTCTTCTCTGGCAGCTGCAAACGGGCGCTGACCTCAACCAGCAGGTAACTAGGTAACTGTTGCTGTGTACAGCCGTCCCCTCCAACCCAGACACACACAAACATTTCTCAGACGCCAAGAGTTGTTTCAGCTGTTAAAAACATGTCTATAGCAGCGATGTCCAACAGAAATATAATGCAAGACACAGATGTAATTTAAGAGTTTTTTTCCAGTCTTGATGTGAGGACATGAGAAATTTGAAGTTTTTAAGTAGCCACATTAATAAACGAAACATGAAATTTTAGTATTTGACCCAATTTGTCCAAAATGTTATCAGTTCAATATGTAATCAAAGCAATTGCTGATTAGATATTTTACACTTTCTTTTATTCTGTCTTCACAATCTGGTGTGACAGCGTATCTCAAATCAGACTAGCCACATTTCAAATACTCTAGCCTTAAGTGGCTGTTGACTATCATATTGAACAGCACAGATCTAGTTTATTTCAAAAGAAGTAATTGCTACATTACCAAAAGTCTCCCTGCAGCAATTGAAATACTTAGGAGCTATGTCCACAAGCATTCTAATTTCCTAAAGAGTTTTCTTACTGTAGTTTGCATCTTCCACTGAATATTAAAGCATGGTGAATTTTAAATTGTAAACTTTTCTGGAAGAACTCTTTTT
Source organism: Homo sapiens (assembly GCF_000001405.40). Classification (NCBI taxonomy): domain Eukaryota; kingdom Metazoa; phylum Chordata; class Mammalia; order Primates; family Hominidae; genus Homo; species Homo sapiens. The sequence goes on from NC_000004.12 coordinate 185,397,923, forward strand.
ATTTGCTTACATTTTAATGTATGTGCATATGGCTACACGTTTTTATTTATTTGAGACGGAGTTTTGCTTTTGTCGCCCAGACTGGAGTGCAATGGCGCGATCTCGGCTCACTGCAACCTCTGCTTCTTGGGTTCAAGAGATTCTCCTGCCTCAGCCTCCCTAGTAGGTGGGATTACAGGCACGCGCCACCGTGCCCGGCTAATTTGTGTATTTTTAGTAGAGACAGGGTTTCACCATGTTGGCCAGGCTGGTCTCGAACTCCTGACCTTAGGTGATCCGCCTGCCTCAGCCTTCCAAAGTGGTGGGATTACAGGCGTGAGCCACCGCGCCCAGCCACACATTTTTATTAATGAAAACGGTATGAAAAAGCAAACTAAAAGAACTAATCAAAAATAAAAAGCTTTTGCAGCTTACCGAGGAAAAAAACAAAAATAAAAAGCTTGAATTTAAAAATTCAGTCCAAAGGAGGAGATTTTTAGAAGGTTCCATACTGAAATGAATATGCAAGCATAGTACATTTCTATGTTTCAAATTAGCCCATGGAGTTGGCTATCCCTAATGTAATCACTAAAAGTATCTAGAAGATCTAAATAAAGGAATGATCATTTCAGAGCGTATGCTAGAATGCTGAAGTTATAATAGTCCACTAGTTACTTAATTCTGCATTTCTGAAGTGTTGCACTTGCAAACGATTATCAGTAGTGTTTTTAATTAGAAGAGATGTTGATGCAGGTTTATATGTATCAAAAACACATGACTTCTTAGTCTTAAAAGTGACTAAGACTTCTTATTTCTGAAAACAAACCCAAAACCGGAACTGAGAATGAATATTAACAAAATAAACCCACGAAAAGTTTTTGGTGTTCTCTGCCAAAAAAAAAAAAAAAAAAAATTCCCTGTCCAGTACAATGCAGTTCTAACTAGCTTCCTTAAATAGCTAATATTAAATGTCACTCATCAACTTTCACAAAAAGTGTTTTTGGGAGACTCTAAAATGCACCATCTTACCTTAAGGATGTTTTAGGAGAAGCTCCACTACACAAGGCAGCAAAAGTTGGAAGCCTGGAGTGCCTAAGCCTGCTTGTAGCCAGTGATGCCCAAATTGAGTGAGTATGAAAACAGTGGCTTCACATTTTATGTTTTCTTGGATTAAACTAATCAGACTCCTGAAGCTTAGTTACATGTGCTTTTAAAAATAATGCTTGCGTAATTGATAATTTAGTGTTAATCATTTAAATGTTAACTTAGGTTGTTGGTGCTATCGAATAATACTCAGTTCGAGTAAGTAAAAAGTCAGATCCTGAGCAATCAGAGGTGCAATTTTGTTCATTATGACTGTATTCTACTTCAGTTTCGGTTCAGGAAAACCCATTCTATAGTTCCCATTGACTACCTTTGGGTACTCATACACTGTATTAAACATCAGATAATTCTAACATTCATTCAGAACTGGAATGCCCGCTCTATGCTGGATTCTGTTAGTTGCTGAGGATACAATAGTGACCAAAAATGCAATTTCCTTATGCATCCTTTACCTCTTCTGTTCTGCAACCAACATTTGTATGAGCCCAAAATTCCCTTGTAAGATATAAAAAAAAAGACTTAAGTTCAATGTTTCATTTCACTCCGTTTTTATCCTGTTTTCAGTTTATGTAATAAGAACGGGCAAACAGCTGAAGATCTCGCTTGGTCATGTGGATTTCCAGACTGTGCCAAGTTTCTTACAACAATTAAATGTATGCAGACAATAAAAGCAAGTGAACACCCTGACAGGAATGATTGTGTTGCCGTGCTCAGACAGAAACGGAGTCTCGGAAGTGTAGAAAATACCAGTGGGAAAAGGAAGTGCTGGTAAGTAACTCAGAGCTGCTGCTTTTTTCCTCCCGCAGTGATCTCTTGTTTGCATAGCATTTATTATTCCATTTAATACTGACACTCGTATTTCTAGTAGTATTGTTTCATTCTCATTAACATTTTAGTACTGGTTATACTTACCAGAGTCTAGAGACCAAAAATGGGACTGCATGGTGGAAGTTTGGGGATAAAACTCTTTTTAAAAAAAAGTTTTTAATGTTAACGTGTTTTTAAAAACAGATGTCACGTGGGTTATGAAGAAGTCTGAAGAACGCCTTCATTTCATGCAAATCTATAAGCTCCTGCTTTTGGCTTTACCATATGTTGTGTCTAATCTCCTTCTGAGAAGGACGAAAAACTTTCTTCCAAGTGAAGATCCATTTAAGAACACATGTATTTACATGCCTATAATATGCTGGTTGTGTATGCTTTGTCTTTTAAGTTATTAAAGGAACGTCTAAAAAATACATTCTCCGTGCAGTATTTACAACCTTTGAAAAAGGTCATAATTTAAATCGTCAAACTAGAACCAGGATTTAATGTGAAAAATTAAACTGATTCTTTATTCACAAATTTATAATACCACTCTACTGCAGTCTTTGACTCCAAGATATTTTAAATCATATTTGGTCGCTGAGGAAGACATAAGTTATAGTATGCATCCTTGTTCCAAAAATCTGGGCCCTTCCATCCGCACCAGCCCTGGATAGAGAAGACGGGAAAGGAAAGCCTTTTACAAAGTTACAAGATTATGTCATGGAAATCGTGACATCAGGCTCTGTCAGCAGGACCTTGGAATAAGACTCTAAATGGCTTTATCATTCAAGGATTTGAATTCCTACTAGCATAGAAAAGTAACGTATCTTACCCTTTAAGGTAGGTTTTTGAACTTTTAATTCTATGTATGTAATTCATCATAAAAATCATTAAAAAAAATTTACCTGTAACTGTTATTCCAGATACCACACTTTACTGATTCTGAGATGTATAGTTTTACCACTTGCAACTGATAGCATGTGACAATTGAACTAGCAATCTGTTTTTCTTAATAGTCCATAAAGGACTGTAAGAGACCATTCAGTGGCATCTTAGGATTGAAGTACTGTAGTGAGAAACCTCAGCTTGCCCCCTGCCTGGCACTCTGTGCCCTTTCATTTTCAAATTCCAGGTGTTACTCAATTCTACTTCCCATGTTTCATGTCAGTATTAATCCTTTTTGCCAGCAGAGAAAATTACTTTCAAGCAAAATCTCATTTAGAGTATGAAAATTTCTCAGATTTCTCCTAGGGCCACTGAGTTATTTTATTAAAGAAGAAAACTTAAAAGCCAATAACTGGTCTGTATTATATGATTCTTAAATGCTTTGAGAAATCCTTGCAAGGAGGCTGAGACTCTGAAAATACCATGAAGTGAGTGACAAGCAGCGGTCTGACTCCCTCCTAATAAGATACACGTTGTCAAAAAACAAGATAAAAGTAAAAAATCCTCTACCAGTCCTAGGTAATCCCCCACTCTCCCTAGGTAACCAGCATTCTATTAATCATCTCATTTTTTCAGCAAAACTTTCTCTATTAATTTAATGTCCTAAAATCTGTTCTCTTAACAGACAGAGAAAAAAGGCTCATTCTGTTTTAACCTTTTTTTGATCCTTTTACACATGAAGGCCTTGTCCAGGTAACCAGATCCAGATTTTTTAAAGGAGAAATTGGTAGAGAGGGTGTCAGAATGGGATTGCATAGGGACATAGTGCATAGGACATGCTTCTTTCCTGTGAGATGACCAGCATGGGAACTTCAAACAGGAAAGCACCACAAGAAGGCAAAGAGGTCAGGCAGAGATGGAACTCTCCTCTGGCCTCCTGGGTTCCTGGAGTCAAGTGAATCAATAGTTTTAATGGCAGGACCTTGGCTGCACAGTTTCTTGTGTATACAAATAGAGCAAGGAGGTTTCTGCTGTTGAAAAGTTCTATAGAAATAGAACTAGCAAAGATGGAGATTGCAATTCTCAGAGAAAGAAATCAGGGACAATCCCTTACTCTAATTGTTCAGAAACCTTACCTAGATAATGCCATGTAGTGCAGAGCCCCTTGAGTCAACCAGAAAAGAGAAATTTGATGATGAAAATAATTAAGGCTTCTCCCTGCCTTTAAGAAAAAATCGAAATGCCTGGTTCACAAAGACCACCCTTTCTGACTGAGCTTGGTGTGTCCTTCCAGCCTCACCTCTTCGCCTAGCTCTGGACGCACTGATCTACCTGCAGTGCGGCTTTCACTGTTTCTACAAGGCAGGGGCCACCACAGCACCAGCCTCGTAGAAGCACCTGAGATACCATTTTTTTTTTCTCGAGAGTCCTTTTTGCACTCTCCTTCTCTGTCCTACCCTAAAGGTTTTAGCTCCCGAAAAACCTCGTGTAATACTAGTGCTTAGGACAGTGCCTGGCACTTGTTAGGTACTTTAATAAATACTGAATGGAATGAACACCTTGCTACAGAACAAGAATATTGCTACTATATTCAGTAAGATACATGCACCAGTCAAAAAACCTTTTATAGACTTCAAATTCCAAATGCTGTGAAAGAGAAAAGGAAAAAAAAACACTTAAAACTGTAACAACACATTTCTATCCTATTAGTGTTTATACCCTTATCATAAACAAAAGACTTCAGTAAACTGAGGATATAACAGAGTTGGACTACACACATTAAAAACTTTTTTTTGAGCTGGAATTTCACTCCTGTTGCCCAGGCTGGGGTGCAATGGCGCCATCTCAGCTCACTGCAACCTCTGCCTCCCGGGTTCAAGTGATTCCCCTGCCTCAGCCTCCCAAATAGCCAAGATTATAGGCGCCCACCACCACACCTGGCTTATTTTTGCATTTTTAGTAGAGATGGGGTTTCACCATGTTGGCCAGGCTGGTCTCGAATTCCTGATCTCAGGTGATCTGCCCACCTCAGCCTCCCAAAGTGCTGGGATTACAGGTGTGAGCCACCACGCCTGGCTTAAAACTCTTTAACATATTAAAACATTTTATCTTTAGTTTATAGTTTAAAAGGTGGTTATGTATTCTCTGCAATTTCAATGTATTTGGCAGCGAATATAAATGTTACTTAAAATTCAAGTTAATTATGTTTTACAATACTTTCTCCTAAAGACTTGGTACTGAGTTTTCATATGTGAGAATTAGTTGCCTATGAATTAACAAATTTTTACCTCCTTTATCTGCTATTGTAAGTAAGAATACTCTTAAATATGTATCAACTTCAAACCCTTTATAGAATGAGATTAGGTTATATGTAAATGAATTAAAATTAGTCAAGCCTCCATAATGTCTAGCATACTGCTTAGCTATCTTTTGGTTAATTCTAAAATTTTAAAAGTTTATATATTCTGCTCATCTATTTTAAGACATTGATAAACTTTGATACATTTGTTTATGAAAGCTCTAAAATCTCCAAAGGAATATATTTATGAGTGTGTGTCCTATTATTAATTTTAATAGCTGAGAAAGTTTCTATAAACCTAAATTTTGTCTTTTGCAATGTGCTTTGTTCTTGCACATTCCCTATACAGAGACGGCTACTTACAACAGCCTCAGAAGGCCTCCACACAGGGAGATCTCTGCCCTCAGCTTATTGTCTTTCTGTTACCAGCCAGTTTGTGATCCTTCATTTCTAGCTTCTTTGCCTTTTGTCTCAATTTGTGTTAAATGGATACTTACCTTTTCCAAAATAACTTGCAGGTCTTCAGCACCGGTATAATGTGGATCTAGAATCAGAAACTTTATCTGCCCTGTAATCTCATTCCATGCAACTCCTAGTATTGTGTGGGCCAAAACTCCTCCCCCTATAGAAGAAAAAATAGGAAATACGAATGAAGGCATAAACAAATGTCAAATGCCTATTCAATTTAAATAGACAGATTACGGCCGGGCGTGGTGGCTCACACCTGTAATCCCAGCACTTTGGGAGGTGGGTGGATCACGAGGTCAGGAGATGGAGACCATCCTGGCTAATGCAGTGAAACCCTGTCTCTACTAAAAAAATACAAAAAAAATAGCTGGGCTTGGTGGCAGGCGCCTGTAGTCCCAGCTCCTGCTGAGGCAGGAGAATGGCATGAACCTGGGAGACGGAGCTTGCACTGAGCCGAGATCATGCCACCGCACTCCAGCCTGGGCGACACAGCAAGACTCTCAAAAAAAAAAACAAAAAAAAACAACATTACTTTGCTTATTAACTGATCTAAAATAGCATTAAAATGGACTACCCTACACTATAAAAGACACAATGTCAGATATACTCTGAAAGGATAAAATTACATCTTTAACACAAAAGATACAATCATATCTATAATCACATACAATTTATATTCTACATTCACATCCATATAATTACCTAAAATGGATTTAGAAAGGGCCATAAACTCCTCCCAACAGAGTAACAATCTGCTGTAGTGCCTCTCTCAGCAGATGGTCCTGCTGCCTCTGAGTACCTCCAGTGATATAGCACTCCATTCATTAAGTTTTTTTTTTTTTTTTTTTTTTTGAGCTAGAGTCTCACGTCACCCAGGCTGGAGTGCGATAGCGTGACCTCGGCTCACTGCAACCTCTGCCTTCCAGGTTCAAGCAATTCTCCTGCCTCAGCCTCCTGAGTAGCTGAGACTACAGGCGCACACCAGCACACCCAGCGAATTTTTTGTATTTTTTTTTAGTAGAGACGGGGTTTCACTGTTAGCCAGGATGGTCTCGATCTCCTGACCTCGTGATCGACCCACCTTGGCCTCCCAAAGTGCTGGGATTACAGGCGTGAGCCACTGTGCCCAGTCTTTTTTTTTGAGACAGAGTCTTGCTCTGCTACCCAGGCTGGAGTACAGTGGGCAATCCCGGCTCACTGCAACCTCCACCTCACAGCTCAAGCGATTCTCCTGTTTCAGCATCCCAAGTAGTTGGGATTACAGGTGTGTGCCACCACACCCAGCTAAATTTTGTATTTTTAGTAGAGACAGTGTTTTGCCATGTTGGCCAGGCTGGTCTCGAACTCTTGGCCTCAAGTGATCCGCCCGCCTCAGCCTCCCAAAGTGCTGGATTACAGGCATGAGCCACTGTGCCTGGCTAGAAAATGTATTTTAAAACATAAGCTCATACAATCAGGAGTCAGGCGTGAGCTACTGGGCCCGGCCTACTCATTAAGTTCTTTCTGATATTTTGCTGACATCAGCCTACCTCCATTTCTTTTTTTTTTTTTTTTCTTTTGAGACAGTGTCTCACTTTTGTAACCCAGGCTGGAGAGCAGTGGATCTCTTGGCTCACTGCAGCCTCCTGGGCTCAAGCAATCCTCCCACCTCAGTCTCCTGAATAGCTGGCACTATAGGCTCACACTACCATGCCAGCTAATTTGTGTGTTTTTTTTTTTTTGGTAGAGACGCGGTCTGGCCCATGCTGGTCTTGAATTCCTGGATGCAAGCTATCCTCCTGCCTCAGCCTCCCGAAGTGCTAGGATTACAGGTGTGAGCCACTATGCCCAGCTTCTACCTCCATTTCTTACACACTAGTCTCACCTTGCCTTCTGTCATCACAGGACAGGTCTTGTTCTTCAAAGAATTAAGCATCTTTAGATCAGCTAATCCAATCTTCTTATTTTACAAATAAAATCCACAGAGGTAAGTAATTGCAAAATCTCACAAAGCCAGCCCAGTTATGACAGAGTCATGACTTACGAAGCTCAGCTGAGTGACCGTTTCCTCTTTTTAATACTGTTCTCAGCTCTTTAAATGTTTGAACATAGCTACCATTTCTCAGCCTTTACTTCTTCTGGTTATTATAATCTTTTTTGTAACCTTTAAGCCACCTTAGAAATTTTTTTCAATATCCAGAGATCCATACATATGGTGTAAAAGTTAATTTCAAAATTTTTTAAATGACTGATTTTATGCAACATTAAATATTTATATCAATGATAAGTTTTGCATATTACTCACTCTACCAAAAACAGTGTCTGAAACAGCTTACCGATCATAACTGGAGTTCCTTCACTTTGGAAATGATTAGCCAGTTCCCGTCCTTGAGAGGCAATTTCTGAACCTTGGCTAGAAAGAAACCATTTTCTATCAGATGAACTACTTCCAACACTACGGTCAAATAATGAGCTAGGAGACAATGTTTCCTACTTTCTTGTTTTTTCGGGTGTTACTGAAAAAATATATAAATGTAAAAAAATTAAGTGTTAGGGAACTGAGAGCAATTAAACTGTGCAATTTAAAGCAACATAAACTCAAAATACTTAAGGCCACCAAGTGTGCTAGATAAGACGCTAAAAGACCTTGATTTTCTGCTTCTTGAACTGTATAAAGGAGGCCTGGGTTTTTAACATGAAGTTAAAACATCACCTTGGTGCTCAGGGAGTTCTTATGGATGGATTAATCAGAAGAATGAGTGTTAAGTCCTGGGTTCTTGCCTTCTTGCTGGTAGACTTCTTAGTCTGTATTTCCTCATCTTTAAATTGGGACCCAAAACGCTGACCTGTCTACATAACAGAGGAGAGTCTAGGCCTAAAATACATGTCTGTGAAATCAATGTGAAAACTGCAAAATGTTTTCAAGTGCAACATACTATTTTTAGGGAATCTCAGAATTTTTACTTTTGAAAAGAGAAAGATAGATGGGATAATGAAGGGAGGTATTTTTTGGGGGAAGGTGCCCGGTGGTGCTAAACCTTAGCTCTTGCTTAATGAGGAACGTATGTTTTAATGTACCAAAACTGTAACTTTTAAAAAAAGTTCTTCACTACTTAAGTCTGTCATTGTTTTATATTATTATTATTTTTTGAGATGGAGGCTCGCTCTGTTGCCCAGGCTGGAGTGGAGTGGCGCGATCTCAGCTCACTGCAACCTCCGCCTCTCAGGTTCAAGCGATTCTCCTTCCTCAGCCTCCTGAGTAGCTGGGATTACAGACGTGTGCCACCATGCCCGGCTCATTTTTATATTTTTAGTAGAGACAGGGTTTCACCATGTTGGCCAGGCTGGTGTCAAACTGCCAACCTCAGGTGATCCACCCACCTTGGCCTCCCAAAGTGCTGGGATTACAGGCGTGAGCCACTGTGCCCAGCCAGTCTGTCATTTTTTTACCACTGATTTCCATAACCACTGAGGAAAGGATAAAATTACATCTTTAACACATAAAAGATACAATGAGGACGATGTTACTGTAATTAACAATAGAAAATGTATTTTATTTGTTTTTTGGCTTTTCTTTTTTTTTTTTTTTTTTTTTAGAAAATGTATTTTTCTGTTTTTTTTTTTTGAAAGGGAGTCTCGCTTTGTTGCCTGTGCTGGAGTGCAGTGGCATGATCTTGGCTCACTGCAACCTCCACCTCCTGGGTTCAAGCGATTCTCCTGCCTCAGCCTCCCAAGTAGCTGGGATTACAGGCATGCGCCACCATACCCAGCTAATTTTTTTTGTATTTTTAGTAGAGACAGGGTTTTGCTCTGCTGGCCAGGCTGGTCTCAAACTCCTGACCTCAGGGGATCCACCCACCTCGGCCTCCCAAAGTGCTACGATTACAGGCGTGAGCCACTGCACCTGGCTAGAAAATGTATTTTAAAACATAAGCTCATACAATCAGGAGTCAGCTAGTTATGGTCATAGAAAATAATTAATTTATATTTTCTCATTTTAATATTAGAATTATGGTTAAGATCATTGGAAAAGACAAAATGAATACATTATTTGAACACATTACTAGATTATTAACGTTTTAGAAAGAAAAAGAGCAGGAGGTAAACAAAAAGGTCAGTCATAGTTCAACATTTGAGTTTTGCCTTTTAAGACTTTTTAAAAGATTGGAGCATAAAGAAACTGTTAATATAATTTTTATGACTTTACTCAACGTTAATATATTTTTAAGTTTTCCTCTTCTAGGCTAAAATTAGGCCTAAATAATACAAGTATACATTACATCACAAAGTTTATTCATAAAATCAGAGCCTTCCAAAAAAAAATGAAAAAAAATTAAGATTAAAAAATGAGATTTATAAAGCAATGAGTAATAAGGAAGAAGGAAAAGGAATAAAAAGAAATAAGGGAAGATACCATTTTTTCTATTATTTTAATTAAAATGACAGACTGTCACTTTGAAATGATTTATCTAATTTCTTAAAGTGTGCTTACCTGACAAACAGGATTTTTGACGTTATACCGATCAATTGGTTTAGTACCAGCTGCACCTCAATAGATCCAATCCATTGCCGCGATCCGACAAATGTTGCTGGTTTGTCCCCGGCATCGACTAGAGCCTTGATGTATTTAAAAATATAAAACATCCATACACAAGACAGCTATTAAAAACGATGTTTAGGGCATTTTCCCTGATTACCAGTACAAGAATTTTTTTTTCTTCAAAACAGAAATAAGTCTGCACCATGAGGTAACAAAAATTATCAATGGTATATTAAGGGCTAATGAAACATACAGTTGATTATAATTTAAAACGGTATGTTCTGTACCTGCTGAATTTCTCTGTGTGTTGGAATGGACCTCTCTGTGTATCCCTGATGTTTGAACCAAGAGCAGATAGTCTGCAGAGATCGATAAGCACAGCCCCAGCCATTGTCATCTATGCGATCCTGCATATAATGATGATAGCCATATATGCCCTGGACCACATAAATCTATATACAGAGAAGAAACACAGTAAAATATTAACTTAGGATAGAAGTACATATTCTATATATGCTCCCGAATTATGTTTAATGTTCTTAGAGTTAGACTGTTACTTTAGTTCCTTATAAAAATGCCTTCACAGATCTATGGTTTAACATTATACCTTCTTGGCTTTTTATTTGAGGTTCAAAGTCCTTACCACAGGGCCCAGCAGGACCTACCTTCTGGCCTCCTCTCCAATTTCATCTCCTAAACTTTTCCCTATTGCTCCCTCTACTTTCGGTTCCCATATACCAGGGGCAATATGACCTTGGAGCCTCATGGTTCTCTTGGCCTGGAACTCTCTTTTCCCAAATTAATTGTACAGCTTGCACTCTTACTTCACTCAGGTTTCCATTTAGATGTCAAAGGTCTTCCTTGACCATCCAGTCTACAAACGGCCCACTCATTCTCTCACTACCCCACCCCCTGCCTCACCTGTCATCTCTGTCCTCTTTATGTTTTTATTTTTCAAAGTATATCATGACTTGATATACTTTAAATGATACATTACTTATCATTTAAAAAATATCTGCCTACTTACACTAATATGTGAGCTCAGTGAGTACATACACTGTGTCTTATCCATTTTTGGGCCCAAGCTTCTACAACACGCCTGGCACACGGTTAATATAAATGCTGCTGAATAAATGCTGAATGAATGAAGGAAGGAATAAAGGAATGAACAAACAAATGAAGGGTCCATATCATGGGACACAGGAAGAATGTGTCTAAATTTATAAACCTGCTATGATTACAGCCCAAGTATGTTATTTGATGACGCTAAGTTAAGGGTCAAAAAATAAAGATAAATAAATTACTAATATCATATAAATTCTTACTTATAGTGCTAAGAATGTATATGTCTTTTTTTATTAAAGAACTGGGTTTTTGTTTTTATTTTTTTGAGATTGGGTCACACTATGTTGCTCAGGTTGGTCTTGAACTTCTAGGCTCAAGTGATCCTCCTGCCTCAGCCTCCTGAGTAGCTGGGATTACAGTTGCACACCACCATGCCTGGCTCCAAACTGATGATATTTTTAAAAAATTAAGTGAGAGGAGATAGGGACAAGATAGAACCAACCCTCACCCAACAATTAGAGAATATATATTCTGCCCAAGCACAGATAGAAAAATTTATAACTTGACCATTGTGACAGGCTGAAAAGTGGCTCCCAAAAGGTATGTATGTCCTAATCCCTGGAACTTGTGAATGCACCCTCTGTGCCAAAAAGTAAAAGAAAAAAGGAAAGCAAAGGTATTCATAGACGTGATTAAGGATCTTAAGATGGGGAGGTTATCCTGGATCCTAGTGTGCCCTAAATGCAATCACATATATTCTTAAAAGAGAGGGGCATAGGAGGAGAAGGTAATGTGACTGAGGAGGCAGAGATCGGAATGATGGGGCCACAAACCAAAGGATGCTGGCAGCCATCAGATTAAGGAATGGATTCTCCCCAAGAGCCTATGGAGGGAAGGTGGTCCTGCTGACATTGTGATGTCAGCCCAGTGATACTACTTTCAGAACTCCAGAACTGAGACAATACATTTTTGTAGTTTTAAGCCATCAAATATGTTATTATTTTTTAGGGAACAAATACAAGTTTCAATAAATTTCAGAGTTAGTTTCACTTAGAATTCTTTCTGACCAGGAGGCAAGAGTCAGAAACCAGTTAAAACAAGAAGAAAAAAAAAGCAAAAAAGAAAAATAAATTCTGACATATTTGGACATTAACAAACACTTCTAAATAATACATGGACAAAAGAAAAACCATAATAGAAAAATATAAAAATACTTAGAAGTGAACAAAACTAAAATCCTTCAAATTAAACCTATAAGATACACTAAAAGCAGTGCTTTGCTTGAAATTTAAAAGCTTACATTAGAAAATAAGAAAGCTGTCCAGGCACGGTGGCTCATGCCTGTAATCCCAGCACTTTGGGAGGCCGAGTGGGTAGATCACCTAAAGTCAGGAGTTCGAGACCAGCCTGGCCAGCATGATGAAACCCTGTCTCTACTAAAAATACAAAAATTAGCCAGGCGTATGGCTATTGCCAGTAATCCTAGCTACTGGGGAGGCTGAGGCAGGAGAATTGCCTGAACCAGGGAGGCAGAGGTTGCAGTGAGCTGAGATCATGCCACTGCACTCTAGCCTGGGCAACCGAGCAAGACTCCATCTCAAAAAAAAGAAAGATTAGGCCGGGCGCAGTGGCTCACGCCTGTAATCCCAGCACTTTGGGAGGCTGAGGCAGGCAGATCACGAGGTCAGGAGTTTGAGACCAGCCTGGCCAATACGGTGAAACCCCATCTCTACTAAAAAATACAAAAATGAGCTAGGCGTGGTAGCACCCTCCTGTAATCCCAGCTACTTGGGAGGCTGAGGGAGGATAATCGCTGGAACCCAGGAGGCGGAGGTTGCAGTGAGCCAAGATTGTGCCACTGCACTCCAGCCTGGGCAACAGAGCAAGACTCCATCTCAAAAAAAAAAAAAAAGAAAGAAAGAAATATTAGCAATAAGCTAACATGTCCAACTTAAGAAGTTAGAAGAAAGACAATAAATCAAAGAAAGAGCAAAAAAAAAGAAAGTAAAGAGCAAAAATTAATAAAATCAAATACAGAAGTTATAATAGAGGGGGCCAACAAAGCCAAAAGTTTTTTTTTTTTTAAAAGACACAAGGCATAAAAATGATATGAAGAATGAAAAAGAAAATATTATGACTACAAGATATATTAAAACCTAGGTAAATAACTTATAAAAATCAAAAAGTCCTAAAGCTGTTACCAAAACTAAATTGGTTACTAAAAATCTTCTCACAAAGAAAATGCTACGCCAAAATTGTTTTACAGGCAAGTTTTACCAAATGACCAAGGAAAGATCATACCACTCTTATATAAACTTCTCTAAAAAACTAAAAAAGGAACATTAACCTAACTAATTTAGTAAACCAGTATATCACTAATAAAAAAACAAAATAAGAACAGTATGAGAGAAGAAAATTATAAGCCAGTATCATTCACGAACATAGATGCAAAAATCGTAAAATATTAGCAAATGGAATCCAGAGGGGAATAAAAAATAATGAGTCATAACCAAACCGAGTTTATTTCATGAATGCACATCTATATTGTTGAGAGATTTGTGCCAAAGTATTTAAGGGTAAATAATATATCTATAATTTTCCTTGAAATGGTTCAGAGGGGGAAAAAAGAGGGAGAAATGAAGCAGATATAGCAAAATGTTAACAACTGTTGCACATATGTATCGAGAGGTATAGGAATGTTCATTGTCTAAACAGCAAAAAAACTTGGAAAAAATCATAAAGATAATTAACTATGGTTAGACAAAATACCAGAGATGTTTGATATGTAATATTGAGTGAAAAAGCAAGCTGCAGAGACTACGTACAGAATGATACCATATTTATAAAACTCAGAACTATGCAATACTAAAAGCGACATTGCTGAGATTGATATGTAACATATACGCTGAAACTACTTTTTAAAAAGGAAGGAAATGATGAACACAAAACCCATAATAGTTCCTCCTGGAACTGTGTCGAGGAGGCAGAGGAGTGGGTAGGGAAAGAGCACAGACTGGTAAAGTTTTGCTTCTTAAATTAGGGAGGAGCTCCCTGGTATTCATTTCCCCACTGTGCTTTACAATTTGCATATGTTATATGTACATATCAAATATTACATGATAAATATGTAAAGTATATATTTTTCTTACGACCTTGTAATACAGATATAATGAACCTATTTTATTGTCAAAAAGCAATCAGTACTCATTCAATACCTTCTGTGTGTCCAGGTTCTTCTAAGGAACTATTCTTTTTGTGAGGAACTTTCTATGGAAGCTGGTTGGCCCACAGCTTTTGCAGATGATCTGCTGCCCTGAGTACACTCTAATGACCAAGACCACAAGTGGGCCCCTAACTCATCTAGGGTACGTACTGTATCGTATATGCATTTTTTTAATTCTTAAGATTTCCTCAAAAGTCCTGGACGCTCAGAAGGTATTAATAAATGCCACCATACGATAGCCAAGTTTTCTTTCTCTTGGGAATCTGAACTGAGAGGTGCAGAGTTAGCCAGGCAGCCAGGAGCAGGAAATGCAGTTGGAATGAGGCATACACTGGGCAGCTGAGGAAGAACAGGAAAAAGTGACACACAAGCTGAAACAGTGAGGATACAGAGGGTATGAGGTGGAGCAGACAGAGTAAAAGTTAAGAACAGGCCAGTTAGGATCACAAGCATACACAGAAAGCAATAGCAATGCCACCAAGGTATCCACGGAGTCCTTGAGAGAGACTGAAGACACCTGCTAGTCACAGGGCTGCTGTTTCTAAGAGGCCCAGCTCTATTGGTATTCCTAATCTTGGATGCCTTATAAGGTCCTTTCTCACTGGCCTCCATGTATCCTTAAAGTAACCCTTCCACCACCCTCCGCCAATTCACTCTTATTTGAGCTACCTTTAGGGAGGATCTATCCCTGGCAACCGGGTATATGTTACATGGAAAATAAGTCTAGTTCCTCATTAGACTTATCCTACAGTGGCTGGGCATGGTGAATCATGCCTGTAATCCCAGCACTTTGGGAGGCCTACATGGCGGATCACTTGAGGTCAGGAGTTCACGACCAGCCTGGCCAACATGGTGAAATCCTGTCTCTACTAAAAATACAAAAACTAGCCAGGTGTGGTGGCAGGTGCCTGTAACCCTAGCTACTGGCCAACATGGTGAAACCCTGTCTCTACTAAAAATACAAAAATTAGCCAGGTGTGGTGGCAGGTGCCTGTAACCCCAGCTGCTCAGGAGACTGAGGCAGGAGAATTGCTTGAACCCAGGAGGCGGAGGTTGCAGTGAGCTGAGATCACACCATTGCACTACAGCCTGAGTGACAGAGCGAGACTCTGTCTCAAAAAAACAAAAAAAGATTTATCCTACAGTGTGGTTTGGGTAGACTATGCCCTTAATTAGCATGATTTCTCAGGTTCAGAATGAAAAAAAATGGGACAAGCCTTTAAAGAAATAAGAGAATTTTAGTAAGATAAATGTGGTATATCTACCTATTACTAACTTTTCTAGACCATTTTTAATTACTGCTATCTTAAGCAATGTCTGTTAACAGAGATGGGTGATAAATCATGTTTTAGGAATGAATACATAATGAATCAAGTCTCCTACTGGGTACCAACAAAAAACAACTAATAACATTACTGATCCAGTGACTCCCATAAATAATTAGTTAAACTCACCATACCAGTCTCCATGTTAGGTGGATTAAGGTAAGTATGTGGATTTCTAATGTAACCATCTTTGTATGGCTCATCTGGAAAGTGATAAGCATTAGACCTTTTGAAATAGGGTCTGTCGTGAGGCAGATTGAAAAGATCATGTAACTCCTAAAATAAATCAGAATCAACAGAAAAAGAAAAAATGTTGGTGATTTAG
Source organism: Homo sapiens (assembly GCF_000001405.40). Classification (NCBI taxonomy): domain Eukaryota; kingdom Metazoa; phylum Chordata; class Mammalia; order Primates; family Hominidae; genus Homo; species Homo sapiens. The sequence continues at coordinate 185,413,922 of NC_000004.12, forward strand.
ATTCCTAGTCAATAAATAAAGATGTTATTAAACATGGAAAATTATATATAGGTTATAAAAGTTTCCAAACACTTATGGTTTAATTCACTAACATCAAAGATGGTGAAAACTGAACTAAAACCAAGTAAGATTTATTTTCGTTTACGTCTGTATCTGGGTAGAAACTGGAAGGGAACAGAGAAAAATGAATATAAATTGTTAGAGTAAGAGAACTAATTTTTAAATAATTATTTATTACAACATAGTCTGTTAAAATACATCCAGGCTAAAGACTGGTTTTGAAATAGCCTTGTAAATGAGTAAATTATAATTAACAATAATTATATCAAAGTATTTTGCAAAATTGTGTCGAGTGCCTTACAAATATTTTATATTGTAAGTGGTAGTGATTAAACTACAGAGTAGAAGTTAGTGGTCTAAAGCCAACCAATATGGCAGGAAAACAAATACACATATATGTTTAAAATGTGTTATTTTCCCAACTATATAAAAACATGTAATAGGTATTTTAAAAAGTTTGACATGTTCTTTATCATATCTTGTACTCCAGTGGTTTTAAAAGATCAGCTCCTGTAGCTATTGCTTCTACAAACCAAGTCACCTCCACATACAGAGGGTCAGGGTATTCTCGCTCTCCCTAAGGACAGAAATTAGGAAGATGCTCCACGGTCTAATTTGATAGGTTCTAAGCGAGTCCACATATCAAAAAGATGCACTCCAAAACCAGTCATGAGTAAATCTCATTACTTTGAATGCTGGTCATGTTTTCTCCAAAATTCCTCTAATAAAGCCCAAATAACCTTACTTGTGGAGTATTACCATAAATCCTATTCAGAATTAGCATAAGTTATCATTTTCCTTCCCTAACTGTAATCTTGTCTCTTTCACAAATCGGAAAGTTATAGAAATCTGTTAATACCAGCAACTTTAGGCATGTAAGCACCATTTCTATATTTCATTATGGAAAAATATTAAAATTTCACAGAATATATGAACCACACCGAGCATTTAAAATTAAAATGTTACATATAGGTTCAACATAACATTTTGTCATTAATACTACTTAAAGTTTCATGAGAACAGAAATTAAATAATGTGTAAAATGAATAGTCTAAATTCCACACTTTTAAGTTAAATCACAAAATACCTTCCATTTAGTGGAAATATATAATTAAATACAAAATGAATGATAGTCATTATTGTTTTTTCTAAGAATAGATGAACTGGTTTTACCTTCCTATAGGCCTGCAGCTGGCCATCTGGTATTCCTGAAGGATATGAAATTGTTACAAGATTTTTTTTCCCTGGTAATAAAAAGTGCAGTGGTTCAGGGACCACAATAGATGTTCCTTTCATATATTTCAAAATACATTTTTCCATGTCAGTTAGTTGATTATGAATTGCATCAACCAGGAGTTTACGAACTCTGTGGGGGGAAATATATAAGTGTATTAACAAAAGTTATAGTGACTACAATAAAGAAAAGTACAGAGCTAATATATCCTTAGTATAGTAAAAAACTTGATTGGACCAGGTTTGCTAAAGGAAGTCTGAATTATACATTATAAAAGAAACTGTGTATTTGCTCTTTGTGGATAAAGGGAAATCCTCCAGGTTTTAGCATGCTACCCTACTTCCTCCAAATAACCATTTAATTAATAGATGGCTCTTAGGTTAATAATAAACAAGGAGAAAATCACACCTTAGGTATACCTACAGGATATACAAACATGGGTTTGGGGAAGGGCCCTCATTCAAATGTGGCAGTGGTACTATAAAAATACTTACTTTCCCCATGTTTCTTCTGGAGCAACAGATATAACTGCATCGACAGGTAAAGTCATATTAACATAATGGTGTCCTCCGCTTTCCCTTTCAATGATGGGCGTTACAGCTGCCAGGGAGGTTGACATTTCCAGCATAAGATCTATATTTACTATTTGATGCTATATAGATAAACAGTAATAGTCAACTTGTAGTGCATTAAACACTAAATATAAAGAGTAAGTAAAAAGACTTTTCAAAAATGTATTTATTATTAAGAAAAAAATTTAAGACTAGCCAAGTACAGTAGTGAAAAGGGGGAAAGAGTAGAGAACAAGGAGTTCAATCTGTAACTGGCTGTGAATGATCAACTGAGATAACTCACTACCCTCAGACCAGCCAGTAGAAGGACTTTTAAAGGACAGAATATAAAGCTGTACTACAGTAAAAAGATTAAAAGCACAAATATTATTTTAAAAAGAAATTATTTTCTGCTTCAAAATAACATGGGGAGAGGGATTAAGAAGTAAAGATGAAATCAGACTGGCCATGAATAAACGTTAAAGCCACGCATAGGTTCACTGGGGTTCGTTACATGATTCTCTCCACTTTTGTACTGATTTAAAATGTTTAGAAAATCAAATTAACATAAAATAACCACACACCAAAGGAACTTTTAAACATATAACTATATACCCCTGGTCTAATACATAAATAACTATAATCAAATACTGAACTCTACTTTGTAGGTTTGATTTTTACAGGGGTATGAACAATTGTGAAATTTACACTAAACTTATTTCGCAAAATACTGAGGATCCTGGGAGTCAGACTTCTCACTGGGAAAAGGTCAAGCACTCTAGGGTTGAAGTGGAACTGGAGGTATCAATGTGATTTACACAGATAAAAATGAACGTGTTATGTGTGTGTGTGGATAGTATAAAAGTATAAAAGTGTGTGCCCATGGAAAAATGACTGATTCTCCAGCTAGAACAGAGAAAGCACATGTTGCACCTGGAACATCTGATGGGTAGGAAGTGCCCAAAATTACAATGTTAGAAAGGCACTGGAGCCAGCTTGAAGAAACTTCTATTGGCCAAATCTTGGAAAATGTGAGCATCAAAATAACTAATGATAGTACCAGATTATAAACCACTGCATAAAATAAGCATCTATGGCAGATAATACAAAAGGAAATGACAGATTTAGAAAAATCACCACTTTGTAATCACCAGATTAATATTGGATTCTGGCAGAAATTATCAATGGATGCTAAAAGTGGTGGGTCAAAATCTGATGAGGACTAAAGTAAGATACATATGTAGTTTCTTCCCACAAGATACTAATTATAAGGGAAAAAATAGTACCTTTACCATGGAGAAAACTGGTGGATACCATCTTAAGTAAGTGAAGTTAACCTCACCAATAATAGCAACAGACTGATAACTGTCTCTTTCATACCATGTGCTGAGGACACAACATCACTTCTGTGGTATTCCTGCCAATAGTGCATGACCTAACTCTAATAACAAGGAAGCATAAAACAAATCCAAAAGGAGGGACAGTCTTAAAAAGAACTCACCTGTACCCCTCAAAATGTCAAGCTCCAATTACTGGTAATTTTCAAATCATTGTATCCAGCCCACAATTATTTTATGCATTCTACATCTGTAAATCTAACAGCTCATCTGTACATCTTACTGAGGTCTTAAACATGGCCCAAACCAACTTCATGTCCTCCTCACCTTCCATCTTTACCCACACAAGAAACTGATCTTGCCAGTTAGTTTCCAAGCAGAATCCATTGTATCCCTAAATATCTCTTGTATGCAATCCCTCTTCTCTATTTCCATAGCTAGTGGTTTAGTTAGGCCTCTTCTAAAGAGGCCCACGCCCACCTCTCCAGCCTTATGTCCACCCATTCTTCCTCTACCAGCCTGGAAACACTGTCGTCACATTAACTTCATACAACTTCGTGCCTTGAAGACGCATCTCCATTTTCTATCTTCAATATCTGTTAAAGTTTGTGGCACATGGCAGGTACTCAGTAATATCAGTTCAAAAATCAACAGAACCAGCCGGGCGCGGTGGCTCACACCTGTAATCCCAGCACTTTGGGAGCCTGAGGCAGGTGGATCGCCCGAGGTCAGGAGTTTGAGACCAGCGTGGCCAACCTGGTAAAATCCCATCTCTACTAAAAATACAAAAATTAGCTGGGCATGGTGGCAGGTGCCTGTAATCCCAGCTACTCAGGAGGCCGAGGCAGGAGAATCACTTGAACCCGGGAGGCGGAAGTTGCAGTGAGCCGAGATCGTGCCACTGCACTCCAGCCTGGGTAAAAAGAGTGAAACTCCATCTCAAAACACACACACACACACACACAAACAACAGAACCAAGAGTAGTGTGAAGAAAAATAAATCATTTACTATTTGTCTTATGTGGCACAATGTGTCACTTTGTCATGATTCAGAATGCGATTTAATTTAAGTAATTTATAAATGTATTTAGGCTGTTTTATTTTTGTGGGAGCAAAGAAAGCATTATAAAAAAACCCTTTTGAGATTATGTATTATAATCAGACAAAAACTTAGATAAGTAAGACAAACATATAACTTTTGGCAAGTCATTTAATCTTTTTGGACATCAATATTCTGACCTATGATAAGAGGGTTAAATTATTTCTAAGATTGCACTCAGTTCCAAATCCAAAGATTTAACATTTTTATCAGTACAGAAGACAGATAGTTTGCTTACCATGTCTGATAACTTTTTGTCCTTCTTTCTCATGAATTTTCTTTTTATATCTTCTTCTGGCTCAAATCTAAATTTTTAATACACAGACATTTATAATATGAAATGATGTTTTGAAAACATTTCTAGAAATCTTCAAACATACTCACTGAATAAAGCGCAGTATGTTCTTACAAGCAGAAGCATCAGTCAGTTCTCCAGGAATGGTGTTTATGTCACTGCTAGGCCATATATACACTGAACTGTGGCAAATTCTGAACACAAGGGCGTTTGAAGACAGCTTAGTTGACAGGTCACTCAACACATGTTTCAGTGCCTTCTTGAGAAAAATTTCTAAATTAAAAGAATATAAATAGAAGTTAAGAAAAACAAATTTTTCAACATGAATGGTTCCAAACATACACAAAAGTAGAGCATAGTAAAACTCTCAATACCTATTCCCCATATTCAATAATAATTTCAAAATTTTTTGCCTATCTTTTTAAAAAAGTCTGTGAGACAAAATTCACAGACCATCAAATTCATTCTTTTAAAGCAAACAATTTAGGGCTTTTAGTATATTCATAAGGTTTCATAATGATCACTAATTCTAGAACATTTTCATCACTCCAAAAAGAAACCCTGTACCTACCAGCAGTCGTTTCTCATTCCCCCTACTTTTCTCTAATTGAAAATTTTCTGATTTACCTCCTACATCTTTTCTTTTTTTTTTGAGATGGAGTCTCGCTCTGTCGCCCAGGCTGGAGTGCAGTGGCGCGATCTGGGCTCACTGCAAGCTCCGCCTCCCGGGTTCACGCCATTCTCCTGCCTCAGCCTCCCGAGTAGCTGGGACTACAGGTGCCCGCCACCACACCTGGCTAATTTTTGTATTTTTAGTAGAGACGGGGTTTCACCACGTTAGCCAGGATGGTCTCGATCTCCTGACCTCGTGATCCACCCGCCTCGGCCTCCCAAAGTGCTGGGATTACAGGCATGAGCCACCGCGCCTGGCCCTCCTACATCTTTTCTAATTTGCACATGGTACCCCATGGCCTGGTGGGGGTGCTGGAACACAATATCCAAGTTTAAATCCCATTCAATCCACTTACTAACTATATGATCTCACAGTTTTTATCTCTCATCCAGCTTCCTTTGCAAAATGAAAAGAATTTCAGCATACTACCCATGGCAATTATTAACCTACTTTTTTCTTTATGGATTTGCCTGCTGTGGACATTTCACATAAGTGGAATCACACATTACATGGCTTTTTGTGTCTGGCTTCTTTCACTTAGCTTAATGTTTCTTCTGTATTGTAGCATGAATCAGTACTTCATTCCTTTTTATGGCAGGATAATATTCCATTGTGTGGATACACCAATTTTGTTATTCATTCATAAATTGATGCACATTTGTTTCCACTTTTTGGCTATCATATATATGCTGCCATGAACATCTGTGCATAAGTTCAGTTTCTGTGTGGATGTGTTTTCAATTCTCTTGGGTGATCACCTAGAATAGAATTTCTGAATCACATGGCAACTCTCTATTTCACACTTTCAGGAACTGCCAAGCTGTTTTCAGCAGCCGCACCATTTTATATTCCCATCAGTAATCTATAAGGATTCCAATTACTATTAAAATAATGTATTACTTATAGCAATAAAACTATTGAGTGAAATTTAAACCTCTTAGTTCTTTTTCTCTTTGGACTATATCCCACTAGGCCTATATAATCAAAGCTCTGTGTTCTAAAGTCACGGTTGGTTTTTTTTTCCTCTGTATGGTTATGTCACCAACATATTTGCTTTAGTTTGTTTTTGTTTTCAAGGATTTCCTTTTAATAGACTTTTTAAAAAATATGTTTGAATATTCAAAAAATTAGAGTATTTTAATATTTTTGAATATTTGACACATTCAATTTGGAAACATTTTTACGTTTCCAAAGTCAAAACAATATAAGAAGATATAGTCAAAGAAGACAATCTTTCAATACTCATCTTAGCCTTACATTCCTAAATCCTAAGCCTATTTAACCTTGTAAATATTTATTCAATGACCTGATTCTGCTGAAAGAGTATTTAAAAAATAAATAAATAAACAACGACCATACTGGTATCTTGATAAATAAATACTTTGGAGCTATTGTAGAGATTACTCATAACAAATCAGATATTAAAATATTTTGATATGTTTCAGAAAGCAGAATTTAAAGATTTTCAGTTGCACTACAAAAGACAAACATAATTCTTAAATTAGCTTCTGTTTATCCCTAAAGGACTATTTGGTAAAGTTACCTAAAAAAAACTGTGAAGCCTTTAAAGTTAAGCATGTCCATTCTCTATATTTTCTGATTAATGAGAAGCCCTTTGTTGAGTGTTGACAGAGTTTGATAAAGGAGAAGGAATACAATCAAGTCAGAAGACAAGTTCAAATATATTAATTACTAGGTAAAAAGTATCTGTAGTCCTTGTTTACATTTGATTATTGGATTATCTACTGATTAATGGATTAATTCTACTTTGGAATAAGATTATAGTAAAGTATGTTTTCAGTTTATATCAAGTTGTGAAATGTAAGGTTTTATCCATAAAGTAACATTTTAGGAACAGCTACACTCTACTAATAACATAGGCCTGAAAATGAGTGATTTAGTCCTAGTAAAATGGTTCTCATCTTAATGGCACATTAGAATTACCTAGAAAGCTGACTGATGCCTGGGTCTCTGTCCCAGAAATGTAGTTTAATGTAGTCTGGTGGCAGGGATTCAAATGTGGACCAAAACTGAGAACAATTTATTAGTTGAAGGGATGGGTGGAAAAGAATATTCTGCACCCTCTCCCTCCCTTCCACGGGGCTAGTAAAGGATGGCCAGCTGCAATCTCCTTCAAGGAATGCTGGTATCTGATATAGTTTTGATGTCTGTCCCCTCCAAATTTCATGTTGAAATGTGATCTCCAATGTTTGAAGTGGGGCCTGGTGGGAGGTGTTTGAATCATGATCCCTCATGAATGGCTTGGTGCCATCCTCACAGTAATAAGAGTGAGTTCTCACTCCTATCAGTTCACAAAAGAGCTGATTCTTTAAAAGAGCCTGGCACCTCCTCCTCTCTTTTGCTCCTTCTTTTGCCATGTGATACACTGCCCCCTCCTTTGCCTTCCACCATGATTGAAAGTTTCCTGAGCCTCACCAGCAGCAGATGCTGGCACCATGCTTTTTGTACAGTCTGCAGAACTGTGAGCCAAATCAACCTCTTCTTTATAAATGACCCAGTCTCAGGTATTCCTTTAGAAAGATGCAAAACAGACTAATACAGTACTTTTAATTCCTGATCTTTCTGAACGGCTCTGTGGCTTCTGGCACCACTACTCGTACTTTTCATGAGTGATTTCATTTATAATGAGGGTGTTAACTATCACCCTTCAGAGACATTACATTCTCTAGCTCCAACTCTGACCACACTCTTCTAAATTTCTGACTCAGCCAAATGCCTGTTGGGAATTTGTACTTGACCTTCCACTGGCATCAAATGAAACAAATCTCAAACACAGCTCATCCCATTCCTCCTCTGATGTTCTTTATCTCAGTTTGTGGCTGTAGTTCAAGTCAGCAACAGGAAGACATCCTAGAATCTGCTTCATATAAACCCTGTTGATTTTTCTTCCATAGAGTTCTTGTACTCATCCCCATATAATGTAGTATTTAAGAGAGTAGGTTCTGGAGACTCAGGATTGTACATACACTTGCAAGTCTGTCATGTACAATTCTCGACGCACATTTACAACGTGCTCATTGTGGATATTTACATTTATTGTAACAATTAATGAAGAGGGGAGTAAAGTCTCTTAAGAAAGGGAACATCTTTTTCTAATTTGCACAGAGGTGCGCCATGGGCTGGTGGGTGTGCTGGAACACAGTGTCTAAGTGTAAGTCCCATTTAATGTACTTACTAACAATATAATCTTAGTTCATCCTATCTCTCTCTCAGTTTCATTTGCAAAGTGGAAATAATCTCAGTATATTTCACTATCAATTTTCTAATAAAAAAGAATTTTTCAGAAGACCTACCATTAGGAGTAGCTAGCTGAAAAGCCAAATCAAGGCCTCCTCTTATTCTGAAGAGTATATCCATACTTTCTGAAATCACCTAGAACAAATAAAGATAAAGACAAACTCCCTTGTAAAACAAAACAAACTCATATTCATATAAATTAGAATCTAAGTTTAGTGTTAAGACATTAATTAACCTTGATTCTTCAAATTATTTCATGAGTTAATTCCTTGTTTTATAGAAAAAACAAAAACAAAAGCAACCCCAAAATTTTAAATCAGGGGTTCTCAACCTTTGTTCTATACTGAAATCACCTGGGGAGCTTGAAATACTGAGGCCTGGGCTGTACCCCCAGAGATTCTGATTAACTGGTCTAAGGCCTAGGCACAGGGATTTTGGTTTTTTGTTTGGAGACAGGGTCTCACTCTGTCACACAGCTGGAGTGCAGTGGCACAATCTCAGCTCACTGCAACCTCCGCCTCCTGGGTGTAAGAGATTCTCCTGCCTCAGCCTCCCATGTAGCTGAGATTACAGGCATACACCACCACGCCTGGCTAATTTTTGTATTTTTAGTAAGGACGGGATCTCAGAATATTGGCCAGGCTGGTCTTGAACTCCTGGCCTCAAGTGATCCGCCTGTCTCGGCCTCCCAAAGTGCTGGGATTGCAGGCGTGAGCCACCGCGCCCAGCTGGCACAGGGATATTTAAAAGTATCCTATGCCCCCATGCCAGTGATTCTAATGTGAATGGTTGAGAACTACTGCTTTAAGACAATCTTTCCAAATTATAATCTTGACAGGTTTAACAATGACAATAAAACATCAACAGTAAAGAACTAGTTTAAGAATGTGACAAGGCACTGAACCTAATATAATACCAGGGAGTCAAGACAATGAGAGGAAACTCATACTGAGGGTGGGATATCAACTGGTGGAATCCTTCAGAGAATATGGCAGTAAGAATCAAAGGTTTATATTCATAGGCTTGATCTAGTGATATGCATTTAGAATCTCAGACTTAGTCTAAGAAAAATCTGAAAAACACACAAAGATTCGGGTACATGGATATTAACCTAACTGCCAACAATAGATTGGTTAAAAAAAATAGGAATATCATATAGCCATAAAAAAATCATGTTTTTGCTGAAAATTAAAAGGCACAGGACAATGCTTACAACTTATAAAGGGAAAAGAGCACTTGCAAAATGGAACTAATCAGTTCTTTACTTGGATCCATATACTGTTTCAGGTAGTTGATGATATATCACAAATGACATGTATCATTGTTTGTGTACACATATATACACACACAGATACACATATTCATACATATATACATACATATATACACACACACACACACGAGAGAAAGAGACAGGAAGGGAGAAAGAGAGCGGGAGATTTCTTTTGGGAAGAGGTTTCAAAAATTTCATGAGACTCTCAAAACATATCTCTCAAACAGGCTGAAGAACCATAGTACACACTAAGACCCCTATTTTGAAATAAATGAATAAGTACTAACATTTACTGAGCTCTTCAAATGTAAAACACAGGCAGGGTGCAGTGGCTCACGCCTGTAATCCCAACACTTTGGGAGGCAGAGGCAGGAGGATCACTTTGAGCCCAGGAGTTAGAGACCAGACTGGGCAACATAGGAAGACCCCCATCTCTACCAAAAAAAAAAAAAAAAATTAGCTGAGTGTGGTGGTCTGCACCTGTAGTCCAGCTACTCGGGAGGTTAAGGTGGGAGGACTGCTTGGGCCGGGGAGGTCAATGCTACAGTGAGCCATGATCACACCACTGCACTCCAGCCTAAGCAACAGAGCAAGATCTTGTCTCCAAAAAACAAAATAAAATAAAACAAAAACATGTAAAAGGCACTATGCTAAACATACATACTTACTCCAATCCTCAGAACAGTATTAAATAGGTACCAATACAGTTTTTCTCATTTTACAAATCCTTTGTCACATTTCTATAAGGGTCACTGTTTTTATTTATTCTAAAATTGTAATCTTTTGAAAGATCATATACCCTTTGTCCCAATTCTACTTCTGAGAATTTATTCTAAGGAAACAATCAAGAAAGTTCAGGACAAATTTAGCTTCATGTTGTCCATTTATTCTACCGTTGTTCATCACAGAAAAATAAATGGAAACCACTTAAATAGCTATTAATAAGAAATCAGTTAAATAAAGAATACTACCAAACAAACTAGTATGTACCCATTTAAATAAAAAATATTTAAAGATACTGAAGATAAAAGTTAGACAGGAAAGAACAAATTTTAACTCTGCTACTTACTGTACAATTTTACACAATTTAACTTATCACTTAAGTCTGTTTCTCTTCTGTAAAACTGGAAAAATACACAACTTCCCAGGGTTGTTATGAAGATTCCACAAGACATCATTCATAAAAGCACTAGTCTTCCTAGACTTCCGAATTAGCTGAGATACTCTCTGAAGAAATAATACTGAGGCTGAGATCTGAAGGGTGAGTGAAGGTGCAATAGCCCATTCCAGGCAGGGCCATCGATGAGTGAAGATCTGCTTAAAAGACCACTTAGGTGACTACCCCAGATGGATAGATCTCAAGGCCAAGGATGGTAAGAGTGGCGACAGTGACAACAGACAGACATTTAGAAGTAGCATCTATAGGACTTGATTATTGACTGCATGTCGGGGAGTTGAGAAGAGGGAGATGTCAAGGATGATTTCCAGGTTTTGGGCAGGCACAACAGGATGTATGGTGGTGCCATCTACAGAGTTGGGGGTTCCTGGAGGAAGAGCAGGTGTGGGCTGTGGGGAAGTGGAAATGCTCAGTTTGGAACTTGCTGAGCTTGAAATACATATGAGCTATCCAAGTGGAGGCACGGTTAGCAGATTTGTGGGTCTGGAGCTCAGAAGAAAGGTCTAACTTAGAGATAAAATTTTAGGAGAACGCATAGGGTGTAAAGCGTCCCTGAAGAGCACCACCATTTAGGATAGGGATTGGAGAACCTTGCTGAGCAATGAGACAGGAGAGAAACCAGGGGAGGGAAATACCACGGGAACTAGGGGAATATAATATCCGAAGAAAGTTGCGCCTGTCCCAGGTTAAGCCCTTCTTGCAAGGCTTCAAAAACGCCGAAGTCTCTCAAAATACTTTCACACAGAGAAGTAGCAGGGGGTGCGTGTCCAAGGTGGCCGAGGCGGGGTGCACACTTGTGTAGGGCACTTTCCCCCCGGCCCAGCGCGGAGACAGGCGAACTGGAGAGCCGCCCTGCCCACGCAGCTCGCAGCTGCCATCTTGGACCCCGGCAGGACCAGCTCCTTTCAGGCGCTGTGAAGCCCGCTCGTGGCGGCTGCCAAAGTCCGGGGAAAAACACAGGGGTCGGTGACGAGCAGAGATACTCACCATGTCCGCGACGTGGCGGTGACACGGGCGCTGACGCCTGCCCAAAAGTTCCGGGGGCCGGCCCTGAAGTGGTGTCACCGCACGGCCCAGGGGCGGGGCCCGGGCGGACCAACTACAACTCCCGACATGCTCGGCGGCATGACGTCACGGAGCGTACCACACCGCAGTCCCTCGCGGACGGCGAGGCGGGGCGGGTAGCCGAAGACTTATGTTTGGTAAATTCTATTAGTTAAGTCTTTTCTGTCCTACAGAAGCTCACACATCCTTCTGTGTGTTCTTCGATGCGGATTCGAATCTCCTCGTATCCTCCCACAGCGTGCTTGGAATGGATTCTCCCGTACCCGGGGCAACACATCACACAATAAACGCCAGCTGTGGTGGAACGTGCAGAGGCGCTGCGCAGCCCAGGCGTGTCGCGCGCTTGGGAACCCTCGCCGCTCCCGCAGCGCAGTTAACGTGGACAAGCTGGGGCAACCTGGACGAGCTGGGGCAACCTGATCTCGGCTGTCGGAGTGGGTGTCCTCAAGAAAGGTGACTTGGTCCTCGCGGACGCCAGGTGTTGCCCCTTAGATACCTGCCACCTCCCAGCCTCCGTTTCCTCTCTGGGAAACAGACTCCTCATCACCTCCTCCAGTTTTCTGCCCCTTCTTCACCTCTCCTGACGCTCCATCCGTACCTTTTGCAAGGGAACGTGCCATAATTCGGCTATGCTCTATTTTCTTGTCTAATAGATTGTAAGCTCCTTGCGGGCAGCATCTATGCCTTCTTAAATCTGTTTCTAGTTTCTACCAGCAAGCTTGCCCCGAAGGGGATTGCAGAATATCTGTTAAATAAGTGAATGAATAATTTTGTAAATGTTGCTCAATAAGAGTTAAGTAGTGGCGGGCCGGGCGCGGTGGCTGACGCCTGTAATCCCAGCACTTTGGGAGGCCAAGGCAGACGCATCACCTGCGCTCACGAGTTCGAGGCCAGCCTGGGCAAAATGGTGAAACCCCTGTCTCTACTAAAAATACCAAAAAAAAAAAAAAAAAAAAAAAAAAAAAAAAAAAATAGCCGGGCATGGTGGCGGGTGCTTGTAGTCCCAGCTACTCGGGAGGCTGAGACAGGAGAATCGCTTGAACCCGGGAGGCGGAGGCTGCAGAGAGCCAAGACAGCTCCACTGCACTCCTAGCCTGGGCAACAGAGAGAGACTCCGTCTCAAAAAAAAAAAAAAATTAATAAGAAAAAAGTTAAGTGATGGGAAAGTTCTAGGCAAGAATTTCTTCCCTCCCTCCTCCCTGGCTCGCTTGTGTGCCGGGAGCTGCGCAGATGCGGGGATACCGTGAGAGGGAGGAACCTGTCTCAGCTCCTGCCCTTGTGCCGTGGAGCTTTGAAATATAAGGTAAATGAAAGTACTAAATCTTGACTGAAGTTTGGTTTTAAAGCATCTCTGATTAATGGAAGAGGTAGGATGTGGGGAAGGGCGTTGTATTTAGTTATGTTTCAGTTTAAAATGAATCTTCACTTGCCCCTTTGGTGTTACGTATTAGCAATGATTCATGCTCAGGTGAGCCAGTTTCAGGCAGGCTTGCAGAGAGGCACTCAAACAGCTTGCTTTAAATTTAAGGTAAAAGGCCGGGCGCGGTGGCTCACGCCTGAAATCCCAGCACTTTAGGAGGCCGAGGCAGGTGAATCACTTGAGGTCAGGAGTTTGAGACCAGCCTGACCAACATGGTGAAACCCCGTTTCTACTAAAAATACAAAAATCAGCCGGGCGTGGTGGCAGGTGCCCGTAGTCCCAGCTACCTGGGAGGCTGCGGCAGGAGAATTCCTTGAACCCAGGAGGCGGAGGTTGCAGTGAGCTGAGATAGCGCCTCTGCATTCCAGCCTGGGCGACAGAGCGAGACTCCATCTTAATAAGCAAAGAAATAAATAAATTTAAGGTAAAAGGTTCTTACCAGCCGGGCGCGGTGGCCCACTCCTGTAATCCCAGCACTTTGGGAAGCCGAGGCAGGTGGATCACCTGAGGTCAGGAGTTCAAGACCAGCCTGGCCAACATGGTGAAACCCCGTCTCTACTAAAAAATACAAAGTTAGCTGGGCGTGGTGGCAGACGCCTGTAATCCCAGCTACTTGGGAGGCTGAGGCAGAAGAATCGCTTGAACCTGGGAAGCGGAGGTTGCAGTGAGCCGAGATCGCGCTATTGCACTCCATCCTGGGCTACAAGAGCGAAACTCTGTCTCAAAAAAAAAAAAAAAATGGTTCTTACTTTGGATTACAAACTGTGAGGACTAACCCAATGTTTGTTTTCTTCACTTATGTATGCCCAGTGCTTAGCTCATAATTGGTGCTTTAAAAACTTTAGAATGGGATAGAGGTAAGTATTCTTAGCTCCTTGGGCCTCTTCCTTTTTAAAAATAACATGTCTACTATTAGAAATTAATTTCTGGCCGGGCGCGGTGGCTCATGCCTGTAATCCCAGCGCTTTGGGAGGCCGAGGTGGGTGGATCACTTGAGGCCAGGAGTTCGAGACCAGCCTGGCCAACATAGTTAAACCCTGTCTCTACTAAAAATACAAAAACAGCTGGGCATGGTGGCGCGTGTCTGTAATCCAGCTACTCAGGTGGCTGAGGCAGGAGAATCGCTTGAACCTGGGAGGCGGAGGTTATAGTGAGCCAAGAACATGCCACTGCACTCCAGCCTGGGACTGTCTAAAAAAAAAAAAAACAACAACAACAACAAAAAAAAAAGAGACTCTGTCTTAAAACAATTAATTTCTAAATAAAGAGTTGCATGTTTAATATTTCACCTTTGTTTGAAGTGGTCATTTCCAAAGAAAGCTCAGAGTTGAAGTATACCTGTTAACAAATACTCAGAATTCATTGTAGAATTTTTGTTTTTGTTCTCGTTTTTATCTTGCCTAAATAATTGTTCTCTTCCCCATTCCCTTTATAATTTTGCCAGTGACACACTTATTATGTTTATTTAAACTTGAAAAAAACCTCAAGAGTTGTAGGGTAATACCTCAATGTGTTGTACATCCTGAAAAGCTGTTATATTTTCAACATAAGGGACAATGCAGGATGCTGAAATCATTGTATTTAAACTGTAAAAATGTCTGCCTTATATAATTATGATTTTAAAATCTACCCTGAACTTCTCAAAAGAAGGATTTGTTTATAATACACCGTACAGTAATAATTTTATCATTTCCAACAGATAAATGGCAGTGTAATCGATGAGATCTTGTACATTCCTTTGTAATTTGTGAGCACTTCATACGGAGAGTCAAGGGGGAGGGCTCATCTGGAGAATTTTGAATCCCAGTATTCTCCCCCACCCCGCAGAGTAGGTTCTTTCCCCATGGAGTATGAGGCTATTGTTTTGTAGTAAACCTTAAACTCTCAGACTGAAAGTAATTAGAACTGGAAATTAGTAACCACTTTTTTCTAAACTTTTCCCCTTTATTTTTATTTTCAATGTAAAGTAGGACTTTGCTATAAAACACGTGACCCTAGGGAAACTTTTGAAGTTAGCGGTATAGAGAGTACCACCACCAGACGCCACCATGCCTGCGGAAGGAGGAAAAACGGACATGGAAAGGATTGGCCTCTTTAGTGAGATGGAATATATTACTGTGGGTGATAAATATGTGTCACAATTTAATCGTAAGTATATTTGCTTTTCTCTATGGACGAATAGTGGGTATTTTCTATATAAAATTTAGAATTTAATATTTAAGTCAAATGATTTTTTAATGGTTTATATTTTAAAGCATTTAGTTCTAAAGTTTGTTAACGTGTAAAATTTCAATGAAGTTAAGCGATATCATTTATTTATTTATTTAGAAACAGGATCTTTGTTACCCAGGCTGGAGTGCCAGTGGCCTGATTATAGCTCACTGCAGTCTCAAACTCCTGGGCTCAAGGGTTCCTCCCATCTTCAGCCTCCTGAGTCTACAGGCACACACTACCATGCCCAGCTAATTTTTAAATACTTTGTGGAGTAGGGCGGGGGAGCTCTCACTATGTTGCCCAGGCTGGTCTTGAACTCTTGACCTCAAGAGACCCTCCCCACTCAGCGTGCCGTAGTGCTGGGGTTAAGAGGCATGAGCCACAGCACCCAGCAAGAAGGTGATTTTATGAGAATAGGAATCTCGTTTTATTAGGGTATTCTATCCTAATTTATTGTCCTCATAGGTAATTTGATTTCTTTTCAAAGGTGCCTGGCAGTTTTCTCCCAGAATATTTTGGTTAGATGGGACACTCCCCTATGCAAACAGCATTTACATTTGCGTCCAAGAAGGCCATCCATTGTTACCTTCCTGAGAAATGAAATGCTAAGTGAATGGCTGAGGGATTTTTACAAAAGTCATAAATAATAAAAAGAGCTAATATACATAAATATTTAAATGTCTCAGTTCAATTTTTGGATATCCAATTACTTCTACATAATAATACAAAATAAAACACTGATTTGGAGATATCTCGAAGATACATTGTTAAATAAAAAAAGCAAGGTGCAGAATAGTCTATATAGTGTGCTCAGCATGAACAATGTGATTCTTCTGAGACAGCATTTAAAAAAATGAAAAAGGATATCTATGAAAATATTCACTTGAACATACCTGAACATTCTTTGGGAAACAAAATGATTATCTCTTTGCCTGTGGAAGAAGAATTGGGTGGCCAAGTATAGGAGAAGACTTCTTGTGAAAATGTTTATACTTTTGAATTTGGAACTATTTGAATGTATTACCTTTTCAAAAATTTAAGTTGGCCAGGTGTGGTGGCTCACAGCTGTAATCCCAGCACTTTGGGAGGTGGTGGCAGGAGGATTGCTTGATGCCAGGAGTTCAAGACAAGCCTGGACAACATAGTGAGACCCTGTCTCTACAAAAAATACAAAAATTAGCTGGGCATGGTGTCCTGCCCGTATAGTCTCAGCTACTTGGGAGGCTGCGGCAGGAAGTTAAGCCCAGGAGGTTGAGGCTGCAGTGAGCCATGGTCTCACCACTGCATTCCAGTCTGGGTGCCAGAAGGAGACCTTGTCAAAAAAAAAAAAGTTTAAAAAACTCAGTGATACTGGCCAGGCGTGGTGGCTCTCGCCTGTAATCCCAGCACTTTGGGAGGCTGAGGTGGGTGGATCACAAGGTCAGGAGTTCAAGACCAGCCTGAGAAATATGGTGAAACCCCGTCTCTACTAAAAATACAAAAATTAACCAGCCATGGTGGTGCACACCTGTAGTCCCAGCTACTTGGGAGGCTGAGGCAGGAGAATCGCTTGAACCTGGGAGGTGGAGGTTGCAGTGAGCTGAGATCGTGCCACTGCACTCCAGCCTGGGCAACAGAGTGAGACTCCGTCTCAAAAAAAAAAAAAAAAAAAAAGTCAGTGATACAGATTCACATTTAGTAGCCAGGTGAATTAAGGATTGTGTGCACTTCAAAAACTTCTCCATGTTTCCAAAGCTCTCCTCAAATAGAGCTCTCCTAGATCTAAATTATGAAAGAAGTTCTAAATACTTATTAAAACAGCCTTTAAAAAATTACTGGGCTACTAGTATTTCACTGTATAAATTCCACAGCTTAAAAATCTGTTCTCCTGTTGATGGACATTTGGGCTATTTTATGTTTTTGATTATTATGAATAAAACTGCTATGAACA
This sequence comes from Homo sapiens, assembly GCF_000001405.40. Lineage (NCBI taxonomy): Eukaryota > Metazoa > Chordata > Mammalia > Primates > Hominidae > Homo > Homo sapiens. The sequence continues at coordinate 185,431,508 of NC_000004.12, forward strand.
TTCTTGTTAATGTCTTTTAGTGGCCATAGACACTCACGCATCTTGAATATATGCCCCAGAGAGGAATTGCTTCAATTTGAGTGTGAAACACCCTTCTCTTCGACCTGCGCACACACTCTCACTGACATCTCACACATGACCTACGCGCACACCCTTACTGACATCTCACACAGTGCTTTCTAGTCTGTAGTTGGAGAAACATTGAATTAGATCATTTTAAGGTCTCTACCAGCTCTAAAACTCAGAGTGTATAAGCAAGACCTTACATATTAACATGTTTTGATGAAAACCACTTAGGTCTTATTGTCAAGATAGCCATTCACACAGAGCTTTCAGGGAATGTTTTGAAACAGTGCTTTAGAGCTCAAAATTCATAATTGGCCCAAATCATATTTGGAAATTGTTATCTTATTTTTCATGTCCTTTAATTGCTAGTCAGCTCAAAATTATAATATGCCTAATTTATCTTTAAAGGACCCTTTAATGAGGCTGCAAGCAAAAATAAACAGATGCTACCTGGAGGGTCCAAAGAAATGTCAGATCTTCAGGCAGGTTATTTTGATCCCCATTTTGTAAGGATTTTTGAAGGTGAAGGCTACATAAATCTGAATCAAGTGAGGAGACGGGATATGGTGGAAGCAGCCAAAAAAAATCTAGGCAAAGCATTCCTCCCTAGTAATGGAGAGAAAAAGCCGTAAGTGTTTTTTGGGAAAAGTCTTAAATATACCTCCTGTACCTTTATCCCTAAATTAAATATTTGTTTTTCTGTAGGACTTACTTATGTAAGATGAATTTTTAAGTATTATTCTTAGTTTGTCTTAGGTGGAGATAGTTGTATTGGATGATTTAGATTGACAAGTAATCTTGATTAAATATATTCTCATTATCATATTAAATTTTGGATTATCTATATCACTATGCTCTATTTGTTGATATAATAAAAACAACCTAAATAATAAAATTTGTTCAAAAACCTTGCAAAGTCAGATTGGCGGAAAAAATTGCCTTGAATTATCATGTCTATGCCCCTGACTGTTTTTTCTGCTGTTAAAGAAGTATAGATAAAAATATGAGGCTGGGTGCAGTGGCTCATGCCTATAATCCCAGCACTTTTGGAGGCCGAGCTAGGAGGAATGCTTGAGGCCAGGAGTTTGAGACCAGCCTGGGCAATATAGAGAGACCCCATCTCTACAAAAGTTAAAAAATTAGCTAGGTGTGGTAGCAATGTGCCTGTAGTCCCAGCTACTCAGGAGGCTGAGGTGAGAGAATCCCTTGAGCCCAGGAGTTTGAGGTTACAGTGAGCTATGATTGAGCCACTGCACTCCAGCCTGGATGTCAGAGCAAGATCTTGTCTAAAAAAAAAAAATGTGGAATTAGGATACATTTTTTTTGTTGTTTTTTGAGACAGAGTCTTGCTCTGTTGCTCAGGCTGGAGTGCAGTGGCATGATCTCAGCTCAGTGCAACCTCTGCCTCCTGGGTTCAAGTGGAGGAGGGTTCTGGGCCACGCCTGGCCAGAAATTCTTTTTTGATGAAGAAAATAATTGATCAAAAATTCATTATTTTTAAATTATTATGAAGATATACTCATGAGGTTTAACAGTATCTTAGTTGTGACAACTGTCAATGTTCCCTTTAAGTTAGTTTAACATTAGACCATGAAGTCAATGTAATGTTATATAACTGAGACTTAAAACGTAATGTTCAGTGAAACCCCATCCCTACTAAAAATACAAAAAATTAGCCAGGCATGGTGGCATGCACCTGTAGTCCCAGCTACTCAGGAGGCTGAGGCAGGAGAATCTCGCTTTAACTCCGGAGCCTGAGGTTGCAGTGAGCCAAGATCACACCACTGCACTCCAGCCTGGGTGACAGACTGAGACTCCATCTCAAAAAAAAAAAAAAAAAGAAAAGAAAAGTAATGTTCATTCACACTCAAAGCTTTGAGTCTCTCAGTTTATTAATTTGATAGATGATAACCGAAGTCTAATTTTGTGCTTATTTACTGTGTTTTTTGATACTAGTAAAACTACTTTGTATAACTTATACTTCCTTCTAATTCTAGTAGGCAACGTCAGCCAAAATTATTGTCTCTATTAAGAGTGAGGATTTTTGGCCGGGCACGGTGGCTCACACCTGTAATCCCAGCACTTTGGGAGGCCGAGGCGGGCGGATCACCTGAGGTCAGGAGTTTGAGACCAGCCTGGCCAACATGGCGAAACCCCGTCTCTACTAAAAATATAAAAATTAGCCGGGCGTGGTGGTGGGCGCCTGTAATCCCAGCTACTCGGGAGGCTGAGGCAGGAGAATCACTTGAACCCAGGAGGCGGAGGCTGCAGTGAGCCAAGATTGTGCCACTGCACTCCAGCCTGGGCGACAGAGACTCTGTCTCAAAAACAAAACAACAAAACAAAAAAAGACTGAGGATTTTCGGTGGGTGCAGTGGCTCATGCCTGTGATCCCAGCACCTTGGGAGGCTGAGGCGGATGTATTGCTTGAGTCTAGGAGTTTGTGACCAGTCTGGACAACATGACAAAAACCCATCTCTACAAAATATACAAAAATTAAGCCAGCGTGGCGATGCATGCCTTTAGTCCCAGCTACTCGGGAGGCGGAGGTTGCAGGGAACACTTGAGCCGGGAGTTTGAGGCTGCGGTGAGCTGAGACTGCACCACTGCACTGCACTGCAGCCTGGGCAACAGAGTGAGACCCTGTCTGAAAAAAAACAAAAAAATAAAAAAGAGTGAGGGTTTTCTTCTTTAATTTCATCTTTTTCTACCTTTTGACACTTTGGATAGATTTGAATTATTTATTCTTATTATTACTACTGTTTCTTGAAATCTTTCATTTTCTTGGATATAAATTTAAAAATGTGATTTTTTTCCTTTTGTCACTACTTTCTTTTTCATGGAATATGTGAAATAACTTTTTCCTAGTTTTCAGTCTTTTCTCCTGCCTGTGATAAACTTTGACTCATGTGGTAATAATTGGAAATTGCTACCTTGATACATTAGTTTATAATAGGCTTATATTCATCTGTCAGCCAAGAAATAATAACAGTTTTATAATTAGACTAGCTTTCCTTTTTTAAAATAATTCATAGATATGTGAAAAACATCTATAATTTAGTGGATACAGAAAGTGTTTCCAAAAAGAGAGACTAGTGTTTTAAGTAAGAAACCCTATAAGACACTTATTGAACACCAAATTATGGAACCGTAGGCATTTATTATATATATATTTATTTTTGTGAGATGGAGTCTGGCTCTGTCATCCAAGCTGGAGTGCAGTGGCGCGATCTCAGCTCACTGCAATCTCCGCCTCCCAGGTTCAAGCGAGATTCTCCTGCCTCAGCCTCCCAAGTAGCTGGGATGACAGGCACAGGCCACCACGCCCGGCTAGTTTTTTGTGTTTTTAGTAGAGATGGGTTTCGCCATGTTGGCCAGGCTGGTCTCAAACTCCTGACCTCAGGTGATCTGCCCACCTCAGCCTCCCAAAGTGCTGGGATTACATACGTGAGCCACCACACCCACCCCCGGAACCGTAGGCATTTAATACATTCTAAATAGAATGACTTTTAGTGCTTGCGTTAAATCACATTTTGGGTAAATTATGCCTGTCTGTGAATAGTTCTCCTTTATCTGCATTATCCCTGCTCTATTTCCTTGTTGTATTTTAGAATTTCATTATATAGGTTCATAAAGAGGGATTAATTAAAATATGCTTTCCTACCATTTGTAGACTGAAGGTATTGACAATAAGCAATCGGTGTTGATGTCTTTCTAGTTTTTGAAATTTTTAACTCAGATGTATGAACAGTGTCAAGTTTTGATAGTAATAAGGTTTCATGTGTCTTGTAGACCTTTTTCTGATTATTAAAATTTGTTTACTTCAATGGTAACTTAAGAATTAGAGACTATGACTGTTGCTGACAATAGTTACCCTTATTGTGGAAGTTTTAAGAAAAATTTGTTAAAGTGCTGGATAGTAAATACTTTGATGATTTTACATAGATACTGTGTGCCCAGAAAATTTAACATTAAAATGGAAGAAAAGAAAATATTTGGTTAATTTTTTCTACAGCAAACAGAAGAAAATTAGCACCCAAATTCCATGAGTCACTTTCTGTCAGTAGTGGAAACAGCAGTCTTAAATATTTGTTTTGCAAGTGTAGTTTCTTGTGGGTGGATAGTCAGAAGTAATTAGCCATTTATTAGCTAACTTGCCATAAAGCATCCATAAATTAATCTAAAAACACAAAAGACTCTGTTTATTGTTACAGTTAACTGAATTAATGAGAATGATTCTAACTTCCTAAGGATTATGCAGTTCTATTTTTTGTAGAATGTTTATAATAATAAAAATATTAAAAACATATCTTATGTCAAAATCTGTGACTGAAGAATGAGGAAAATGAAATTAGATTAAAACTAGCATTTTTTTCTCTTTTTTTCAATCTGTTTAAAAATTATGATAAAATAGACTTAAACTTTGCCATTTTAACCTCCTTCTTTTAAAACATCAAAAAATTGTATTTAAGATGTGGCTTAGGAAGCTACTATGGAACAATAGGTGGTCCAGTCCCATTTTTCAGCGCACAGTCAAAACCTCGAGAAAAATACAAGGCACCTGGAAAGAATTTATACACAAACCCGGGAAAGAAAGGAACTGGATATGGGTAAGATATTTTTAATACTTTGTCATATCGTTTGTTTTGAAATTTAAAAAAATTAAATTTCTGAATTCTGAAGTCACCATTACTTACTTTGCTTTCTTAGCTATGCAAATATTACCATAGGTAAACAGTTTTCACACTCTGCCGACTTCTATGATGCAGCAAAACTAAAGTATAAGGTAAAAAATCTGTTTTGAATGTTTCAACCTTTCTTTTATTTAGCTAACTCGATATTAATAATTCACTTGAGGCCGGGCACGGTGGCTCACATCTGTAATCCCAGCACTTGGGGTGGCCGAGATGGGCGGATCACGAGGTCAGGAGTTCGAGACCAGCCTGACCAACATGGTGAAACCCCATCTCTACTAATCTTACAAAAATTAGCCAGGTGTGGTGGCGGGCACCTGTAATCCCAGCTACTCAGGAGGCTGAGGCAGGAGAACCGCTTGAACCCAGGATACGGAGGTTGCAGTGAGCCAAGGTCGCGCCACTGCACTCCAGCCTCGGTGACAGAACGAGACTCCGTCTCAAAAATAATAATAATAATAATAATAATAATAATAATTCACTTGAGATCTAATTTTGTTTTGTTCTATCTATTTGTATCACTGGGGCAGTGGCAAACTCATGTTTATGAATTGTGATAATTTTACCCTTTTATTAGATTTTCATGTCTTGCTGTATATCCTCTCAGCTCCTTCCAGGATGAATTTTATCTCTTGCTATGGTTTACCACATCTATTTTACATCTCTGTAAACTAGCTGTGAAACTTCTATTAGCCTGGCCTGATGAACTATGTTCTATTTTAAATAAAGAGTCATATCCTGACCCTTAGCCATATTCCCACCATACCCTACTATCTGTGCCTGCAAAAGGAATTGTAATACTTTTGGGCTGATCAAGAAGCCATTATGATGAGCAGATGGGATGGAGGAGTGGAGGCGTGATGGGAAAAGGTGGAGGTGAGAGAATGGATGAATCCTGTGAGTAGACAGAGTGAAAGGATAGGAGAAAACTGCTCACTTTATTAAATGGCAGAGATAAAAACTAAAATGTGCTAGCATATGCCTCTTACACTCACTGTGTACCATATTTGACTTGTAATGAGACCTGTTCACTTATATGCGGAATGTCTATTTGTAAATAAATAAAGGAACCCTTATAAATCTTAGAACCATATGAACATAATTTCACAATATCAGCATAACATAAAGAAAGCAGGTAGTAATGAAAAGTCAACTTAATTTGGACATTAAGCATTAAATGGCAATCACTTTGTAGTTTTTTGTTTTTGTTATTAGAGGCATGCAGGCTTTAGCAGTTTTGCTATGGTAAAAAATTTTAAATACCAGTGGAATGTGAGAGAATAAGGACCATTATGCTGATGGGCATGTCCAAACTCAGGAACAGTTTTCTATTAAATTGGGCAGAAACCTTGGTTCTTATAAAATTGTATATAAGCTAGTTTTCATCTGTAGGGATAATATTGCATACATACTACATAACTACATACAGTGGAGTTTTATAGTGGCTCTGTAATTAATCTTTTACCCTATACTTATTGGGTATAACATACTTTTCTCTCTTAACAGAAAAAGCTCTTTTATCCTCATTTTTAGAACTTATACATAAGTCAGAAATTTTATGTTCCTAGATTTCCTAATATTCTAAAAGTAATTTTGAAAAATTTATCTTGCTTTTTCTTTTAGTATTTAAAAAAGGTTACTCCACTGTCTTCCTGCTTGACTTGTCTCTGATGAGAAACCTGTTGTCATGCTCATTTTTGTTCTTCTGCATGCACTATGTCCTTTCCTCTGGCCACTTTTTTTTTCTTTTTATGACTCATTTAAGCAGTTTGATTATGATGTGACTTTGTGTTGTTTTCTTTCATCCTTCTTGTGCTTGAGGTTTATTGAGCTTCTTGGATCTATGGGTTTATAGTTTTTCAAATCAAATTTGGAATATTTCCAGTTATTATTTCTTCAGATATTTTTATCTGTCTTTCTCTTCCCCTTCAGAAATTCCAGTTACATGTGCATTAGGTCTCTTGAAATTGTCCTACAATTTACCAACACCCTATTAACTTAAAAAAAAGTCCTTTTTTCCTTCTATGTATTTCATTTTGGTTAGTTTTTATTGCTGCATCTTCAAACTCACCAATCTATTTTTCTGTAATGTCCAATCTGCTGTTAATGTCAACCAGTATATTTTTAATTTCATACATTGTGGTTTTGCTCTCTAGAAGTTTGAGTATTTTTAATGTCTTACCTGTCTCTACTTAATTTTTTGAGCATTCAGGATATAGTTACTGTCTTAATGCCCTTTTCTGTTAATGCTAACATCTATATTAGTTCTTGGTTGATTTTAAATAATTGATTTTTCTTCTCAGTATGGGGGTCATATTTTGCTACTTTGAGTTACTGGCAATTTTTTTATTGGATGTCAAATACTAGGAATTTTACTTCGTTGAGTGCTGTATATTTTTGTATTCTTATAAATATTCTCGGGCTTTTTCTGGAGTGCTGTCACATTACTTAGAAATGGTTTTTACCTTTTCAGTTCTTGCATTTAAGATTTGTTAGGTGTGATAGGAGCTATGCTCAATCTAGGGCTGTTTATTCCCCACTACTGGGGCAAGACCTGTCTAGGTACTCCGTCCGATGCCCTGTGAATTAGGACATTTTCTTGCACAGCTGATGGCAACCACCACAATTCCCAGCTCTGTGTGAGAGCCAGACACTGTTACCTCACATTCTTTCAGGTGGTTCTTTTCTTGGCTTTGAATAGTTTTCTCATACGTCTGCTGACCAGTACTCAACTGAACATTCTAGGGCAGGGGTTGGTAAGACAAATAGAGTATTCTTCTGGTAAAAGGTGACCATGCTGTAGCAAAAAGTGATCCTAAAACATTACATTATAATCACATGCATGAGAATCACTGTTAAAACTGCAGATTAATAGGCCATACAGCAGACCAATGCAATCAGAAATCTTTGAGGGAAGGGCTTGGTGATTTGTAATTTAAATAAATTATCAAGTGATTCCCATGACAAGTAAATTTTGTGGGAACACTGTCCAAAAAGATCAATAGAATAAATTTTCAGTACCATTGTTGTGATATGGAAGGGTGGAGAGCAGATCACCAAGAATGAATGAATGTCCTACAAGCTGGAGAAAGGAAGAGGACAAGCAAGGGCAAGAGAAAAATCCCAAAAGAAGAAAGGATTCTGAAAGTGCTACAGCAGGTTCCTAGTAGCGAAAGTTAGTCTTTTCTCAAGTAACTATTTTAGATTTCATTTATCAAGTGTTTTCAGTTCAGTTTGTTGAATGATGAAATATCAGATTTTATATTTGCAAAAGTGAAAAAAGTATCAATGTTCACTGTATAGTTTTTTGAATCTATATTTCATAATTTGATTTTTTGCTACTTTATTAATAGCCAGTGATTTTTATACTTAATATTGTCTAATAGAAAAGATTACAACATAAGAGGAAAACATGACTGCTGCTTTGCTTTGAATACTAGATAGCAAAAAAATTATAGACATGTAATATATAATATATACATATCTCATATATACATATATGTATCTATATCTCATATATATGTATATGTAAGATATATACATATACTCATATATGTATATACATAATCTCATATATACATATAAAATGTTTTTTTAAATTATAAAAATGTTATATATACATATCTCACATATACACATATATATCTCATATATATGATATATATACATATATGTATCATATATATGATATATACATATATGTATATGTGTATATGTGAGATATATACACATATGAGATATAGATAATCTCATATATACATATAATTTTTTTAATTATAAAAATGTTATATACGTATCTCATATATACATATAAAATCATATATATACATAATCTCATGTAATCTTTACAACAGCATTAAGTGGGGAATAATAATGTCCTCATTTACAGTTGAAGAAGATGTGACACTGAAATGTAACTTTCCCAGAGTCTCTGAGAAATGCTAAAAGCAGGAAGGGCTTGAACTAGCGACAAGTCTTGTTATGCTGCATCATACTGCACAGATAGTTAATATAGATTCGTTCAGGTGATAAGGTCTCAGTATCGCAAATAAATTTGTATCCAAAATGAATAAGCATAGTTCTGTTTGTCTGTAAGTAGGCATATCTTTTGTATCATAAAAATAGAACATAGTAAATTAATGTTTTAAAAAAGTACACCCAGCAGGATAGATTTAAGAATCATATTTATATTAAAATGTAAAAGATTTAACTCTGGGTTATTTTCAATTTGTGAAATTTGTGCTATGTAATTTCAAACTCTTTAATTCACAGAAAGCGAATGAAGAGCACCATCGTTTACTTAAAGGAGCACCATTTAAGTTAAATCTTCACCCAAGGGACTATTTTGACGCTAATCCTTATTTTTCTGAGGAATCTTTACCACCAATTAAAAAAGAAGAGAAGAAGAAAACAATTTCAAATACTTTTAAACCGTCTTCTCCTGGTAAAAAGGTAAGTTTACAATTTTAGGATGAAAAAATTAAGTATTATAAAGAAATACTGTCTCTTGCTATCAAATGATTTTTTTTCCCATGTAAATAATAAACTTTTGTTTGTATGGATACCAAGAATCATTGGACCCATTTTTACAAAATTACATGAAATCACCAAGTATGAATAGTGTAGGGGATAATGAAGCCCTTGTCATGAAGTAATTATTAGTCTCTTCAAATGTATTTGAATTTATAATTTTTTTTTTTTGAGATGGAGTCTCACTCTTTGCCCGGGCTGGCAGTGCAGTGGCATGATCTAGGCTCACTGCAAGCTCCGCCTCTTGAGTTCAAGCAATACTCCTGCATCAGCCTCCAGAGTAGCTGAGATTACAGGCATGTGCTACCATGCCTGGTGAATTCATAATGAATTTTTGAAGTGCTTCTCTAGACCCTAGGTCTAGTTTTTCTTAAAACCATAAAAAGCCAAACCATCTTTTAGTTTTTGAAATGGTAATTAAAATTAACTATCTTCCTACTGCAGAAGTTAATAAGTGAGAATAAAAATTAAAATGCTCCAGCAGTTTATAAACCTTAGTCAATACTTTTTTTTTCTGTAAATTGCCTCTTCATTTTTCTTGCGGACTTTGTATTTCAAAGTTTATGTTTTTAATATTGTAAGATATCTTATAAGATCTCTTCATATATTAAGGGTACTAGTCTTGTTTTGTTATTTGTGTTGAAAATAATTTTTTTAATCTGTTGGATCTTTGGTTATGATGTTTTGTGCTGTTCAGGAACTTAATGATTGGATGTAGTCAGATTTATCAGTCCATTGTTGGTAAGGTTTATGTCATTTTCGGAGTGGCTCTCTTTACCACCAATATTAGAATAATGTGGCTTCTTAATTTCTTCTATTAAAAGAAATTAAATTAAAATTTCTACTAAAAATTTAATTTCTTTTAATTAATTTTTAATTAAAAGAAATTAATAATTTTAATATTAAAATATCCTTTTGCATTTAAATATTTATCTAAAACACATTTTGATGTAAAGAGTGAGGTAAGAATCCAGCTTTTATTTAGTTTGGGGGCATGAGAACACTTTGGGCAGGGGGTGAAATGTTCCGTATCTTAATTGTGGTAGTCATTTCAAGGGTTGTAGACATCTGTCAAAACTCATAGCATTGTACACTTTAAATGGGTATAGTTTATTGTAGGTGAATTACACTTTAATAAAACTGATTTTTAAAAAATCAAGCTGTTCCCAATATGACTGATGGAATAATTCATTTTTAACACCATTACTTTGAAATGCCATGTTTATCAAACCAAAATTCTTATTTTTGAAGTTATGTTTCTGAGTTTTCATTCCATTTGACTCATCTATTTGTTTATTTCTGCCCAAAAAACCCTTTTAAGTTCTATTATATTTAATAGTAAGTGGTCAAGTCTCTTCTTACTCTTTAAAAAAGTTATGCTGGTTATTCTGTCATATTCTCCAGAACTTCAGAATTATTTTCTAAAGTTCCAAAAAGGGAAAGAACTTTGATATTTTGTTATAAAATTTACTCTTTTTTTGGATATATTAACATATTTATAATTTGAATCTTCAGATCTAGGAATAAGCTCCTTAACCTTCTATCTCCCTTGTAGAGTTTTGTATTTTATATTGCATAGGTTATATTATATCTTATATTTATTCCTAGTTATTTTAAGGTTCTGGTCAATAAGTATTTTTCCCCATCATATTTTCCTTCATATTATTTGTCATTATAAAAACATTTGATTTTTACAAAATAACTGGCCACTTCATTAAACTTTGTGTCCTAATGGTTATTTTCTTGACTTTCTTTTGCTTTGCAGCTCTATATTATCTGCAAATAATTTTGCTCCCCCTGCTTCTCATATATATGTATTTTTTTATGTCATGCTCATGCCCAATTCCTTAAGCCAGCAGTAGTGGCCATCCTTGCCTTAATCTTGACTTTAATAGGATACCTTTAGTTTTTCATTTTTATAGATGCCAAAAATAGGAATACATCAGGAACGTATGCTGAATTTTATTGAATATACGCTGAATTTTATCAAATGGTGTAATCTATTTAGACTATCCCTTCACTCCCCACTTTTTACTTGTCATAAGCTGAATAACAATATTTCCTGAAATGAATCTCACTTGGCTGTGTTGTATTAATCTTAAAATATAATACTGTGTTTTATTTGCTAATATTTTATTAAGTATTTTTGCAGGAATAATTTGAAGTGTGATTGGTCTGTATTTTTAAGACTATGTATATGCCTTGTTCTATTTTGGTACAAGTGGATGCAGGCATCTTAAAGCAATGGGGGTAATTTCTTTGTGTTTCTATGTTCTATAGCAGTTTAATAGCATTAGAAATATCAGCTTTTTGAAGACTTGAAAGAATTCACAGTGAAGCGTTCTGAGCTTAGCCGTATTACAGGGTGGCTCTGCTAATTTTCTCAATTCTTACATTTCTTTCTCCATCTGTTTTGTGTAGGTTTTCTATCTCTTTTTGGTCAATGTAGATTATTTATATTTTCTTAGAAAATCAGTCATTTCATTCAGGTTTTTGGGGTTTACAGAAATATTATTTTTTATGTATATATATATATATATATATATTTTTTTTTTTTTTTTTTTGAGATGGAGTCTTGCTCTGTTGCCCAGGCTGGAGTGCAGTGGCACGATCTTGGCTCACTGCAACCTCTGCCTCCCAGGTTCAATTCAAGCGATTCCTTTGCCTCAGCCTCCCTAAGAGCTGGGATTACAGGAGTGTGCCACCACGCCTGGCTAATTTTTGTATTTTTAGTAGAGACAGGGTTTCGCCATGTTGCCCAGGCTGGTCTTGAACTCCTGACCTCAGGTGATCCACCTGATTCGGCCTCCCAAAGTGCTGGGATTACAGGCGTGAGCCACAGTGCCTGGCCTATTTTATATTTTTGATATTAAATATAGGTATAGACTTTCCTCACTTCTTTTTCATTCTTAATTCTATTACAGATTTAGCTATGAACTTATTTTTTAAAGCATCACTTGGGTTTATTTAACTTATGTATTTCTATTTTTAATTCATTCATTTTGCTTTTATACTTGTAAATTAATTTATTTAAACTTTCTTAAGTTTTCTTGTTATTGTAAGCTTTAAAATAATCCATGTGTCTTCAATCTGGAAAACCTGAAAACTTATAACTATATCTTTCTTTTTTTTTTTTTTTTTTTTTTTTTTTTTTTTTTTTTTTTTTTGAGACGGAGTCTCGCTCTGTTGCCCAGGCCGGACTGCGGACTGCAGTGGCGCAATCTCGGCTCACTGCAAGCTCCGCTTCCCGGGTTCACGCCATTCTCCTGCCTCAGCCTCCCGAGTAGCTGGGACTACAGGCGCCCGCCACCGCGCCCGGCTAATTTTTTGTATTTTTAGTAGAGACGGGGTTTCACCTTGTTAGCCAGGATGGTCTCGATCTCCTGACCTCATGATCCACCCGCCTCGGCCTCCCAAAGTGCTGGGATTACAGGCGTGAGCCACCGCGCCCGGCCTGTATCTTTCAAATGAATTAAATCTTCATGTATATTTGGCATAGATACTACAAGAAAAGGTGCCTAATTAAATGGGTTATTATGATTCTATAGAATTTTCCTGTGATTATATAGAATATAAAGCTTAAAATTCTGTCAAATCAGTTTAAGAAGTCAAAGCAAATATTTCTGTCTTGTGTACAGGTTGAAAAATATTTTGATTGACTTCTCTTGATAGACTACAAGAAAAGTAAAGTAGATCGAATTTTCCTCTCAACTTTCTATTTCTTTGTGCTATTGCTTATTACTTTTTTTTTAAAGTATCTTCTCCATCATTGACTGGCATTTAGTAAACTCATGTTGTGCCATACTCCTTGTTCCCCATTCTCTATCAAAATACATCTGACCTAGGATTTCCCTTACTAATAGACTCACTTTCTAACTAAGTGATAGCCTAGTCTGATAAACTCTAAAATATTAATGCTTGGCAATAGTTTAGACTGTTACCTTACTATAAACATTGTCATTTTTATAGAGAGATTTTGGATTATGATGTTTTGACCCTATAAAGTTGGTGGTAGGGAGACCTTTTGGTGGTATTTGAATTAAACAGTATCATTTTCTTTAAAACCAACTCCACAGACTACAAAAATATGTATGAACTTCTTCACAAGCTAATTTTGTAGAGGCATTTTACAAAATCACATTAAGTTGTCTCGTTTTTCTTCGCAGCCTGGTGGAATGAAGGCAGGAACATTTGATCCTTACCCATCACATTCTGCTGACCCTTATGTGGCTAAATTGGCAAATATTTCTGGCAAAGATGATAAGATTTTCCACCCACCAAGTGGACCAAAAAGCAGACCAGTTGAAAGTATAATGACTTTGAATGTCAGAAGGTGGGAATATCTTACACTTAGCTTACAAACTAAGAAAAAATTGTTTCCAACTTTTATACTTCTTCAAAATAGTATCTTTTATTTATATATACTTTTTTAAATGACAAATGTGGGTGACTTTAGACATCTCAGCTCCTTCCATGTACAGGTACCTGCCCTCCCTTGTAGAAGTTCTCCCCCATCTTCTGAAATTCCCAGCTGAGAAAGCTTAAGTTATCTGCACCAAACCATTCTGTGCATAATTTTTAAAGCAAATATATAGCGCCTCATTATGAGTCATTTGAGATGAGTTAGATATGCATAGTTCAGTTAGCAGTACAATTAACATTGGCTATTTCTCGAAGGGAGTTTCTTAGCAATCTTGAGGAATCCTAATGATGCTTGAGAGTTCTGTCTTTAACTTTGAAATAACCTATGAAAATAGAAAATATTCTGGTTAATTAAAAATGCCAACATAACTATAATGCTTTGAGAAAAAGTATATTATCAAGGTATCTTAAAACTTCAATTTTATCCAGGTTTTGCATACTCTCAAAACTGAAAAAGTTCTTTGGAGTAAAAACAATCAGTTATTCTGTGTCTAAAGGACACTAAATTTACATTCTTTTATAAAAACAGTAGTACATCTTTAACACTTGGGGACAGCAATTATAATACTAACATTAGTATTATTTCACAAAAATAAAACTGCCCTTTATTACAAAGGTGTATTTCTTTTTTATTTTTTTGAGACGGAGTTTCGCTCTTATTGCCCAGGCTGGGGTACAATGGCGTGATCTCGGCCCACCATAACCTCCACCTCCCAGGTTCAAGCGATTCTCCTGCCTCAGCCTCCCGAGTAGCTGGGATTACAGGCATGCAACACCACACCCGGCTAATTTTGTATTTTTAGTAGAGACGGAGTTTCTCCATGTTGGTAAGGCTGGTCTCGAACTCCCGACCTCAGGTGATCCACCCACCTCAGCCTCCCAAAGTGCTGGGATTACAGGTGTGAGCCACTGCGCCCAGCACAAAGGTGTATTTCTGATTGACTACTTGTTAAGTTCTTTAGAACAATGTATTTATCAGCAGAACTAATCAGCTAAAGACAAATTACTTAACATTTTTATGAATTAAAAATACCAGTGCTATGTGTTAACTTTTACCTAATCAAAATATGATTTTGAATACATGAATTCTTTTGGGAAAGAAGACTTCATAGTAAGTTGATACTGTCTTAAAACTTTGATAATTTGGGGTGCTCTAACTTAGATGGTGTTCATACTTGTACTACTCTTCTTGCTCATGAGACTACTGAGAAGATTCTGTGGTCCCTGGATACCTAACAATGGCCTTTTTTCACTTTATTCTCTCACTCAACATCCATTTAGAGCTTCAATATGTATCCAATTTTCTGACTGAATTATTTTGATCTAGTCAGTTGCTTAAGTTGAAAAAAAATTTCTGGGCATCTTAAGCTTTATATCAATCAGGGACTACCTAGTACTAAATTTTATGTTGAGAGTTTGCAAGATTAGCAAAAAATGATTTTACATAAGGAAAATTTTAAATGTTATATAGTTTGTTACTTCAGACATAGTATCTATAGCCCACAACATTTTTTGTGATGTACATGATTTTACTGTATTTTATGTACTTTAAGATGTGTTTTCTATAAAAAAAATTGAAGTTATCTTCTGGTTTCATGGGGACTAATTAGCTTGAGATGCCATCTAGTTTCAAACATTTGCTTAAAAACCTGAAGTTCCTTTGTAAGGTGGCTATAACCTGCTTTCCTGTTGTCTTTCTTGTTATTTTCATGCATCTTTTTTTTGAGCCTCATGAAATACATGTACTTTCTTTTAACCTACTCTACTACATTGCTGGTAAGGTTGTTCATTCTGCCTTCTATCTTCTATCATCTCTTCTCTAAAGTCTGCTAATATCCTCACATGGAGCTTCTACTGAACTTCTATCTCAAACCTGTCTTTTATGTGTTATAGTCATTCCATATATGTTATACCTTGTATGATAGTTATTTTGTTACATATAGCTATGTTTGATTTTATATTTTTTCTTTTTTTTTTTTTGAGACGGAGTCTCACTCTGTCGCCCAGGCTGGAATGCAGTGGCACGATCTCGGCTCACTGCAAGCTCCACCTGCCGGGTTCACGCCATTCTCCTGCCTCAGCCTCCCGAGTAGCTGGGACTACAGGCGCCCGCCACCACGCCCGGCTAATTTTTGTATTTTTAGTAGAGACGGGGTTTCACTGTGTTAGCCAGGATGGACTTGATCTCCTGACCTCGTGATCCACCCACCTTGGCCTCCCAAAGTGCTGGGATTACAGGCTTGATCCACCACGCCCGGCCGATTTTATATTTTTTCAAAACATTTATCTCAATATGTCCCAAATGGCAAGTGCATAAAGCGTTTGTCAAGTGAAGTTTTTTCTTGAGCACTTGTATGTGTCACTAGCGTTAACTACAGAATGCTGTGTGTATTTCAGTGGCCTCCAATACTATGACATCTGTATTAAGCCATGTATGCATCTCATTAGGAGTATTAGAACCAGTGTCTTTCCTATGAATTCAATTTCAGTAATATAGTATCACTGCAATTAACTGGAAGGATAGTACATTCACATTTTATGTAAAATAAAATAACCACCCCCCAAACTCTAATACTACTTTGACAGAAGCTCTAAATTGCTATGATACCAAATAGAAGCTAAACTATGCAATTAATACAAAATCACTAATGTATGAGATGCTATTATAAGTGAGGTAATGTAGGTGAAATGAATAGTCCTTCTTAGCTGCAATAATTAGCCAATTTAAGTTTTCCAAGCCTACTATGTCTTGCTGATACTATATATAGGTTTGAAAGAACAGGTTTTGGAAATACGTTTTGTCTTTTTTTCCTTTTTTGAGATGGAGTTTCACTCTTGTCACCCAGGCTGGAGTGCAAAGGTGTGATCTCGGCTCACTGCAACCTCTGCCTCCCAGGTTCAAGCAACTCTCCTGTCTCAGCCTCCCAAGTAGCTGGTATTACAGGCGCCCACCACCACGCCCAGCTAATTTTTGTATTTTTAGTAGAGAAGGGGTTTTGCCGTGTTGGTCAGGCTGGTCTCGAACTCCTGACCTCAGGTGATCCGCCCGCCTCAGCCTCCCAAAGTGCTGGGATTAAGTGCTGGGATTACAGGCGTGAGCCACTGCGCCCGGTCAGAAATACATTTTGAATGGTAGCTTAACTCATATGGGTTTTATTATAATAAGCTAATATAGATGACGATGGTGACCGTTTTTTGCATATTTTATCTACTCTTTGTAGCACTTTGGTGACAATTTTGTGGCATAAGTAAGGAAAATTGATTCTGACCTAGCAAAATTCACATTTTCTGAATTAACAAAAACTGATCTATGTCACTGAACCACGATTCCCCTAGATATTAGGGTAAATGTATGTAATTTAAACTGTTGTCTACAGGAATACTATTCTCTGTGGGCTAGTTGGTAAAGTTGGTAAAGATATGGAGCTTTTTTCTATCCTTTTAACCTTTAACCTCTGGCAAGCCACCTATCGCTACTCTGCCCAACTCATCTAATAAACAGACAGTAAAATTAGAATTTTCCTCACCACACCCACCCTCTGATAGATGGAACTTTGTGTGTGGGAAGGGGGCAGTATTTCAGGTTTTCTATGTGTCCTCTTCTATCCAGAGAATAAACCTGAGAAAGTTCTATGATGCTGTTAGAACTTTGGAACAGGGAGAAAGAGAAGAATAAGTGATTATTCTTTTGAAAAATCTGAATTTTATCTTCCGTTTAGTAATTTTGAATTTATTGAAATCTCTTTCTTTTTATAATACATTATCAAAACATTATCCTGAATCAAGTTCTAGCTTCTTTTACCCTAATTTTAAAACCAGTAAACCTTTGGACACCAGAATTTAAAATTGATTCCGTAATTGTTTTCCTTCTTAAATTGTATCTTCTAAGTATATATGGCTTTAATAAAATGAAGTGTTTTAAGTTGATGAGAAAATTTTGATTTTGGATTGTTAATATGTTACAAAGTATATTTGTTTTAAATTTTTTAATGAAAATAGTTTTTATAAGAATGTACAGATAGGCTGGGCGTGTTGGCTCGTGTGTAATCTCAGCACTTTGGAAAGCCAAGGTAGGCAGATCGCTTGAGCCCAGGATTTTAAGACCATCCTGGGCAACATGGCAAAACTCTGTCTCTACAAAAAATATAAAAATTAGCCAGGCATGATGGCACATGCCTGTAGTTTCAGCTACTTGGGCGGCCGAGGCAGGAGGATTGCCTAAAAGCCTAGGAGGTTGAGGTTGCAGTGAACTGTGATTGCACCACTGCACTCCAGCCTGGGCAACAGAGCGAGACCCGGTCTTAAAAAAAAAAAAGAATGTACAGGTATTTGACTTGCACCTATAAAATTAATGTGTGTTTATTTTCCAATTTTAGGGCACTAAATTCAAAGAACTACAAGACTTCTTCAGTACCATCCTATTAGCAACTGGAAGACAAGTAGCTTTCTAGATCTTAACTATGAGTAATTCACTATCAAGAGCTAATTATTTGAAAAAATATAAGATGTTATGGAGCAGATAGCTCAAGCAGTTAAAAGAAATTCTGCAACTCTAATTCTCTTCCTTATTTTAATACTACTAGTTAATAAATAGTATTTGCTAATAACACGTGGTTGTTGATTTATGTTTTTAGATCTATGCTTCTGAGCAGAATATGTTTACACATTTTATAAAATCCCGGAGTGCAATCTGTCATTTGCTTTTACTGCTAATGTTAAAAAATTGCAGCGTTGGAGGGGAGGAGCGGAAGAGACTGCTGGAAGGGTAGAAAGTATACAATAAATTCTTGCTGTTTCTTCTCAGAAGTATTGAAAATTGGATTGATAGCTATCCAAGTGTCATAGCCTACTAAAGCATTCTTAACATCAAAGATAAATGTTAGATCCATTTATATTATTACGTAGATACAATATATACACATGATATAGTGAGGCAAATGCTTCAGCTTATATGATAACATGCCCTGTATTTGTGACTTATGTAAAGCATCAGGTTATTTAGCCAATGGCAGCCCCAAGATGAGTTTGAGGGGTTGAGGGGAATGTACTTGTTAGTTGAGTATCTTATAAAAATTCTGAAGTTGGAAGATGGATAGATGGATGAAGTCAGTCTTTCGTGTCCTCCCATGTTCCTCTCTAGCTGTCAAGCTGCTTCTCCTGGGGCATCCCACCTAGGCCTTACCCGCTAGTCCCCAAGTTATCTCTTCTCCTTCACCTGCCCTATCTCTTTTAAAAATATCTGCTCTAAGCCAGGCACGGTGGCTCACGCCTGAAATCCCAGCACTTTGGGAGGCTGAGTCGGGTGGATCACAAGGTTAGGAGTTCGAGACCAGCCTGCCCAACATAGTGAAACCCTGTCTCTACTAACAATACAAAAATTATCTGGGCATGGTGGCGTGTGCCTGTCATCCCAGCTCGGGAGGCTGAGGAAAGAGAATCGCTTGAACCTGGAAGGCAGAGGTTGCAGTGAGCTGAGATCATGCCACTGCACTCCAGCCTGGGCGACAGAGTGAGACTCTGTCTAAAAAAAAAAAAAAAAATCTGCTCTTAAAAGACATGATTTAAATATCTTACTGTAATTCATAGTGAGGTATTGATAGCCCTCATTCACCAGGGGCAGGGGCTGGTGGGGTTTGTATTTTAAAAGGGAAATGTAAAATATCTAAATATCAAATAATACATTGGAAGTTATTTTTGATAATGGTGTGATATGGTTTTGCTGTGTCCCCACCCAAATCTCATCTTGAGTTGTAGCTCCCATAATTCCCACATATTGTGGGAGGGACCTGGTAGGAGTTAATTCAATCATGGAGGCAGCTTCCCCCATACTGTTCTCGTGGTAGTGAATAAGTCTCCCGAGATCTGATGATTTTATAAGGGGTTTCCCTCTCGCTTGATTCTGATTCTCTCTTTTCTGCCACCATGCAAGATGTGCCTTTCACCTTCCATGATGATTGTGAGGCCTCCACAGCCACGTGGAACTGTGAGTCCATTAAACCTCTTTTTCTTTATAAATTATCCAGTCTTGGGTATGTCTTTATCAGCATTGTGAAAATGGACAAATACGTGGTGCTTTGCTAGAACTTGTCCTTCTGCCGGTCCAGGCTGCCTAGAGCTGGAAATGAGTTTGTAGAAGGCTACAGGACTCTTCTTTTGGGCCTCCCCACTTTTTTTAAGTGGAGGGAACTATGTCAAGCCAGACATATAGCTGGCTTTTGAAGGAGGAGTGCAGATGGTACAGATAATTTTTACAATTAAGGTTTTAAAGGAATTTTTCATGCCTGCTTCATAACTAACACTGTGCAATTAATATTGTAAACACATTACCAAGGGTATAATGTGAATCAAAGAGTAATATTGAATACATTTGTCTTCAGAATAGGAATGGCCTTACCAAGTACACATAGGTGAATAAAATCTACGGTTATATATCAATAATGTTACCAAAAAAGCCTTATAAATATTCTTAGGCTGGGCGTGGTGGCTCATGCCTGTAATCCCAATTCTTTTGAGATAAGAGTTTTATATTTTCAGAGTTTATCAAAATTTATTTTAGATTTCAAAATCATAATTGTTCATTTTAATCTGTCTTTATAGTTAATTTTTATTAATGTGCCTTTTTAAGACAACACACTTCATATCATATTCATAGATGGGAACACTAACCTAATGCCTTCCTGAAGGGTTTAAGCAGTAGTGTGACAATTGACAGACCTTATCTGGATTTTATATAAATGTATTGTGTCGGTTTACAGAAAACCAAATATGGAAACCAGTAATGGGAATAGTGAAATATGTAAAACAATTAAGATTTTTCTAAGTGTCAGTAGAGGAAATCATACACACACATTCGATCTGACAGGTGCAAACTAGTTATGATGCCCATGGATTGTTTTCTTACAATTGTTGTCTCTTCTTTTAACTTTGAAAATGTAACAATACAAAACAGTTTTATTCCTCAGACTCAGCCATGACACTGGCGTCCTCTATTGACAACTTACACATCTAGTTATCTACTCTCCTGTTATGATGCCTGTATGACTTGGGTAGTTTTCTGCATCCATCGTCAATGAGTAATGGAAGAAATAAGCTTGCTCAGCCAGACATCAGTCTCTGCTACAAACTGTCTGCTTACATCTGTTCAAGGCTCAAATCTGAAACAATGATTGTGGATGTTGACATAACATGGAAGAAAGGCTTAACTTTAAGGGAAACTTAGATCAATAAGAAGCTCTGATAAGAACTGGAGAGAAAGTTAAGCAGTAGCACCTCAAGAAAGTTAAGCAGTAGTACAATCATAGTTTTTGAAATCTTATCCTGCTTCTTCAGAGACTGCCTGCTCCTTTTGTATATAAATGTGGAACATGCATTAAGAATAATAAGCCAAGTTCAAGGCCGGGCTCGGTGGCTCATGCCTGTAATCCCAACACTTTGGGAGGCCAAGATGGGTGAATTACTTGAGGTCAGGAGTTCGAGACCAGCTTGATCAACATGGTGAAATACTGTCTTTACCAAAAATACAAAAATTAACCAGGCATGGTGGTGGGCAACTGTAATCGCAGCTACTGGGGAAGCTGAGGCAGGAGAATTGCTTGAGCCTGTGAGGCGGAGGTTGCAGTGAGCCAAGACTGCACCACTGTACTCCAGCCTGGACGGCAGAGTGAGACTCAAAAAAAAAAAAAAAAAAAAAAAGCCAGGTTCAACCTATTACTATTATAGCTGTCTATACTAGAGCAAAATTAATTTCTTAAGACTCTTTCATTATCTGTCATTTGTATTATCTACCTGGAAGAATTATTATGAACACCAAATTTAAAATATTTTATAAGCTGTAAAATAAATAAAAAATATATATCGGTCTATTAAGGCTGGGTACAGTGGCCCATGCCTGTAGTACCAGCATTTTGGGAAGCCAAGGCAGGAGGATCACCAGGACCCAGGAGTTTGAGGCCAGACTGGGCCACATGGTGAGACCCTGTCTCTAAAAACAAACAAACTAAAACAAAACAAAACAAAACAAAAACAACCACTAGATCATTATCCATCAAATAATTTGTTGTAAATAAGTTGTAAGGTAATTTGTTAATTTGAATTTTCATCAGTTATAACTTAATTTTCCAAAAGTGAGTTAGTAGCATTATAGTAGCATTACATAACACTTATATAATGCGATGTGCCAGATACCATTCCATGTGCATTCCATATTAATATGTTTTCAATTATGAATCACTTAATCTACATCTAACAATGAAATGGAGTTAGAGAAAGATTAACTAATTTGTCCAAGTTAGCACAACTAGCAGTGGCAAAGCACACAGTCTTGCTTTTTTTTTTTTTTTTTTTCCCGAGACAGGGTCTTGCTCTGTCGCCTAGGCTGGAGTGCAGTGGTGCGATCATGGCTCACTGCAGCCTCAACCTCCCAGGCTCAAGCAATCCTGCCACAGCCTCCTAAGTAGCTGGGACCAGAGGCATATGCCACCACACCTGGCTAATTTTTCAAATTTTCTGTGGAGACAAGGTCTCCCTATGCTGCCCACACTCATCTCCAACTCCTAGGCTCAAACGATCCTCCCACCTCAGCCTTCTCGTTGCTATTTTTTTTTTTTTTTTTGAGACGGAGTTTCGCTCTTGTTGCACAGGCTGGAGTGCAATGGTGTGATCTCGGCTCACTGCAACCTCTGCCTCCTGGGTTCACGCGATTATCCTGCCTCAGTCTCCTGAGTAGCTGGGATTACAGGCGCCTGCCAACCAAGCCCAGCTAATTAATTTTGTATTTTTAGTAGAGATGGGGTTTCACCATGTTGGTCAGGCTGGTCTTGAACTCCTGACATCAGGTAATCCACCCGCCTCGGCCTCCCAAAGTGCTGGGATTACAGGCATGAGCCACCACGGCCAGCCTCTGGCTGCATTTAACAGTTACATTAGTCACTCTACAGCCTTTACCAAAATTAGAGAGCAGGGTAAGGTGGAGGTTAGTTACTTGTAGGAAATCAACTGTAGAACGCACGTTACTTTACAAGAAAAAAGACTTGAGAAGACCTGTTTCCAGTTTATTCCTCCTCACACCTTATCAAGGGGGCAGGCTATAAGCCTATGGGAGATAGCTAGAAAAACATATATTATCCTCCCTCCCCCAATATTATATATATTTCCAAAAATCTTCATAAAGCAATTTGAAATCATTACACTACTGTTAGAAAGTGACCTAAAATTGTCGGGCGTGGTGGCTCACGCCTGTAATCCCAGCACTTTGGGAGGCTGAGGCGGGAGGATCACTTAAGGTCAGGAGTTCGAGATCAGCCTGGCCAACATAGTGAAACCTCATCTCTACTAAAAATACAGAAATAAGCTGGGCATGGTGGCACATGCCTGTAGTCCCAGCTACTCAGGAGGCTGAAGCAGGAGAATCACTTGAACCTGGGAGGCGGAGGTTGCAGTGAGCTGAGATCAGGCCACTGCACTCCAGCCTGGGCCACAGAGCAAGACTCCATCTCAAAAAAATAAAAAAGAAAGAAAGTGACCTAAAATGTCATCTTGTCTAAGCTTTGCTGTTGTTGTTAACAGATGGGGTCTCATTCTGTCACCCAGGCTGGAGTGCAGTGGCACAATTATAGCTCACTGCAGCCTCAAACTCCTGGGGTCAAGCGATCCTCCTACCTCAGCCTCCTGAGTAGCTGGGACTACAGGTATGTACCACCCCACCCAGCTAATTTTGTCTAAACTTCTTGATACTTAAAACTCTTTATAATGTTCGTACAAGGTGAATGCCCAGCCTCTGCCTAATATTCTAGTGTAATGGCAGCCTGTTCATTCATCATTCACTTAACAGATGTTGAGTGTCTGCTATATTCCAGGCATGGTTCTGGACACTGGGATTCAGCAGTAAACAAAATAGACAAAGGTAGGTTAAAAGTAAAAGGATGCACCTAACTTTTTAGTTATATTGTTTGTTTTATATTGTCAATGTTTTTTTAACACTAACACTCTATTTTGTAACCATAATTCAAACAGTTCTTTAATCTTAATTTTGTATTTAAATGGATATAGTGCTCACCATTAGTTATTTTCTTAATACTTTAGTTCTTTGATTTATATTTGATTTTCAGGATTTAGTAATCCATTTTCATGGTATATATTTATTATTTAACTATTCAGAGTTTCTCCTACTGATTCATCATTACAAAATAAATATAAAAGGATGCAAAAAGATATACTATGCAAATACCAATCTAAAGACAACTAGAGGGGCTATATCAATATCAGAGACTTTAGAACAAGGAATACCCCTAGGGATAATGAAGGTTATTTCATAATAATAAAGGTATCAGTTTACCAACTGGACATAATAGTGCTAAATGTGTATGCATACATAAAAGAGCTTTGGCCAGGCGCGGTGGCTTATGCCTGTAATCCCAGCACTTTGGGAGGCCGAGGCAGGTGGATCACCTGAGGTCAGGAGTTTGACTGAGTCTGGCCAACATGGTGAAACCCCGTCTTTACTAAAAATACAAAAATTAGCCGGGCATGGTAGTAGGCGCCTGTAATCTCAGCTACTCGGGAGGCTGAGGCAGGAGAATTGCTGGAACCCAGGAGGTGGAGGTTGCAGTGAGCTGAGATTGTTCCATTGCACTCCAGCCCGGGCTGACAACAGTGAGACTCCATCTCAAAAAAAAAATATTAATAATAAAAATTAAAAGAGCTTTAAAACACACTAAACAAATTTATAGAATGAACAAATCAACTTCTCTGTTCCTCTATCAGTAACTGTTAGAACAAGCAGACACAAGATCAGTACAGATATAGATTTGCTCAAACCTGTCAACCACGTTTACTCAGTTGACATTTATAGAACACTCCAGTTCACCTGAAACATCAACCAAGACAGACCTTATTCTGGGCAATAAAACAAGTCTCAATAAATTAAAAAAGATTATGTTCTCTGATCAAAACAGAATTAAATTAGAAATCAATAAAAGAAAAATAACTGAAAATCTCCAAACATTTAGAAATCAAGCAACTCACTTCCAATCCATTGGGTCAAAGAATAAATCACAAGTGAAAAAGAAAGTATTTTGAACTGAATGAAAATGAAAACATACCAGACTCTGTGATGCTATTAATGCAGGTACGAAACTAGGGAAGGAGCCAAGTAGCACCAGACGACCCAAAGGAATGAAATTACTAAATAGGAACAGAAATCAATGGAAGAAAAAAACAAAGCAGCAAGAAAAATCAATGAAATAATAAGCTGATTTTTTGAAAAGAAAAATAAAATTGGTAAAACTCTAGCAAGAATAATAAAGAAAAAAGAATCCCCAAATTACCAATGTCAGAAATTAAAGAGGGGACATCGCTACAAGTCCTTTGAACGTTAAAATGCTAATAAGGAATATTATGAACAACTTTGTGACAATACATTTGAGAACTTACATGAAATGTACAAATTCCTCAGAACATACAAAATTGTCAACTCTAACTCAAGAAATAGAAAATCTGAGTAGTTCTATATTAATAGAAATCATTTAGCAATGTAAAACCTTCCCATTTAGAAAAATCCAGGCCCTCTGGTGAATATTTACATATTATATATTTTACAAATATGTATGAGTATTACATATTTAAATATTTAAGGAAGGAATAATATTAATAATACCAATCCTACACAAATTCAGAAAATAGAGGAGGGGAAACACTTCCCAACAGGATTTTCCTGATGCCAAAGCCAGACAAAGACATTACAAGAAAATAATACAGACCAACATCCTTCTGAATACAGAAGCAGAAATCCTTAACAAAATATTACCAAATTGAATCCAGGAATGTATATTAAAAGAATAATACAACATCACCCAGTGGAGTTTATCCCAGGAATTCAAGGTTAGTGTTTCAAAATTAACATAATTTACCATATTAACAGATTAAAGGAGAAAAACCAGGATCACCTCCAATAAATGTAGAAAAAGCTTTGGACAGAATTCAACAAGGAATATTTGAATAGCAGTCTTGGAAGACAGAGTGTCTCTGGAGCACAGAACAGGTGTGCTTGCAACCTTGGAAGCTAGAGATTGTGTTTCCTCTGGAGCCAGGGCAGGCATGTGTATTGTTTCCACCTACAGGAAAGGGCAGGCATCTTACTATCCGTTATAATACTCGGGTTTCTAAGCTCACTCTCTCCTGTAATGCAATCCACTGTGTGATCCTCTTTACACTGCCTGTAGAAACTGGGGCTTGGACAACCAATGCAAACATGCTGATTCCCTGGCTCCTGCTATTGTAACAAACTCTCCTTAATCTCTCGCTCAGGAGTCTTGTGACTTCCACTAGAACCCACAAAACTGTGGCAGGCTAAAATATGAGCTTACTAGTTGGGTAAAATCTCAGATTCGCCACCGTTCTTGACAGTATAAAATATATACTTAATTCCAATTTCTAATTTTAAAAACTAGTCTAATCAATTACCAGGTTAATGTAATCACATAATTTAAAATTATTTTGTGGGGGGAAAAAGTACTTGGACAAAGGTTTTGAAACATTGATTTTAGCAGTTTATTTATATATCTTGGATGGAAGCAAATGATACAGTTTACTTGGAATTCCTAGGGAAAAAAAAAAGAATTCTTTTAAGGTGGGAGTGCTACTTATACTTTAAAATAATAATTAACTCCCTCTTGCTCACTGCCAAACTTGGTTTGTACACATACAATGCACATAATATAAACAAAATAATATATATTTTATCTAGAAAAAATTCCTAAATAATTTCACTGTATAATAAATTGGATACAAATTTTACAAAACAAAATTGTATTCATTTTAAAGTTTCCTCCTTATTTCTGTACTCTGTAGTGCCCAATAGGCTAAAAGAATCTTAAACACATCTCTACTAATCTACCAGGACTTGCGTACCTTTCAAATCCGAAGCCAAAGGCCTACTCTGAGGACTAGAAGTATCTTCGTGAGTATAGTTGTCAAAATGGAATTTCTCTCTTCTTGAAATGTAAGTTGTTTTTGAAGGGTCATTATGCTGATTACAAATTTTATCACTTAAACTTAAATATTCTCGTTGAAGATGCCGCATCTCAAATTCCAAGGTATCCCTTTCATTTTCTATGCTTCTTACGTAATTTTCTAAAAGTATTTTGTCTTCAGTAAGTCTACTGATGCTGTTTTCAAATTTTATATTTTCTTGACTATGTTTCTTTAGTTCTTCTTTTAGAATCTGATTATCTGTTTTGGTTTCCATTACCATTTTTGATAACATTTCACATTCCTTGCCAATTTCTGACAAGCTATTCTTATAAATACTTGCTTCTGATTTTGCATTTTTTATTTCTTGCAGAAAATTCTCTTCGGCAGTAGATTGGTAGGTTTGAATATTCTCAATTTCTCTTTCCATAATTTGTCTGGCAGCAGTAGATTCTTGTAATGTTGTTTCAAGGTTGAGTTTTTCATCTTTAACTGTTTCTATTATTTGAAGAAGTGTCTCTTGTTCCGTTTTTGCCAATCTTTCTTTCTCTTTTAGCTGGATTATCTCTAGCTGGCTTTCTTTTAGTTCATTTCCAAGTGAGCTTTTTTCTTTTAGAAGCTGGTGTGTTTTTTTCTCTAACATTTCTTTTTCATCTTGTATCAACAGAATATTGGTTTTCATTGCTTCCATTTCTATACTCATTCGATTATTTTCATTATTTACAATGGCCATATCACTTTGAGTTTTGTGTTCCTTACTTTTTAGTTGATCTAATGCTTCCATCATTTGTTGCTTCTCTAAAGAAAGTTGTATATTTTTTTCCTCTAGAGTTTTATTTTGGCCTTGCAGAACATTATATTTACTAATTATTTTTTTAAATTCTTTAAGACACTCTTTGCTGTATTCTTCTGTTTTACTTAACTTAGACTGAATAGTACTCTTTTCTTCAACCAGATTCTTAAGTTGCTTTTCATATGTTTCAACTTTCTGTATGAGAGATTGTGTGGTAAAGATAAGAGGTTTCATTTTGGACTTAAGGTTTAGATTTTCACTCTCCAGTTCCATTACTTTTTTCTGTATCTGCACAGATTCTTTTAGGTAATTCTGTAAGTACTGAATTTTTGCAACACACTGCTCAGTAACGGAATTAACTTTGGAAGTTTTCTCATTTTCAGATATTATTGATCCTTGTTTTACTAGAAATGGTTGTCTTTCTTTGTCTTTCATTTCATGTTTTGTTTGGTCGAGGAAGGACAGTGTGTATCTTGGAACTCTGGAATGGAATTTTAAATCTGTAATATTTTTGCCAGTGATGGGAATTTCTTTATTGTTTTTCTCATTTTTCTTTCCCCTGTGCATTTCACTCTTAGATAACTTTTTACATTTTCTACAAAAATGCACATGGAATTTTGACACAGTTTCCCTGAAGGGGAGTAATTTCTTCACTAATGCCTCTAATTCTGAAATTCTCTTTGATTTTATATCTTCATTTAAGTTACCGTCCAAGTTTTCTTCCTTAATAAAGTTCATTTTATCCTGGTGAATAGGGGACATGTCATATTTACCATTCCTGTGAACATCTGGATCAGTTTGTAAAGTCTGAAGTTCATTTGTAAGTGCCACTTCCCCATCATGTGACTTTTGAAGCTCTTCTTTCATTTGTTTGATAGAATGGCAAATGTCATCTAAATTTTCACAAAATCCATGCTTGAGAAAAGGCACAGTAATTTTGGATTTATCCAGAATTACTGTATCAGCTTGAGACATCACATTTGGAGGTGCAGTAGGTAGAAAACGATAAAAGTTATTATAATTCTTCAAGATGTCAGAATTTTCTGAAGGGTGTATAATTATGTTTGAAGATAAATTGTCTGTTGAAGTTCTCAGAGTTAATGTGTCCTCGGAATGTATCTGGGATGGAACATTTACACTTTGAGGGAGACTGTTCACACTATCACCACTTAATTTTTCTTCCACTGAATGAAGTGTCTTGGAATCCTCAAAATGATGACTTTTCTCCATAGAAAGGTTTTCTTCTTGATTCTCTGTAGGCTGTAACAATAAGAAGTACACTATAAATGTATTGTCATTTGCCACATGATAAAGCAGTACAGATAATATTTTGTGGAGGGTTTATTTATGTACCCTAAACAAGCATTTTATCCATTTCTACAGCAAAGGAGCATAACAAGTATGATTTATTTTCTCCAACAGTTATTTTGAGATCTGTAACTCTGGTCCTCACAATTTGCTTAGAACTTGCTCTTATTTCCTTTGGGGTGAGATACATGGGCCAACCCCTCAATTTCAGAAATATAGAAATTTAGCGTCCTTCAAGAGGCTGTCATAGGTAGGTGGGAAAGATGGAACCGATAGGTCAAATGGGAGTTTCAGGCAAATGAATGTTTCCAATTCTGGGCTATTTGTTAACCTTAGCTTGCACTCATTTCAGATGATTTTAGGACTGTGACTATCCTGGAAGTGTGAGTTCGAGTCAGTGTGGACACAGTGATGGTAACTTTGGTTTGGAGCTTTTCTAGGGAATTTACCCCAGACCTAGGTCAATCCTAAGTGAATAGATTGGCTATAAAAACTGCCTTGCATTTGAATTTACTCGGGAATCTTTCACGATCTGGACTAAGTCAAATGTCCCTCACAGACTCTTAAGAGAAATGGGAAAACTGCAAAAGTACAGAGGTAAATACACATCTTTTAAGGTTTTCAGGACCGGAGTTTCCTTATTTTCATCTCTGATGGTCCATTTTTCCTGTAACAAAGAGGACCATGTAAAGTGAAATGAACTGATGGTAGTCACGTTTTGAAGTACCTACATATAGAAATGATTTCTGTAGAATAACATACCAAATCCTTTTCAATGCGCGTGCCAAACACCAGATTTTTTTCTGAGCTAAATTGTGGGTTTTCTACTTCAATAATACTTTTGTTCAATATTTCACTGATTTCCGACTGTACCTTTAAAAGATAAATTGAGAAAAATTTGATTTCAGATTTGTAAACTTATGAATGTACAGGAATAATAGACATTATAATTAAAAGGTGTGTTTAAATTTCCTGCCCATAAACAGTCTTTCCCATCTTATAGAATATAAATGAAAGCTACTTAATTTATTGTAATCTCTATCGTTAATCTTTAAGAAAATTATGCCTTGTTATAATCAGAAGCAATTTAGTAAAACAAAGTTTTATGAACTATATTCAAATGATTTTAGGTGTCTGATTTTTACATTGTTGAATAAGAGACCTTTGGAATCTATTCTGTCCCCCTTAGGAGGAGTTATCTTCCCTTCCTATTTCCCTGCAGGTGCTTTTAGTATAAGAATATTGGGATGAAGTTTACACTGGGTCTTTAGTGAATATGTGTGTGTTACATACCCCCAATATCTATACTCTAGACTTCTGTTTATACTTCTCCTTATTTCTTCTGGATGAAGCGTGGTTATGGTAGTATTGATTCTGCCTCTAACTCCCAGGGGCACCTGACTGAGTGCTAACTAGTCAGGGAACAGCGGCCACCTGACAGTGATTGGTTCAAGCATTGCATGTGACCCAGTCGGGATCCATCTGAATCAGGCCAAGAGCCTCAGTCTAAACTATTGTGAGCAAAGTGTAGCCGGGTGCGGTGGCTCACGCCTGTAATCCCAGCATTTTGGGAGACTGAGGTGGGCAGATCACCTAAGGTCGGGAGTTTAAGACCAGCCTGGCTAATGTGGCGAAACCTGGTCTCTACTAAAAATACAAAAATTAACCAGGCATGGTGGTGGGCACCTGTAATCCCAGCTACTCAGGAGGCTGAGGCAGGAGAATTGCTTGAACCCAGGAGGCAGAAGTCGCAGGGAGCCAAGATCATGCCACCACACTCCAGCCTGGGTGACAAAAATGAAACTCCTTCTCAAAGCAAAGTGTACTCTCTTCTCTGACTTGAATTTGGAAGGAGAAAGAACTGGACCTTCTAGCAGATCTTCTGCCACCACAGGGAGTCTGAGAATCCCCTACTGTGGAAAGCAGAATCAGGATACAGAGTGAGACCTATTTTGACGACACAAGACCTGATCATGTGGACTCAGCCATCCTGAAGTGAGCTCTCTCCAGGACTTTCATTTACTTGAGCTATTAAAGTGTATTTTTTCCCTAAGCCAGTTTGAATTAGACTTCATGTCACCTATAATGAGGGTCCCTATTTGTAGTCTATATATAGACTTTAAACGTGTATTGAAAAAATCAGCGAGTGCTATCTCTTTGGGCTTGTTTCCAAATACAAGTATAACAGAGAGAAGAATGTAGTTTCTTTAAAATAAATTTTGAGCCTAGAATATGCTGTGGCCTCTATTATATTAAATTCTGTGTCAGCTAATCCATTGGCTAGTGACCATCAGCTTAGAAGATGGGATGATACTTCAAGGTGAGATATTTCATATATAGATCAAAAGAAACATACCATGCTGACATTCTGCAAAGTCTGCATTCGCAAAGCCTGAAATGATTCCAACTGCTGCTGAAGGACCTATGACAAAAGTAAAGTATGAAATTGAGTATTTTTAGGTAGGTAAACGTATTCTTGAATTGTTATGATTTTATGTCTCCCAAAGTTGCCTATTACTTGAAAAGATCCCGTGAGGGTCAGGTGGTTCACATTCTTAGGCATTTTGCTAACTCCCCAATGTGCTTTCATGGAGATCCTTGTGAGGATAAAGTGAGAGAACCCGTTTGCATTTAGGGAGTATTTATTCTGAAAAAGATCAGCCTTTACCCAGAATTTTGGAGATGATAAAATGGAATATAGACTCACTTTCAATGCTGATTGTGGTTGGATTTGATTTTCTGATTCTGCTATGCAGCCATATTCTAAGAAGCAAAATTGAAAAACCATGTGACTTAATTCTTAAATTTTATTTTTTAAAACCTGTAATAGAAAGCAGTCTCCTAACTTGCTTGGATAGTGAGGCAGAGATAATGAGAACTTCTGATATTCACACTATGCTAGTCACATAAGCTTAAGTGATAATTCTCGCTTGACTTAATATATCCACTTGAGGTTGTAATAGTGTCTTCACTTTTAGAGTACACCGTTAATTTGCAACACCACACTTAGAACTCTCAAAAACTCAAATATCAAATATCTTTGTTTCTGGGATATAAACTGCATTCAAAAAAAACCTAATAATGCTCATATTATGGGAGACCCTTGGCAAAGTAGTATACAGGCCTCAATTTCTGTGAAATTTCCATGTGACATTTTTCCCCTTATGGAAACCAAGTTGGATCAACAGCATAATTTTTGTCCTGGCTTAAGCACAGTACGCACTTGTGGCTTCCCTTGGGAAGGGCAGTTTCACATTCACAGTCTTTAGATCCCCTCTTGGCCATGTATGAATGGGCCTGGGCCTGGAACACTTCTTTACCAAGGGGACTCTTTTTAAAGTCCTCGTTCACAGCCTGTGCTGGACTTGCTACCATGTGTGGGGATAGCACTCCCCGCTTCAGACTCAGTGTGTACTCCTTTGTTCTGCTTAAGTGTGTGTGTCATATGATACCTGGCCAACCCTGCTACTCTGTCCCCTGCTAGATTATAGATGGGCCAGAAGGGGCCCTCTGGCCATGGGGAACCAACACCCACTACTGAGGCTGATCTTGCTCCGTCTCTTCATTCTGTGAGTAAAGGGTTGTTGCATCCGGTGCTTGACTGTTGTGTTTTGCTTGGCGACTCCGATACTAAGATACAGTAGACAGAAGTACTCCAGCTTCTTTTGATAATAGGCAGAATGTCACTTGCTTGATACCGTCCTGGATAGATTATAGATCTGCAACAGGGGGAGACTCTATCATGTTTGCAAATGCCCTTATATCCCTCTTTGTCTGCATGTTAGGCTGCTTGCTTTGTAAACTTTTTATTAAAGAGTGTATTCATAAAAGCTTTCAGTGTCCTAAGTAAAATGAGAGCTATGATGGAACGTTCCCCTAGGCTGATAATTTCTGCCCTAAGTTTTAAAAGAGGTCAGCGAATCTCCTTTGGATTGGCAGGCTGTCAGATGTTAGAGAAGCCGCTTGCAAAGTACAGGCACCCCTTCTGCTCTCTGACCCTCACCACCAAAGGGGCAACGCTGGTTTGGAGCCTGGAGCTGCCTGGCTATTGAAGAATCCCACCTTCAGTCAGAGGGTGGGGAGGGAGAGCGAGTCTGTCTGGATCTTGCTTAGCTTTGCCTCCACCTTCAGTCAGAGGGCGGATCTTGCTGTCTGGATCTTGCTTAGCTTTGCCTCTTCTTGGGAATAAAATGGCAGCTAAACTCCTGGTATCCTGAACTGTTCATCTAAAAAATAAGGAACTGAAGGAAGGCCCAGACCAGCATAGGAAGGAAACACAACGTTTTTCAGACTCTAAAGTAACCTCTTCTAATGAACTTAACTAGACCAAAGTGCAAATCGGGAAGAATATACCACCTAGAATCCTGCCACCCACAACGAACTGTTGTTAATTTTAGGTGCCATCTTTCGGTCAGCTCTCTATGCACATAAGTGGATGAAGTGGAATCATTTTATACATAAATGGTATTTTACATAAATATTGCCTATATTTACTTGAATTTAAGAGAATTTTTAAAACTGCAAGTAGTGGAAATTATTTCTAGTATTTGGATTTTTTTTTACTACATGAGAGATATTATTTCCTAAGAGATCCCTGTAAACTAATGAAAATTAACATGAAAAGAATTAAAGATTGAAACCTTTATTGTTTCAATAACATACAGTTCTATTGTATTCATTGTTGACTTACTCCCTGCCAAGAGAGATGAGAAAATTAGCATTCTATTTCCTTCCATGCCTACTTCCCTCTTTTCATGGTATTTGCTAGTTATGTGATTTATACACTGTGAAGGTTTATGTTTACATTCTGTTCTGTAACTGTAATTTCCACACAGCTCTTTATTTAAACACGAAGATAGGATATCATTCTCATAAATGTATTCAGCCTTCAACTCTATTCTGAGTGATGTAACTGTTCAAAATTCTATCTCCTTCCCATACCTACAGGAATAGCTTCCTTTTTCTGTACAGATTTCCTTTCATTAGGAGGATTTGCAAGTTCAAAGCTAAATATAAGATTCCTTTAGCTAAAACCAAATAAGAAATATGAGACCAAAAGAAATGTACAGACTTAATAAAGGGATACAGTAAATCAAAGATTTCAAAGAAAGCAATGGGATTTATACATGTTGTCTACATATATTTTCCATCTTCCATCTCTTCTTCCTTTTTTGGCCTCACCGTGATTGCACTGTTACTAAGCAGCTTAGTGGACCCATGGGAGCACAAGATGAGGACACGTCGGAGCAGGAGACAGGGGCTAGGTTATGCAGAGCCTCCAGGCCAAGCTGAGCGGGTTGGCTTTTCCTTCAAGTGAAACGGGGAACTTTGGAAGGTTTCCATCATGAGAATGATTTGATCTGACTGAAAAGTTTACAGGTCACTCTGCTACATGATAATAGAGTATGGGGTGGGGTGAGAAGGCAATTGCAGGGCTACCGCAATAATCTAAGTGGAGATGAAGATATCTTGGACTAGAATGGTGGTGGGGGAGGTGGGGAAAGCAGGTAGATTCAGAATATACTTTGGAGATGAAGCCAGCAGCATTGCTGGAGGATTCGTTGGGGCCAGGAGAGATGAATGAATGATGGCTCCTTGTTTTTTGGTGAGAGCAGATGGATGAGGGATGATGTCATTTACTGGGGGAAAACAGTAGAGTAGGAACATACTTTAGGAGAAAAACATTTTTAGATATGTTAAGGCTAGGTTGTCTGTTAAACATCAAAGAAGAGATATCCAATAGTCAGGTGGGTCTACCAGTGTATGATTCATGGGAGCAGCAATGAACACATCATTCAACATGGATGGGCCGGGTGCAGTGGCTCGCACCTGTAATCCCAGCACTTTGGGAGGCCTAGGCGGGCAGATCACGAGGTCAGGAGATCGAGACCATCCTGGCTAACATGGTGAAACCCTGTCTCTACTAAAAATACAAAAAATTTGCTGGGTGTGGTGGCATGTGCCTGTAATCCCAGCTACTCGGGAGGCTGAGGCAGGAGAATCGTTTGAACGTGGGAGGTGGAGGTTGCAGTGAGCCGAGATTGTGCCACTGCACTCCAGCCTGGGAGACAAGAGCGAAACTCCATCTAAAATAAATAAATAAACAAACAAACATAGATGTCACTGCTGGCCATGCAGAAGGACATGCATAGAAGCCCGAACGAAGTGCTTGAGGAGAGAATGGAATGTGGAGATTGGTGGGCATGGAGGATAGGTCACTGTTTCTAGTTTCACTGTGGAAGGGAAGACAGTGCATCCTGGAAGAGATGTGAAAGTCAAGAGGGATTTTTTTTCTTTTTTTGAGATGGAGTCTCACTCTGTTGCCCAGGCTGGAGTGCAGTGGCATGATCTTGGCTCACTGCAGCCTCCACCTCCAAGGCTCAAGCGATCCTCCCATGTCAGCCTCCGGAGTAGCTGGGACCACAGGTGTGTGCCACCACATCTGGCTAAGAGAAGGAATTTTTTTTTTTTTAAACCACAGGACATTCTAACATGCTTGTTTGCTGCTGGAATCACATAGTAGAAAGGGAGAAAAGCAATAATTCCGGACAATGAGGGAGGCTAATTGCAGAAGCTGGGACTTGAGAATTCCACAAGAGATGAGATCCAGAGGAAATCACTTTTGATTGATCAAGGACAATTCTTCCGTTGAAATGGGAGAAGACCTAGAATATGGGTTTCACAAATGTGAAGGGTGAGAATGAAGGAGTTTGGGTCTGAGTGCTTCTACTTTTTTCATATAGAGTGGGACCATGTTATGAGTGGAGCGGCCAGGGAGAAACGTGTTCAAGATTTGAGAACAGGAGGAGTGAAATAGCTTTTTTGCAGAGGATTTGAAGAAGAATTTTCTGTGGAAATAAAGTAAGTTTTCCCAATAGCATTGAGAGTGCATTTTAGATTCATGGTATGACTCAAAAGTGAGTGTTTTTCTCCAGCAAAGTTCAGATGATTCTGCACAGGCAGAGAGTAGGCAGGGAGTCGGATTCATCTATTTTTAAAAGCTATTAACATAACTTTCTGTTTTTCTTATGAGTTTCAGAGACATCGGCTGCTACTTATTCCCAAAGGAAAGGTAATTTAAAAACTAGGCAATACTTAGTCACACAGAATTACGTGATTCTAGAATTGGAAGGGAAATTATCAAAGAACCCAGGAGATAAAACACAATCACACTTCACCATTTACCAAGTCCCTGCTAAACATACAATATCGGGAGGCACATAAACAAAGCGGAAGGCATGGTCCCACCCACCAAGATGAGAGTTTATTGGGAATGTAAGAATATTACTCATCTCATATTCAACTTAAATTTTCCAGCTGCTTCATATTTCTGTCAAAAGTGAAAAACAAGGTAGTTATCAATGGGATGACTTTTGAGGTAATTTTTATTCTGAGCCTGCAAAAAATATTGTATTCAATGTATACAAAAAGTACCAACTGCATACCTGTAGCAAACAGACCAAGAGGAACCAATACATTCTGAAAATGCAACAGGGTAACGATTCTATATAAGATGTCAGGCTCTCTGCAAGCTTTGTAATTCTTAGTTTCTTCTCATTGCAACCTCTGCCTCCCGGGTTCAAGTGATTCTCCTGCCTCAGCTTCCTGAGTAGCTGGGACTACAGGCATGTGCCAGCACACCCGGCTAATTTTTGTATTTTTAGTAGAGACGGGGTTTCACCATGTTGGCCAGGCTGGTCTCAAACTCCTGACCTCAGGTGATCCTCCTGCCTCGGTCTCCCAAAATGCTGGGATTACAGGCGTGAGCCACCATGCCTGGCCGCAGGTTCTAATACTGAGTTCTGCTGTGACAATTCAAGTTCATTCCTAGATGTCCCTGTCTTACAAAGCTTTGTGAGGTGTGGCACCCTCTGCATGAGGCTTTGTCACAGTCATTATGCAAGGAGCTATGCAACAGGTTGCCTGCCGCCCAGATTTGAATTCTAGCTTTGCCACACACTCGCAGTGAGGGGATAACTCTAGGCGAGTGTCCAGTTTGTAGATAAAGCCCTTACTGAGGTGTACGAGGTGTACGGCACATAGTGAATGCTCAAGAGACACTAACTCATTACTGCAGAGGCAATATGATGATAATTTGGTAAATTCAAAATTTCTAGTCAAGACGGAGGGGAGAGAAGCCTTCTCAAAATTCTCCAGTGCTTCTCAATTTTCTCAGAATAAATCCCAAATTCATCCATGGAACTACAAAGCCCTGTCCTGGTTCCTCCCGCCTACCCTTCCCTACTTGTTCTGCTCCATTTACAAGAGCAACCGTTCCTCAATCACACCAGCCACGCTCCCACCACAGGGTCTTTGCAGTTGCCATTCTCTCTGCCTGCGGTGCTCTTTCCCTAGAAATCTGCACAGATTGCTTCTTTACTTCCTTCTGGTCTTGGCTCAGACGTGACCTGCTGAGTGAGCCCTTCTCCTACCACCCTGTTTAAAATGACACACTTCCCACCCACCTCTGCCACTCCAAATATTCCTCCCCCCCTTCTCAGCCTTATGTTCTCCATAGAATTTATTCCCCGCTTACACACAATAGCCTTTGTCTGTCTGTTCCCTCACTAGAAGGTAAGCTCCATGTGGGCAGGGAATCTTGCAAGTCTTGTTCACTGTTGGATCCCCAGCACCTAGAACAGCACTTGAAACTTAGCAGGTGCTCAAAAGAATATGCTCCACAAACGAATGAATGAATGAAAGCTCGGGTACAACAGGGTGCTGGGAACAACACCCTGGACACCCTCAAATTCAAAAGTCTCTCACAAACCCATTCCAATAAGGGTTAATTAGGTTAACCACTAGTTCTGAAATCAGAGACACCTTGGGAACATTCTATAACTCTTTGTAACCTGGCAGTAGTTATGCAAATCAGGTCATTATTTTCTCAGTACACGGGGAATGGATCACTTGGTGACAATGAAAGCATCAGTAGGAGAGTAGAGAGAAGGGCGCCAGCCATACCTCCTAGTTTTGCCTATAGTTGCAGGCAGGAAATTCCTGGGTGGCCCCTGACTCAAGATAACTGGTGTTTATTAAGAACCTGTCCTGTGTCAACCCCAGACCTGTAAACACTGTGTTCTGGCAAGAAAGACTGTAACTCTTAAACATGTACATGTGCTATTTTGCATGTAACTATTTTCTATAAATGTTGGCATCTTTCTCCAGAACCCTAAGCCTCATTCATGTCAAAAAACATGTGATCTTGCCAAATTAAGGTACTTCTATTTCTTCTGACCTTACATGCTCTCTTTGAGGTAAATACGGAGCTACCTCAATGTCTCAACTCTCTGTGAGGACTCTTTCTCCTTCGTTCAGGGGGCCCCTTTGCCCCTCCTGGTTGCCCAGGGAAACCTGCATATCTCAAGGGTGGAGGCAGGAGGGCGGAGAGGGGACTGGCCAGTGCCTGTCCTGCTGGCCTCCACTGGGGTGTTGCTCATCCTGGTAGTGCCTGGGCACCCGGGTGTCTTCTGTCTACTGAGGTGTGGCTGCTCTAGTCTCTTCTTTCCGGGCCCTGACAAGGCTTTTTGTGAAGATCTTGCATGGTGGAGGTGCAGAAATCCTGTCCCAACCTCAGTCCTCTTGTGGTTCAGCACTTTGGCATCAGGATTGCCCATATCCTACAGAGGGGCAACTGGGGGTCCGGGCATGGCACATCAGTCTAGACCCTTCTCCTGCCCCGTGCTCTGCTCCTTCCCCGGCATGTCCCCTCACAGCAGGCTCCTCTGAGAGGCGTGTAGTCAGTCGCCTGGGACTCCACCTTCAATGTCCTCAGATTCCCCTAGCTGGGTACCCCCATCTTATTCATAATTTATGTGGTGCTTGAAAGCTTTAGCTATGTGGCTATTTCAAACATCCTCCCCATATAATATCCTGTAGTCCGTAAATATTTACTATAAAAAGTAGTTTTCTTTAGAAAAGGTATACACCCCTCCCTGGATATCCACAGGGGATTGGTTCCAGAGCCTCTGCGGATAGCAAAATCTGCAGATGCCCAAGTCCCTAATACAAAATGGGGTAGTATTTGCATAGCTTCTATGTGTATCCTGCTGTATACTTTAAATCATCTCTCGATTACTTGTAATACCTTATACAATGTAAATGCTATGTAAATGGCTGTTATACTGTTCAAAATTTGCATTTAAAAATTGTGGTACTGTTATTTTTAAAAATTTTCCCCCCTGAATATTTTCCATCTGTGGTTGGTTGAATCCAAGGATGCGGAACTCCCAGATACCGAGGGCTGACTGCATATCGTTTTAGTGTGTGTCCAAAAAACTCAACAATTCTTACTTAGCATTCAGAGAAGCAACGGAGCGTAGCGTGGTGGTGAAGACAGG
This sequence comes from Homo sapiens, assembly GCF_000001405.40. Lineage (NCBI taxonomy): Eukaryota > Metazoa > Chordata > Mammalia > Primates > Hominidae > Homo > Homo sapiens. The sequence continues at coordinate 185,470,627 of NC_000004.12, forward strand.
CAGTCCGGAGCCGCCCTGCTGAATGCCCGCTCCATTCCTCGCTGCCTGTGTGACCTTAGGGAGTTAACCTCTCTGTGCCCGTTTCCTTATCTGCAAAATGGGGATCGTGGTAGCACCCACCTCGTAAAAGTGTTGTGAGAATTAAACAGTTGATCCATTACGTGCTTAGAACAGCACTGGCACAAAGCGCGAGTGCCGTGGTGGCTGCTGTCCGTGTCATCACGGCCGTGGGAAGCACGCCAGGTGAGCAGGTGGCACAGGCCAGATGCTGCCGCCTGTGTATAGTTAAAGGAGCCTTTTACGGTCTGGCGATTTTACCTGTGTCACTGCAGCCACTTTCCTTCACCCCCTCCGAAGAATTTAGGATCTTGGACGCTGAAAGGAGAACGGAGTCAACTTCATCCTCTTCCCGGTGCTGCTTTTCTGTAACAGAACCGTCCGGGGCTGTTCTGTCGCGGGTCGTGGCGTGGCGGGGCTGAAGGTGGGGGCGGGGCAGAGGGATGGGGCGGGGCAGGGCTAACGGCTGGGGCGGGGCGGAGGGAATTAGGAGGGGGCGGGGCTGAAGGCTGGGGCGGGGGGGCGGGGAGGGCGGGGAGGGCGGGGCGGAGGGAATTAGGAGGGGGCGGGTTTGAAGGCTGGGGCGGGGCGCAGGGATGGGATGGGGCGGAGAGACTGGGCGGGACCTGTGGGGGCAGAGGAATGGGGCGGGGTCAAGGCTGAAGGCTGGGGCGGGGCGGAGGGATGGGGCGGAGGGACGGCATCAGGCCGGGCCTGGGGCGGGGCGCGGCGCTTTCCGCAAGCGGCCACCCGAGGGCGCGCTGGGCGGGCGGCGGCGGCAGACCACGTAGCCAGCCTGTAAGCCACAGCGGACGCAGGGGGCCGCAGCGGGTGCTCAGCCCTAGGGCCGAGCGGGAGATGTGCGGCGAGTGCAGAAGGGCGGACCCGGGATGTCCCGGGTTTTCGAGCGGGGAGCCGCCTGCTGAATGCCCTTCTGCTGCCCTCCGTTCCCGCGGCTCCCCTAGGAGCCCCGCCCCGTCCAACTCTTACCCGGGCTCATCGCCGCGGCTCATCTCTCTCGCAACCGCCGCCGCACGCACCCGCTCCGCCGCCCCGCGCAGGGCATCCTGTCGCCAGGTAACCGGGTGGCCGGGGCGCCGGCCCCACCCCCACCCTCGGCGGCGCGCGCTCGGCTGGGGTCCCTGGTGGGGTCCCGGTGGGTCCCTCCTCACTCCGGACGCTTCCCCGAGAGCTTCCCTGGGAACCTGGCCTGGGACAGCCCACCTGGGCGCCTCCCCGCACACGCGCGCGGCTGTCCGGGACGGGCTTGCTCACACTCGGACTCGCTGCGGTACCCGCCGGACCAAAGCGGTGCGGAGAAAGGGACCGCCCGGGGACGGACACACGCCTGAGAGCTTTCCCTTTGCCTTTCCACATCTCCACTTCATCGCTGTTGTTTTTTTTTTTTAATTCTTAGTCCTCTCATTTCAGCGCATCCCTCAGAGGAGTTTCAGCATTTGGGGATTTGAACGGCCCATGACCAATATTGTGAAAGGACTTTTGTTTGCTGCAATGAAAAGAAGACTCCTATTTTTCAATAATGAATTAACCTAAACATGTATTAAAATATGCTCATGAAAGCTGTGGGAAGCGACGGTGGGCTTCCTTTGTCTAAGCATGTTAATTTTTACGCACCTGGTGTATCACGTGCAGGATTGATGTTGCGTTCACGGGAAACCTGACCTCCTTTAACCAAGGACTGGGTGCGTGCCCCCAGCTAATCCTCCTGCCCATCAGAAAATGGTGCTCTTTAAAGTTTTAAACGAGTATATATTATTTATTTTGTAGTAAACCATCACACATAGAAAATTAAAATTCAAAATCACAATCACCAGGATATCATAATTTGCTATATAATAACATATAATATATAATAAGTAATACATGATGGCTTGCTTTCATTGAAATGAAACTTCTTATGATAGTTTCAGTGCTTACTTCCTCTAATTTGTTTCTTATAGAAATGGGCTCTAGTGCACGCGCCTGTAATCTCAGCTACTCAGGAGGCTGAGGCAGGAGAATCGCTTGAACCCAGGAGGCGGAGGTTGCAGTGAGCCGAGATGGCGCCACTGTGCTCCAGCCTGGGCAACAGAGCCAGACTCCGTCTCAAAAAAACAAAAAAAAACAAACAAAAAAAAAAAAAAGAAAAGAAATGGGCTCTAGGTCCGGCATGATGGCTCACACCTGTAATCCCAGCACTTTGGGAGGCCGAGGCGGGTGGATCACCTGAGGTCAGGAGTCCGAGACCAGCCTGACCAACATGGTGAAACCTTGTCTCTACTAAAAATACCAAAATTAGCCAGGTATGGTGGAGTACATTCGTAATCCCAGCTACTCGGGAGGCTGAGGCAGGAGAATCACTTGAACCCAGGAGGCAGAGGCTGCAGTGAGTCGACATAGTGCAACTGCACTCCAGCCTGGGCCACAGAGCGACACTCTGTCTCAAAAAAAAAAAAAAAAAAAAGAAAGAAAGAAAGAAAAAAATGGGCTCTAGAAGATTTGACTTTCTTGTGGCATTGTAGACAATTTTAATAAATTATAATTTTGAGAATTTATGGTCTGCATTGCTGATTGATATTGATGATTCAGGAGATAGAAATTATTTAGGCAGATAGGGCAAAAGAGTCTTCAGCAGAACTTCTAACAAAAAACAGCTCAAGAAATCATTTTTTTTTCTAACAAAGAGCAGCCTGAAAGCCTGCAAACCTTGCAAAGATAGATCAGGAAGCTGGAAGCGTGCACACCAGGGCGCAGGGGGTTGGGGGGCAGCGTGCGGGTGGATGCCAGCAGCTGCGCTGATAGAAAAGGGCTACCTGGGGGCCAGGCATGTCCACCATGGAATCTCCATCTCCCCTTTTTTGTTAGCACGTGTACAGTAAGAAAGAGATGGGCGATATGGAAAAGCTCAGTCAGAGAACCCACCTGCGTAGTAAAAGATTGGGGTGGGGGCTGCCAGAGATTCATGCCCTATGCAGATGGCACACCTGGTCCTAACTGGTTTTTCACGCCCTATGTAGATCAGACTGCCTCCCCATTAGCTCATCTATAAAATTCTATAAAAAATATTTCACAGCGAATTGGCAACCCGGGGACCCCTTTCTGTAGCGGAGAGCTTATTCCCTTTCTTGTCGCCTATTACATTTCGGCTCTTAACCTCACTCTTTGTGTGTCTGCATCCTTGATCTCCCTGTGAGACAGCAAACCTTGGTGTCAGCCCACACAATGAGGCTGCTTCATTGATAAAGTTAATTTTTTTCCTGAGAGCTACACAAGTTTTCAGCAATATGTTTGTGAAATTACTACTGTAAATAAATTGCATTCCTTCAAAGGGTGAATGACAAAAAGCCACTACATTTTAGCAAGTCTGTTTTTATACTACTGAAGTTTCCACAATTAATTACTATATTGTATTTTATGTAATGCTAATTATTAATATCTAATCATTTGATAATTTATGTAATAATGTGTAATAACTCTAATTTGTCTATGTAATATTTGTGGACTATGATGACAAATTAATATCGGTTATTACATAGAAATTACTTGTGGATTTTTGTGGGAGCACTCAGTCATACCATTTAGTGTAGAATATAAAAAGCAGGTGATAGATGCTACAACATCAAACTCAGATTTAGCCAGTGCACTAATCTCAATAGAGAGTTACTTCCATTTTAAGCTACTTCCTAATCCATTCATCAGTCAGAAAAGCAGCTCTTTAGTTAGAAGGACACTTTATTTTAGATGTCCTATAAGGCCTTTTGATTATCACACTCATTTCTCTTTTGTAAAGCACATCACATATATATTCTCAGTTAAAACAAAAATTTTGTCAGAAAATTATTGCAATTAATATGTAAAAAGGCTGTCTTTGGAGCCAACAGTTATAATATTTTAAAAACTGTTTTCAATAATAAAGATGCCTATGATTTGAATATCACCCTCTCAGATGAACCCCCTCGTGAAGGGCCTCACATGAACATTGCGTGCGCCAACCCTGGTATTCGAGGTGGGAGAATCTGGAAGTGGTAATTAGAGCATTGACATGTCTCTAAAAAAATGGGGGTGGGAGGTGGTCACAGCCCTTTAGGGACATTCACTGCAGTGTGAAATGTATGTTGAGGGAGAAATCTTATTTGATCACCCATGGCCACTTAAAACCATTTTCACCTGCGCTTGAAACTACCTGCATTTTGAACTCCGTGGCTGACCGAATGATGGGCCTCTCTGAAAAGGAGTTTCCTTATCTGTACAACTGTGAGCCAGTAGTGAGGATGAGTGAAATCCCAGGTGAAGGGCCTACTCCAGGAGAAAGCAGAGTGGTCACATACGGGGCTGACAGTGAATGGCAGGTCTAGAGCCCCGTCTAGGGTGGGATTCCATAAACACTTTTGAAATTTTTTTTTCCTGTGGTTCTTCTTTGAAAAAACTTGACACTTCAGTGGAAAAAGATTCAATTATTGTAGCTCAAATATTAGAAAAAATGTATATTTTAAAGAGATAGTAGAATGTGTTGTCTAGTTTATATTGTGTGTGAACTTTGATGAACTTGCCAAGCTTCTAAAAATAAAAAAATTGTTTGGGCATCTCAGTGAGTGCGTGTTTAGATGGCCTATAAAATGAAAATTTCTCGGCCGGGCACGGTAGCTCACGCCTGTGATCCCAGCACTTTGGGAGGCTGAGGCAGGTGGATCACCTGAGGTGCGGAGTTTGAGACCAGCCTGTCCAACATGGAGAAACCCCATCTCTACTACAAATACAAAAAATTAGCTGGGCATGCTGGTGGGTGCCTCTAATCCCAGCTACTCACTCGGGAGGCTGAGGCAGGAGAATTGCTTGAATCCGGGAGGTGGAGGTTGCTGTGAGCCAAGATCGTGCCACTGCACTTGAGCCTGGGCGACAGAGCAAAACTCCGTCTCAAAAAAAAAAAAAAAAAAAAAAAAGGCTGGGCGCAGTGGCTCACACCTATAATCCCAGCACTATGGTTTGGGAGGCCGAGGCAGGCGGATCAAGAGGTCAGGAGATCAAGACCATCCTGGCTGGCTAACACGGTGAAACCCCGTCTCTACTAAAAATACAAAAAATGAGCCAGGCGTGGTGGCGGACGCCTGTAGTCCCAGCTACTTGGGCTTGGGAGGCTGAGGCAGGAGAATGGCATGAACCCGGGAGGCAGAGCTTGCAGTGAGCCGAAATCGCGCCACTGCACTCCAGCCTGGGTGACAGAGTGAGACTCCATCTCAAAAAAAAAAAAAAAAAAAGTAAAGTTCTCACTGTGTGTTACTTATTAAATTACTTTTTTTGAGTAATTTAAAAATAATGAAAAGTACAGAGTGATGTAACTAACGCCTAAAAATAATGAAAAGTACAGAGTGATGTAACTAACCCCCTGCTTCAATCTTCCAGAATTAACAATGACATCTGTTGGCATATTTGATTTTTAATTATTATTTTTTTAAAATTACGTAGAGTTGAACTCCCCAGCATTTCATATCCTGCTCCTCCTTCCTCACGTCCTTCCCTCAAGAAACCATTATTATGAATTTAGGGTGCAACCTTCCAGTCCATTCTTATATTTTTATGGTTATTATATATATTTGTGAATAATATATAATAGTTGTTCTTGTCTAAAACATTTTCATAAATAATATAATTTATGTTTTATTCTACAGCTTGCTCTTTTTTCTCAACTTTTTTTTTAGGTCTATCTGTATTTTTAAAAATAGATCTTTAATTCAATTGTAAAAATGGGCTTGATCAATCTTTCTGTTCTTCCAGTGTATTTGTCTTTTTGGCCTCCATTTTTTTTTTTTTTTTTTTAGAGATGGAGTCTCACTCTGTTGCCCAGGCTGCAGTGCAGTGGTGCGATCTCGGCTCACTGCAACATCCACCTCCCGGGTTCAAGTGATTCTCCTGCCTCAGCCTCCCGAGTGGCTGGGATTACAGGCACCCGCCACCACGCCCAGCTAATTTTTGCATTTTTAGTAGAGATGGGTTTCACCATGTTGGTCAGGCTGGTCTTGAACTCCTGACCTCAGGTGATCCACCTGCCTTGGCCTCCCAAAGTGCTGGGATTACAGGGTGAGCCACCATGCTGGGCTCCTGCTCTCCATTATTTTTAAACTTTGACATGCTCACCAAGTTGTAGTAAAATCAGGAGCACAGTATGACACACATTTATTTTTCTCCTGAAACATTAAGAGTGAGTTGCTGACATGACATTCCATCACTGTTGAATACTTTGGTGTGCATCTTACGAGAAATCGCTCCAGCTCTCCAACAGGAGAACAATACAGCCATCAAAATCTAGAAATTAACACTGAGACATTACTACCATCTAATCTTCAGGCCCCATTCATGTTTCACCAATTCTTCCACTAATGTCCTTCGTGGCAAAAGGATCTAGTCGAAGATCTTGCCTTGCATTTCATTATCATGACATGTCTCTATTTTCATCTGAACAGTGCCTCAGTCTCTTTGACTTCCAAGACTTTGACACTTTTGAAGATTCTAGGCCAGTTATTTTGTAGACTATTCCTTCTTGCGGCTTTTTCTGATGTTTTCTGGGGATTAGATTCAGATCCTGCATGTTTGTCAGGACTATCAGAGGTGACGCTGGTTCCTTGTCATTGCATCCCATCAGGTGGCACGTGATTTAGATTTGTCCCATCAGAGATGATGTTCATTTGATGACTTGACTAAGGTGATGTCTCCCAGGCTTCTCTATGGTGAAGTTATTTTTTTTGCCTCATATGTAATAAGTATTTTGTGGAGAGGTACTTTGTAAATATTCCATTCCTCATCAAACTTTCAGTTTGTTCATTTATTTATAATTATCTGTGTGGACACAGAGTTTCTTGTACTTGATGGGTTACAATGGGTTTTCTGTCGCTAACAATATTGATATCATTGCTCAGTTTCCCAATTTTGTCAGTGGCCTTTTCTGTAGCTGGCTTCGGCATACTTTGACTCATCCCCCCTTCGTTACTGGAGCACTTTGTTTTCTTGACACAAGCAGATATTCCTGGCTCATCTTATATTTTCCCTGCCCTGACTCTGAAATCAGCCATTTCTCCAAGGAGGCTTAGTTTTCTTTTAACGGTATTTCACATTCATTTATGAGGGGGCCAAGTGTACACGTTGCTATAGGAGCGTAACTGTTCCCAGGCCATCTTGGTGGATAGAGCTAGGGAATGTCTGAATGCATATGCATGAGTATATGTGTGTATGTATGTGTATGTATTATGTATATGTACATACATGCATATACAAACATATGTACACAAACACACATGCACTATTACATCCTTATTTATTTCTATATCTATCTACATATATTGAGAACTATACATTCATGATACCTCCAATTCCAGTTCAATATCATAGCACTCTTTCTAATTTTCTTACTTTTCATATATATAATTTCCTTTACCAAAAAATGAGAAAGGTGGCTCCCATTATCCTTTATAGATTTACGTATTTGGGCAAACCTCTTGCAGGCATCCACTCTCTCAGTGCCAGGCTTGCATCCCAGTCCCCATTTGGTACCCTTGTCATCCCACTTAGGTTCCAGTGCCCTGCACTGTCCCTCCTTCCTATCCTACTAGCACCCTGAGCCTTATATTGGGCCTGTCGTCTGTACAGACCCTGTTCTCACCTGGCTTGGGCTCCGTCGCCCTGGGCTGGGCCTCCTCCATGTGTAGAGGACCTCTTCCCACTCCTCGGGCTCTGGCATTGTGCACCAGCCAGTCCCAGGCTCTGGCCAATGATACCGGTGCTCCCTCATGCGTGGATGGTCTCCTTTTCCTCCTGGGGATTAGACACGCAAAGTGTGCTTTTTGCAAGCTCATGAAATGATCCTTCCATATTTTTTTTCTAAAAGCTTTATCTTTCATATGTATATCTGCTATTCATCTGGAATTGATTTTTATACAGAGTGTGAGGTAGGGGCCAACATCCATTAAAAAATAAGGCTATCCAATTGATGTACCATTTACTGTAAATAATATAATTTCTTACACCAGCTGTATTTTAAAATATATTTTTAAAATGCGTTTTTCCTATGTGTGCTCTCAATCTACCATGTTGACCCTAAAGTTTCTTATTGCAAAGTTGCTAAAGTCAAGTAAGGTGATTATTTGCTTATCTAGAACACAAATTAGAATTAACTGAAGTCAAAGGGAGTAGTACAATGAAATTTCCTTTCGACTTCCAAAGTGGAGAAAACACCATTCTCCCCAGTGAGGCTGGAAGGATCCGGTCCTCTGAGCTTTTCCCAGCCTCTTTGGCTGCTGCTGAGGACTCAGTATCTTCTACAGCATGCACATTTTCAATATGTAGGAAATAAAGGGTCAGTGATAGCCACAAAAACCTGGCAAAAGTATGCAGAGTCCCCTTGCCCAGGCCCTCCTGACACCTCCTTCTCCTGCGACAGTGATGTATGTTCGTTACCCTGTTTGAAATAGGGAAACAAAGTCTAGAACCTTAATACTCTGGAAGATGCTAAATCTCCTCCTTCCTTATTGTAATTATTACCCCAATAATTAAGTTGTGGGTGATATATTCTTGCTTATGTGTCATTTTATTGAGAGTTGCAGAATTTTAGGAAAAATGTTGTTTCCAGATTTATGTGGGAATATGAAAATATGAGGTTAGGGAACTTTAAAAAACTCTTTGTAATTGGTCAGTACCAGACTTCCTAATTCCGAAACTTTGGTTCTGCCCCAACCCATAACACATTACAATTCTAGGGGTTAGCTCAGTGTTTAATCTAAATTTTACAAGAGTATAGAGACCGTATAAACATCTTCAGAGCTGAAAGTTCACAATACCTGATGAGGCATCCCACTCCACCTGCAAAACCTCCTTCTTGTGGTGAGACTTTCTATTTTACTCGGCCCCATGTCAGATAGAGGGTAGAGCATATTCTGTAGGGGGTTGGGTATGGTTTCCCTGGCCACATATGTTAGTCAGTCCACCAACTGCCCTGAAAAAAATCTTTGACTTTTTTTGATTGTGAAGGTCATTTGCTGAAGGATGGAATTAAAATCTGAAGTACCAATTTAAACAAAAGCTGTGAGTCACAGTATTTCAAAAATCTTCAAACAGTAGCTCCTCCTAGGGAATCCTCTTCACCTGTTGACTAACAGCTGCAGATTTAACAATCTGGAGTAAAGTCAAGAGCATTGCACAAAAACAAGCTAGGGAACCTATTCTTAGCAACTTATTACCAGACTAAAATACTTCTGGGCTTTTCAGTTTCATAAGACCTTTTTTTAAACCTGATATCACAAGGCTATTATTAATCATAGATGAAATCTATAGTAGCATGAAAAAACGACCAGATTGCCCTTAGGGTACAAGAAATTTGGGGCCGGGCGTGGTGGCTTGCGCCTGTAATCCCAGCACTTTGGGAGGCCGAGGTGGGCGGATCACTGGATCAGGAGATCAAGACCATCCTGGCTGACACGGTGAAACCCCGTGTCTGCTAAAAATACAGAGAATTAGCCAGGCGTGATGGTGGGCACCTGTAGTCCCAGCTACTCGGGGGGCTGAGACAGGAGAATCGCTTGAACACAGGAGGTGGAGCTTGCAGTGAGCCGAGATTGCACCACTGCATTCCAGCCTGGGTGACAGACTCTGTCTCAAAAAAAAAAAAAGAAAGAAAGAAAGAAAGAAATTTGGGCAATTGTGTTTTGATCACAGAGAGGACCCATGTGCTAGGGACTTAGGATGTCTTGGGTGGGTAGTGGCCCTTCCTTCCGCAACTCAAAGGCTTTATCCAAATACAAACACCTCTTCCCCCAGCCTTCTTTAAGTTGCCGTTAGTGTTAGTGTTAACACCTGATTTCATCTATATGCGAATGAGCTCCATAAGCCAACAAGGTAAACTCCAGCTGTGGCTCTTAGGAAGTTAATTGCTGCTTTAAGAGGGTTTATTTAATGCTATGGTGGGTTACTGAGAGAGTGATGCTGGTTTAACTCTAACAAGTTTGGTGTGCTAAAGGGTCAGACATAGAGAAATATCAAAGTAGCTCGAGAAGGAGCAGGTGTTAGGGAAAGGGATATTTTTAGGATGGGTTGGAGTACTTGAGCATGTTTGTAGGCTGGGAATGAGAATCAGTGGCAAAGACAGTCTGGGTGCAATAAAATAAGTTGGAAAGAGAACTTGAAGAATAGAGTAATAGAATAGGAATTGAGTGATAGACATGACTCGGACCAAGAGGAGGACAGAGGACTAACAGTCTCTTTGAATGTGTGAAGGTCTGGCCGTTTTGTAGAGATGACAGAGACAGAAGCAACGGGGAACACACTTTCTTTGTAACAAGGTCCTTAGGTCCAATGAGTGCTGTCTGTGAAGTTTACTACGGGTGAGTAGGTGTCATCATTTTGAGTCTGTCAAAGGCAGTAGTCTCTGTAGCCTCTTCCAGACTGAGGAGTCTTTAATTCAACTTGTAGTACATGAGCCCCTTTTTCTCTTTTTCCTTTTTTATCTGACTTTAAAAGTTAGGAGAGCCCCTTTCTTTTTGATGCCAAACTGCCTTCTAGTTTTTAGACACTTAAAGAGCTGCACTGCCTCAGGCCACTTGTTTTACATTAATAATAATGGCATGTTTCCCCTTGCTATATAAAGTTACCATTAATGTGTACTTTCAATGGAGCTAATTAATTTGCAATGATAAATGCATGCTCCTTGCTTGATTTCTGTTGTGAGCCACGCATGAGTTAGAGGTGGCATTTATGACCATGGAACAGAAAGAAACTTCTAAATTGCACCAAGAACCTGGCCACATTGACAGCGTGCCCTCACTAAATGGAATGGCCAGCCTAGTTGACACAGGTGAAGACAATGTCAAAAACAGAACATTGAGTATTTGAGTATTAGAGGTCTCAGAGATCATCCTGTCCTCCCTCCTCATTCTGCAGATGGCCAAGCTGTGCCCGCATTCCAAGTCCTTATCCAGAGCTCTCTCCATGACAACCTTCTTAGTGACAGTATTACTTAATGTTTTTATTATTCCACACTGCTTTTGCTAGCACTCATGGAAGAAATGATTTTTATTCTAAAGAGAACAAACATGGACTATAACTTATCAGTGATAAAAAATAAAACCATACAATAGAGAGGAGGAATTTTAATAATGTTTAAATTTCATAGGTGTAAAGATTTCCAAACCATCTTACTTATTACTAGTGAATATTGGTGAGTTTACATGCTTTTTTCCTTCTACCTGTTTGGCCCTGTACAAAAATCCAACTCTCTGAAACTTTCCCTCATCTGTAAAATATTTATTTGGCAAAGTTGTTATAAGGATTAGAAATAATGTGTCAGTAGCTGGAAATCTTACTCAGAATTGACTTTAATTCTGTTAGTCTTCTAAATCCTTAAAGAATTAAGAATTGCCTTGAAATTACCATTGGATATAACAGAGTATTGTCAGTGAGTCTTTGGTGGAGTTGGGTTTCATGTGAGATCAGGCTTTTAAAACTGCCCTCCTCAGATGAAGAAAAGCTCCAGTGAGCTCCATGAACCTGATCAGTTTCAGTGTGAAATATCAGCTCTCTTGGGATCCGCAGGAATAGGAATCCAGCTCTGTGAACGTTGCAGCTTGATATAGTTGTGCTCATTTAATTGACCCTTGATTTTAGTACCAAAGAATAATTGGAAGAAAGAGGAACGTCATTTTGGATCTGGGATTGAATAGTGAAAATTATATATAATAATAGTTTCTTAAGGGATTACTTACAGTTTACTTAATAGGTGATGTGTTTGATATTTTTGTATGAATTATCTTAATTCTTACAACAACCCTGTAAAGTAGGATTATCCTAATCTTATGGGTTGATGAAACTGAGGTCTGGAGAGATTTCGTGATTTCCCTGTTTCTTAAGCTGACAGGTAGAGAGCTGGGATTCATGTCACCTCTGCCTGAGTCCAAAGATCATTTTCGTAACCATTAGGCTCTAATACCTGAAGTAAGTTATATTGAAACGGAATCCAGGAGACAATTTTGACAAAGCTTACTGAGAGCTTTGTGATTCCATGAAAACTTTATGATTATCCTAAGTGAAAAGCAAAGAGCCTGGATTCTAAAACCAGACTACCTGGATTCAAATTCTGCCTCCATTTACTACAGGAGAAAAGGAATAACCTCTATGTCTCAGTTTCCTCATCTGTAAAATAGGAAGACAAAGAGTGGCTACCTCACAGGGCTGCTGTGAAGAGTGAATGAGTTCATGCATGTAAAGCATTTAGAACAGTGCTTCGTATATAGTAAGAGCTGTGTGTTTGCTATTGATATTATATCAGCAATGATCATGCATTTCCAGAAAAGGGATTTATAAAACATCTAAATAAGGAAGAATATTTCTAACCATGTTGTTTCATTTGACCCTAAACATTTCTGTTCTTAGGAATGTATATACTTAACAGATTAATGACACATACATATTTATATTAGTGTTCTTTTTAAAAAGAAGAGCTTTAATGAGATATACTTCACCCATTTAAAGTGTAATTCAATGGTTCATAGTATATTCACAGATTTTGGAACAATCTTACAACAAAACAACTTCAGAATGTTTTCGTCACCCCAAAAAAAGCCCTGCACCCATTACTTACCATTCCCCATTTCACCGCAACCCCCCAGCTCTAGGCAATCATTAATTTATTTTCTGTCTCTGCAGATTTGCCTATTCTGGATGTTTCCTATTAATGGAACCATAAAATACGTGGACCGACTGATTTTATTGAGATATGATTTGCATACCATAAAATTCATCTTTTAATGGTATGTAATGTAGTGGTTTTTAGTATATTCATAATGTTGCACGAGCATCACAACTGTCTAATTCCAGAATGTTTTCATCACTACCCCCCAAACCCGTACCCTTTAGCAGCCACTCCCCACTCTACCTTCCCCGCCAGCCCCAGGCAACCACTAACCTAGTTTCAGTGTCTATGGATTTGCCTATTCTAGATGTTTCCTATGAATGAAGCTATACAACATATGGCCTTTGTGTCTGGATTCTTTAATTTAACATATTATTTTCAAGGTTCATCCATGTGGTAGCATCTATCAGTACTTCATTCCTTTTTATGGCTGAATCATATTCCACTGTATGGATTGGCCACATTTTGTTTATCCATTCATCAGTTAGTGGACCTTGATGCTATTTCCACTGTTTGGATGTTATGAATCGTGCTGTTGTGAACATTTGTGTGCAAGTGTGGACATATGTGTTCATTTTTCTTTATTATATACTAGACATGAAAAATTGGATCATATAAGTGACTCCATGTTTAACATTTTAAGGAACTGCAAAACTATTTTCCAAAGCAGGTTACCGTTTTACATTTCTACCAGTAATATGTGAGGGTTCCTTGTTCTCTACGTTCTTGAAAACTTTTGTTATTATCTTTTTAATTATAGCCATCCTAACGAGTGAGAAGTGGTATCTCATTGTGATTTTGATTTGTATTTTCCTAATCACTAATAGTGTTGAGCATCTTTTCATATGGTTATTGGCCAATTGCATATCTTCTTTGGACAAATGTATTTTCAAATCTTTGCCTGCTTTTAAATTGGGTTACTTATTGTTGAATTGTAAGAGTTTTAAAATTCTGGATACCAGACCCTTATCAGATACAGGATTGCAATATTTTCTCCCATGCTGTGGGTTATCTTTTTACTTTCTTGATAGTGTTCACTGAAGCACATTTAAGTTTTACATTTTCATAAAGTCAGATTTATCTATTTTTTTCTTTGCTTGTGCTTTTAGTTTCATATCTAAGAAACCATCGCCTAATCTAAGGAAATGAAGATTTACGTCTGTATTTTCTTCTAGGAATTTTATTGTTGTAGCTCTTGTATTTAGGTCTCTAATCCCTCTGGGTCAATTTTTGTTTATTGTATGAGATAGGAGTCCAAATTTATTCCTTTGTATACGGATATTCAGTTGTCACATAACCATTTGTTGGAAAGACTATTCTTTCCCACATTGGATTGTCTTGGCATCCTTGCCTAAAACAAACTGACCATTGATATATGGGTTTATTCTGAGTGTATTCTATTCCATTGATTTATATGTTTATCCTTATGCCAATTCCAGGTGGTCTTGATTACCATAGTAAGTTTTAAAATCTAGAAGTATGAATCCCCAATTTTGTTCTTTTCTTTCTAGATTGTTGTGGCTCTTACTAGATCCCTTGCATTTCCATATGAATTTTAGGGTCATCTTGTCAATTTCTGCAAAAATGGCAGCTGGAATTTTGAGAGAGACAACATTGAATCTGTGCCTCAAATTAGGAGTACGGCCACCCTAACAATAGTAAGTCTTGTAATACATGAATACAGTGTGTCTTTTCATTTATTTAAATCTTCATTAATTTCTTTCAATGATGATTTGTAGTTTTAGTGTACAAGTGTTGCATTTCTTTTTTAAATTTAGTCCTAAGTATTTTATTCTTGTTACTTTGTAAATAAAGCCAATTTCTTAATTTCAATATCAGATTATTCATTATGAAGTGTTGACTTTTTGTATGTTGATAGTGTATTCTACAGCCTTGTTGAATTCATTTATTAGCTCTAATAAGTTGGGTGTGTGTGTGTTTTTTTTTCTTTTTTTAAGATGGAGTTTCGCTCCGGTTGCCCAGGCTGTAGTACAGTGGCACAATATTGGCTCACTGCAACCTCTACCTCCTGGGTTCAAGTGATTCTCCTGCCTCAGCCTCCTAAGTAGCTGGGATTACAGGCGTGTGCCACCACGCCCAGCTAATTTTCTATTTTTAGTAGAGACAGGGTTTCACCATGTTGGTCAGGCTGGTCTCAAACTCCTGACCTCAAGTGATCCACCTGCCTCAGCCTCCCACAGTGCTGTGATTACAGGCATGAGCTACTGCGCCTGGCCAGTTGTGTTCTTTTAATATGAATTCTTCAGGATATTCTATATACACGATTCTGTCATTTGTAAGTAGAGATCTTTTTACTTTCTCCATTCCCATATGGATGCTTTTTATTTATTTATTTATTTTTTATTGAGACGGAGTTTCACTCTTGTCACCCAGGCTGGAGTGCAATAGCACAATCTTGGCTCACTGCAACCTCCACCTCCCGCATTCAAGCGATTCTCCTGCCTCAGTCTCGCTAGTAGCTGGGATTACAGGCGTGCACCACCATGCCTGGCTAATTTTTGTATTTTTAGTAGAGACAGGGTTTCACCATGTTGGCCTGCCTGGTCTCGAACTCCTGACCTAGTGTGATTCGCCCACCTCAGCCTCCCAAAGTTCTGGGATTACAGGTGTGAGCTACTGCGTCTGGACTTATTTCTTTTTTACTTAATTGCCCTGGGTAGAACTTCAAGTACAATTTTGAATAGGATTGGTGAGAGCAGATATCTCTGTCTTGTTCCTGATCTTAGAGGGAAAGCGTTCAGTCTTTCATCATTAAGTTTTATGTTAGTTGTGGGATTTTCGTAGATGCCTTTCATCAGCTTGAGGAAGTACACTGGTATTCCTATTTTGTTGAGTGTTTTTTTTTTTTTTTTTTGGTTTTAATAGGAGAGTGGTAGATTTTATCAAATTCTCTGTGTCTACTGAGATGTTATGTGGTTTTTGTATTTCATTCTATTAATATGATGTATTACATTGATTAATTCTCATGTATTGAAACAACCTTGTAACCCTGGGATAAACTCCACTTGGTTATCATGTATAATCCATAATATATTGCTGGATTTGGTAGTTTTCATGTGATACTCTTTTCTTGATTTTAGTATCAGGGTTATACTGTTCTTGGAGAATGAGTGAGGAAGTGATCCTTCTTACATTGTACAGAAAAGTTTATGAAGCTCTTTGTTATTCTTTAAACAATTGGTAGAAATAATCAGTCTTGGGCTTTTCTTCGAGGGAAATTTTTGATTATGACTTCAATCTGCTTACTTATAGGTCTATTCCGATTTTGTATTGCCTTTTGAGTCAGCTTTGGTAGTTCGTGTTTTTTCTGGTTATTTGTCCAACTTAGTTAGCTAATTTTTTGATGTACACACATTTTGTTTCATAAGTTTTTCCTTACATTTTTTTTCTATTTCTATAAGATTGGTAACAATGTCCCCTCTTTCATATTTGATTTTGGAAATTTGAGTTTTCTTTTTATCGTCTTCATTAGTCTGGCTAAAGGTTTACCTATTTTATTGATTTTTAAAATTATTTTAATTAATTAATTAATTTTCTGAGACAAAGTCTTGCTCTGTTGCCCAGGCTGGAGTGCAGTGGCATGACATCGGCTCACTGCAACCTTCCTCTCCCGGGTTCAAGTGATTCTCCTAACTCAGCCTCCCAAGCAGTTAGGATTGCAGGCATGCGCCACCAAGCTTGGCTATTTTTTTGTATTTTTAGTAGAGACAGGGTTTCACCATGTTGCCCAGACTGGTTTCAAAGTCCTGACCTCAAGTGATCTGCCCGCATCGGGCTCCCAAAGTGCTGGGATTACTTTGAGCCACTGCTCACACCTGTAATGGCCTGATCTTTTTTTTTTTTTTTTTTTTTTTGAGACGGAGTCTCGCTCTGTCGCCCAGGCTGGAGTGCAGTGGTGTGATCTCGGCTCACTGCAAGCTCCGCCTCCCAGGTTCAGGCCATTCTCCTGCCTCAGTCTCCCGAGTAGCTGGGACTACAGGCGCCTGCCACCACGCCCGGCTAATTTTTTGTATTTTTAGTAGGGACCGGGTTTCACCGTGTTAGCCAGGATGGTCTTGATCTCCTGACCTTGTGATCCGCCTGCATCGGCCTCCCAAAGTGCTGGGATTACAGGCGTGAGCCACCGCGCCCGGCCCCTGGCCTGATCTTTTAAAAGAACCAGGTTTTTTTTTTCCCCCACAGTTTTTCTATTATCTATTTTTATTTATTTTCTCTCTTATCTTTATTATTTCCCTCCACCTGCTTGTTTGGGTTTAGTTTGCTCTTCTTTTACTAGTTTCTTAAGACAGAATTAGGCTATTGACTTGAGATCTTTCTTCTTTTTAATGTAGGCGTTTATAGCTAAAAGTTATTTTTCTAAACTTTGCTTTTGCTGCATCCCTTAAGTTTCAGAACGTTGTGTTTTATTTTCATGCACCTTAAAGAATTTTCTATTTTCCCTTGTGATTTCTTCTTTGACTTGTGGATAACCATTTTAGAAGAGTGTTGCTTGATTTCCACATATTTGTGACTTTCCCATATTTCCTTTGGTTCTTATAATTTTATTCCATTGTGGTTGGTTGTAGAACATACCTCATATGATGTCAATTTTTAAAAAAAGTATTGATATTGTTTTATGGTTTAATATGTGGTCTATTCTGAAGAATGTTCCATATGCCCTTGAGAAGAATGTGTTTTCTGTCATTGTTGGGTGGTATTTTCTTTTTTTGTGTGTGTTTTTTTTGATGTGGAGTCTTGCTCTGTTGCCAGGCTGGAGTGCAGTGGCCCGATCTCGGCTCACTGCAACCTCCAGCTCCTGGTTCAAGCAATTCTCCTGCCTCAGCCTCCCAAGTAGCTGGGACTGCAGGCGCATGCCACCATGCCTAGCTAATTTTTTTTTTGTATTTTTAGTAGAGATGGGGTTTCACTGTGTTGGCCAGGATGGTCTCGATCTCTTGACCTTGTGATCTGCCCGCCTTGGCCTCCCAAAGTGCTGGGATTACAGACATGAGCCACCACGCCTGGCCTGTTGGGTGGTATTTTCTGTAGTTGTCTTTTGGGTCTAGCTGATATGTAGAGTAGGTCAAGTTCTCTATTTCCACGTTGATCTCTTTAGTTGTTCACTGCATTATTGAAAGTGGAGTACTGAAGTCTTAAAGTATAATCTTTGAATTGTCTTCCTTCAAGTCTGTCAGTTCTTGCTTCACTTATTTTGGGGCTCTGTTGTTAGGTGCAATATGTTTATAATTGTTATATCTTTTTGATGTATTTACTCTTTTATCATTAAAATGTCTTTTTTTGTGTTTAGTAACATTTTTTTTCTAAACACTTGTTTTGTCTGGTATTATTATAACCCTCCAGCTCTCTTTTGGTTACCATTGCATGGTATATCTTTTTCTTTCAATTTATTAGTGTCTTTAAATCTAAAATGTGTCTCCTACAGGCAGCAAATAGCTGAATCATGTTATATAAATCCATTGTGCTAATCTCTGCCTTTTAATTGAAATGTTTAAAACATTTACATTTAATATAATATTTGATAACGTAGGATTTAGTTCTGTCATTTGCTGTTTTTCTATATCTTATGCCTTTTTAATTTTTCGTTCCTTTTATTACTGCCTTATTTTGTGTTAAATAGTGTTGTTTATACATATGTTCTGGTGTACCATTTTAATTCCCTTGAGAGATACATTTGGGAAATTTGGGGAAGTCATGTATGTATGTATGTATGTATGTATGTATGTATCTTTTCCCTTAGTAGTTGCCCTGAGGATTATAATTAACATCTTAATTTATAATAATGTAGTTCATATTAATAACAAGTTAATTTCAATAATCTACAAAATTTTGCTTCAATATAGTTTTGTTCTCTTCAACCTCCTTTATGCTATTATTGTTATACAAATTACATCTATTTGTTATTGTTATATAAATTGCTTCTATGTAATTATATCTACATCTATGTTTGTGTGACCATCAATGTAGATTTATTTTATATATAGTAGATTTATTTCATCTACAATGTAGATTATTTTATATATAATAATATATATTTTATTTTTTATTTTTAAAATTTAATTTAATTATTATTTTTTTTTTGAGACAGAGTCTTGCTCTGTCACTCAGGCTGGAGTGTAGTGGCACAATCTTGGCTCACTGCAACCTCTGCCTCCTGGGCTCAAGTGATGCTTGTGCCTCAGCCTTTTGAGTAGCTGGAATTACAGGCATGCACCACCGCACCCAGATCATTTTTTGTATTTTTAGTAGAAACAGGGTTTCACCATTTTACCTAGGCTGGTCTCGAACTCCTGAGCTCAGCTTATCTGCCCACCTTGGCCTCCCAAAGTGCTAGAATTACAGATGTAAGCCGCCACACCTGGCCTTAAATATGTATAATATAAATCTACATCTATATTTATATATGTGTGTGCATATATATGTAATAAATCTACATTTATATATGTGTGTGTATATATACACACACATATGAAAATATATATACACACACGTATAAATGTAGATTTATTTATATTATATATATGTTGTATGTATTTTTTTTCTTTTTTTAAGAGGATAAATTAAGAGGACAAGGCCTTGTTCTGTTGCCCAGGCTGGAGTGCAGTGGCACAATCATAGCTCACTGCAACCTTGAACTCCTGAGCTCAAGCAATACTCCCACCTCAGCCTCCCAAGTAGCTGGAACTACAAGAAGATGCCATCATGTCTGGATAATTAATTTTTTTTTTTTTTTTTTTTTTTTTTTTTTTTTTTTTTGTGGACAGGAGTCTCACTATGTCATCAAGTCTGGTTACAAACTCCTGGCATCAAGTGATCCTCCCACCTCAGCCTCCCAAAATGCTGGGACTAGAAGCTTGAGCCACCACACCCAGTGTATAATTATCTATTTATGTGGTTGTCTTTTAAGTCACAGAGGAGAAGAAAGGGGTTACTATACATATATATGTATATATGTGCATATATATGTGTTTATATAGATGTATATTTACAGTCTTTTTTATATTTACTTATGTGTACCTTTACCAGTGCTGTTTTATTTAATAATGTGGATTTGAGTCACTGTCCAGTGTCTTTTTATTTCAACTGGATACACACTCTTTAGTATTTCTTGCAAGACAGATCTATTAGCAACAAATTCTCTTGGTTTTTGTTTATCTGGGAATGTTTTAATTTCACTTTCACTTCTAAAGGATAGCTTTGTTGGTTATAGACTCCTGAGTTGGCAATCCTTTTCTTTCAGCATTTTGAATACATCATCCCACTTCCTCTGCCGCCATGGTTTTTGATGGGAAATCAGCTCTTACTCTCATTGAGGATCCTTTGTACATTATGACTTGCTTCTCTCTTGATCTTTCAAGATTCTCTCTTTTGTCTTTGGCTTTTAACCGTTTGATTATGATGGGTCTAAGTGTGGATCTCTTTGAGTTTGTCTCTTGTGGAGTTTGTCAATGTAGGCTGCTGATTTTAATAATGAACGAGGGCTTTTGGTTTTCAAAGCTGTCACGGAGCTGGGGCTCAGGAAATAGGACTGGGGAAGTTAATAGGTTGGTGCAAAAGTAATCACGGTTTTGGACTGTGAATTTTAAGTCATTATAACTAGGTTCGAAACATCTTTATTAATCAAAATAGGAACCATTACAATCAATACATTTTGGAACCACCACTGCACTGCTCCTGGCCAAATGCATTGTTGGTGTTGTGAGTTGTCTCTGCTCCTTTATGACGCATTTTGAACTTGAATTAAAAAAATTGCTTGAATTTGCTTTTTGTCTAACATCATTTCCATAGTCTAAAATAAATAGCAAGTAATGTCATTAGCAAAAAAGCATAACGTGAGAAATGCCCATTAAAATGATGTATCACATAACCACATTTATTTAAGAATGTATTCCAACATCAAATGGCAAATTCCAATGAGAAAACTGCAATTACATTTGCACCAACCTAACAAAACACCCAGAGCTCACTGTTCTTACCAAGATTCTGCCATTTTTATTAAATGAATGCTGCCTGGATTATTGCAAGACTTGGGTTAATTTCCAGATGTGTGAAAAAGTTGCTTCTGACAATTGTGCTGTTGTTCTAGTCACTTTTACGGAGAAGAGAATTTTTAGAGGTCCTTACTCTGCCATTTGTGTTGATGTCACCTAATAATGTTAACTTCTGGACCCAAATAATTCACCCATCCACAAATGCATTTTCCACCTAAAATGATTAGAAGTTCTGCTAAATCTGTTGTCCAGCTTTCCAGCCTGCCTGTCTGTTTTCTGTTCCTTGTAAAGGAACACAAGACTAGGAATTCTCAAAATAACACTTTTGAGACAGACCACCATGCTTTATCAAACACAGTGACATGCTGTAGTTTTAGGCTTTTCTTCACTTTTCTTAGCTTGGCAAGAGATCCATACTCAGTTCCCAATCCAGGTGCAAAATGACAAGTAAGGGGAAACTTTTAGGTTCATGTCTAAACAAAACTCAGGCTTACACAATCCAGGTGACTGGGTAAAGGGCTCTGCGCTGATCTTCAGGCATTGTGTCTGCTGCTTTCAGTGTTTCTTGCCCAGGATCAAGGACAATTTAAAGTCAAGTGGTTCCACAATTAATATTTTTAGTTATTTCCAGGAATTCCATTTCCAAGTTTGGCTCACTCTATGGCAAACCTGGAAATGGAATTCTTAAATAACTACAAAGACATCCTTATTCTGGGTCTTGCCATCTTTGGGTTTCAGGTATATGGTAGGCCTAGGTCCCTACCACTTGTGGAAGCATAAAATTACATTTTCATACATGTGTGTCCTGGTCTTCTTCCCTTAACCCCTTACTATTGCCCTGAGGAGCCATCGTCAGATCACTTCCTTATCTAGAACAATTCCATCTAATCACCTTCAAGGACAAGCAGTTCTCAGTGATGGTGATACACTTCAGAGGATTATCTGCCTCTATGTTATGGCTGTCACAGGGGTGGGAAGTCTATTGGGATTTAGTGCAATTGGACCAGGGATGTGAAATGATCTGTAATGTGCCAAACAGTCCTACATATTGAGGAATTCTCCTGTATTGACCGGATACGGTGGCTCATGACTGTAATCCCAGCACTTTGGAAGGCTGAAGTGGCAGGACTGCTTGGGACCAGCCCTGGCAACATAGCAAGGCTTTATCTCTATAACAAAATAAAAACATTAGCCAGGCGTGGTGGCACATGCCTGTAGTCCCAGCTACACAGGAGGCTGAGGTGAGAGGATCAGTTGAGCCTATGAGGTTGAGGCTGCACAGTGAGCTGTGATTGTACCCCTGCACTCCAGCCTGAGTGACAGAGTGAGACCCTGTCTCAAAAAAAAAAAAAAAAAAAAAGAATTCTTCTGCATTGCTTGCACATTCAATAGTCTTGCCAGATATTCATGTAGGTGAAAAACCTGTTTATAATTACATAATTATAAAAACTAGTCTATTTTGCTTGCAAAATGCAAAATGATTTTGTAATGTTTAATATAAATAGAAGGTGTTATGACTTTAACTGCCATGAAAATTAATAGATTGTTTGAACAAACTTTGTTTGTTCACAACTTTTCTAAATGTAATCAAGTCACCAAAAGCAGCACTTCTTAGGTGTCTGAGGGGCCAATATAATGCACTCACATTAGTCTGCATTTATAGCTACTGCATTAACAATGATTAATTCCTATTATCTTCTATTATAGCTATGCCGACATCCATAAATATTAAAATATACATTATTTTATAATAAATTCATTTCTTTTTATTTCTCCAATTATTTTGTTTACATTATATTGATAAAAAATGAATAAGTAACCCACTGTGGCAGTTATGGAGTGTAATTCCTGATTTTTCAGTTTTCTTTGCCTGACAAACACTAATTCATTTTAGTTTTAGTAGTTAATAAGCATAAATGTAGACCCCAAGGCGTTTTTTCTTGCTCTTCTAGTAGACTGAAATAATTACACTTGTCTTTCTACCCTGCCCCTGATCTGTTGGCTAACTAGGGGTCTCAAGTGGAGACACGGTCGCATTTTCTATTTTATCCAGAGATTTGTAATTGGCAACCCACATTCCACCAAGTGTTCTTTCCTCATTGAGCACCTCTCGTTGATCTCGACACATTGGTGGCGTGAACACATTCTCTCCCTCACAGAAAACTTAGGAATTAGGGGAAATGTGACATCAGAAGATCATCTACTTGTCTGGTTCTTCTTTGGAAACGTAATTTTCCATACGTGGTGATTCATAGGTAGATCTTTGGCTGTAGAACTCCTCTCCTAACAACGGGTTTCCTTAAAACTAAGTTCAGTTGGTGCAATTTTTGTCCTTATACTCCCCAAACAGCAGCTCCATAGATTGTGAAGCTGAAATTGTGACGTGTGTGCAAAATGCAAAGGATCATTATATTTGCATTTTTTTTACAATCTTTGGTGACAATGTAGTCATCATCAGTATTATAATCTTTGAAAGTGAAGACGCTAAAATAACTAGTGTGCACATCAGTGTTCAAAATGGTTAGAACGTGGGAAAAAAGCTAAAATTCCATCAATAAATGAATGTATTAAAACGTGTGACATATATATATATATATGAAATGAAATACTATTCCACCTTAAAAAGGAGTGAAATTCCGACACATGCTGTAACATAGATAAAACTTGAAAACACTCTGCTAAGTGAAAGAAAGCAGACACAAAAGGACAAATACTGTTCGATTCCACTTATACGAGGTACTCAAGGAGGCATGGTCACAGTCGTAGAACATAATAGAGGTTACCAGGGACTGAAAGTAGAGGGGACTGGGGAGTTATTGTTTAATGGGCACAGAGTTTCTGTTTGGGGATGATGAAAAAGTTCTGGAAATGGATATTGATGATGGTTGCACAACATCATGAATGTCATTAATGCCATTGAATCATATACTTAAAAATGGTAAATTTCATGTTATGTATATTTTAGCACAATAAGAGAACACAAAGAAAAATAAATTGTAAACCTAGTATGTTTTCCTGATTTAAATATTCTTCACAAATGAAACTGAAATGAACATTTTTCAGAAATAGAATAGAGAAAATTTGTGACCTGCAGGTCTGCACTAAAGAACAACTAAAGTTGCCGGGCACAGTGGCTCACGCCTGTCATCCCAGCACTTTGGGAGGCCGAGGCGGGAGGATCATGAGGTCAGGAGATGGAGACCATCCTGGCTAACACGGTGAAACCCCGTCTCTACTAAAAATACAAAAAACTAGCCGGGCGTGGTGGTGGGCACCTGCAGTCCCAGCTACTCGGGAGGCTGAGGCGGGAGAATGGCGTGAACCCGGGAGGCGGAGCTTGCAGTGAGCCGAGATCGCGCCACTGCACTCCAGCCTGGGGGTCCGTCTCAAAGAAAAACAAAACAAAAAAAAGAACTACTAAAGGTTTAAAAGAGGATGGAAATGTAGACATGCAGAAGGGAATGAAGAGCAATGGAAAGCGCAAGTGTGTGTGTAAGGAACTGTCACAGAATAAATATAAATATTTAAATATAAAAATATAAAAAATATTTATAAAAATATAAATATTTATTAAAAATATAAAGTTCAAAACCGGGCAATACTAGTTTATGGTGTTAGAAGTTAGGATAGTGGAAAACTTTGGAGATGATGGGATGTTAATAAAAGGGAGAGGAAGGAAGGGGGTTAGAGAGCTAGCTGTCTTCTATTTCTTCAACACTTGACAGTTACAGGGGTTTATTCACTTCGTGAGTAAATTCGCTGTGCTGCAGGCATACTCCGTGTGTGTGCGCTTTTCTGCATGTATGTCACGTTTTAATAAAAAGTTTTAAAAAATGGAATTGAATTGTTATTTGATCAGATAACTCTCAAAACCTGTCCTAACTACATTATAGTGGATGAGCCATCTTGAATCTTCAGGTGTGATCCACAGCAATTGACTGTTGTTAACCAGAGTGAGGTGCCAGTTGCTGCGCTGAGTTCCAAAGCTGCGCTTCTTGATAGCTGTGAACATCATGAGTATACACTGGAGTGCACATACTATAACATGCTATTGTTACCAAGCCATCATGAGGACGTACATTTGGAATGTTTCTACCTGGGATGACACATTTATACACATCTATTACCACATGCTTTCTAGTCTTCCATGTGTTGAAATAACTTGCATTATTCAGAAAAGGATATCAATTTCTGGTGTCATCTGGAAGGTTAAACAGAGTAAAGTCAAATAGCTGAATTGCGTATTGAACCTGTGATTAATTTTGTTCCTGTTCATAATAATGAGGTCATCTGAGAGCCACCTAATGGCCTGCCACCGCCCAACTAATTATCTAGAATTCCTACAATTGAAGACATTCTTCTCCATGAAAGGACTGTCTCTGGAACAAAATACAAATATCTGACATAAATGAGAGCAATAGGAAATTATTAGGCCGGGTACGATGCTTCATGCCTGTAATCACAACACTTTGAGAGGCTGAGGCAGGTGGATCAGCTGAGGTCAGGAGTTCGAGACCAGTCTGACCAACATGGTGAAACCCCATCTCTACTAAAAATACAAAAATTAGCCAGGTGTAATGGTGCGCCCCTGTCATCCCAGCTACTCAGGAGGCTGAGGCAGGAGAATCACTTGAACCAGGGAGGCAGAGGTTGCGGTGAGCAGAGATTGAGCCACTGCACTCCAGCCTGGGTGACAGAGCGAGACTCCATCTCAAAAAAGAAAAGAAAAGAAAAGAAAATTATTAGTACTTATTAGCATGCTTTAGTCTATTGGATTAGCTGGCAGAGCAAGCATTAATCGGAGGAATTGCCATCAGGATCAAGTATATTCATGAAGGGAGTAAAAGGTCTGCAGGATGAAGCAGTGCTCTAGAAGGGTGATGGCTGGGAGCTTTGGGAACTCAGAGAGCAGTCACTGGGGCCATAGATGTAAGAAGAGGTGGGCTGAGCAACACGGAACGAAGTGGTGCCTGGGGCATAATTGCACAGAGCGCAGGCTCCTGCATGTGACACTGTTGCATATCCTCAGTGCTTGAATGGACCACAGATATGTGCCCACCTTGCTGTCTGTACCCAATGGTCACACACACACTTGTGCTTTTCAACTCATATACCTTAGAAAATGAGGTGGAATAGGAATTTGGCTTCCTGAGAAGTAGTTCTCGAACTTACAAGATAATTTTGCTCTTGGTGCAGAAATGGATAACCTGTATATACTATTTCACTATTTCACAAGATGAATAATCAAAGAAATACATGAATGAAGTAATTTTCATCCTAAAGTAAACATTTGGTATTTACTATAATCTTAATTTAAAATCTATTTATGCAATTGCGATACTTAACGATGTAGTAGCAAGCAGATTTTTGATATTGTATTATTTTTTGAATAATTTGGATAATGGAATTGTGCTTTGGGTTTTCATAAATTATGACATGGTGACATTTCTTGGACATTCTCTGCATACTTAGACAAAGTTTTCAGGGATTTTAAAAAGCTAATGTTAATATCTAATTTTATGTTTTTTTTTATTTTTTGAGACGGAGTCTTGCTCTGTCGCCCAGGCTGGGGTGCAGTGGCGCGATCTTGGCTCACTGCAAGCTCCGCCTCCCGGGTTCACGCCATTCTCCTGCCTCAGCCTCCCGAGTAGTTGGGACTACAGGCGCCCACCACCATGCCCGGCTCATTTTTTTGTATTTTTAGTAGAGACGGGGTTTCCCCGTGTTAGCCAGGATGGTCTCGATCTCCTGACCTCGTGATCTGCCCACCTCGGCCTCCCAAAGTGCTGGGATTACAGGCGGAAGCCACCGTGCCTGGCCTAATTTTATTTATTTTATTTTTTTTTGTTTGTTTGTTGTTGTTTTTAATGAATGAATGATTGATAATATTACTAAGAAATCTGAAAGAAAGTAATTTCAATGAGATAACCACTTCTTATAGGTACTTTGTTTTCAAATCAATCACACATAACATTCGAATTAGCTTTAAAAGGTCAATTGGTAGGCCAGGCGCGGTGGCTCACGCCTGTAATCCCAGCACTTTGGAAGGCTGAAGGAGGTGGATCACCTGAGGTCAGGGGTTTGAGACCAGCCTGGCCAGCATGGTGAAACGACCATCTCTGCTAAAAATACAAAAATTAGCCAGGCGTGGTGGCACATGCCTGTAGTCCCAGCTGCTCGGGAGGCTGAGACAGGAGAATTGCTTGAGCCCAACAGGCAGAGGTTGCAGGGAGCTGAGATCTCACCAAGAGGCAGAGTTTGCTGTGAGATGAGATCATACCACTGCACTCCAGCCTGGATGACAGAGTGAGACTCTGTCTCAAACAAACAAAAAGGTGCCGGGTGTGGTGGTTCATGCCTGTAATCCCAGCACTTTGGGAGGCCGAGGCGGGAGGATCACCTGAGGTCAGGAGTTCGAAACCAGGCTGGCCAACATGGTGAAACCCCGTCTCTACTAAAAATACAAAAATTAGCCAGGTGTGGTGGCACACGCCTATAATCCCAGCTACTCGGGAGGCTGACGCAGGAGAATGGCTTGAGCCCGGGAGGCTGAGGTTGCAGTGAGGTGAGATCATACCATTGCACTCCAGCCAGGGCAACAAGAACGAAACCCCATCTCAAAAAAAAAAAAAAAAAAAAAAAAAAAAGTCAATTTGTGAATATAGATAAAATAAATATTTAAAAATCTATTTTGTATGTAGCCTTCAACATCTTTTACTTCATAGGTGCTCAATAAATATTTATTGAGTGCTCTCCAGAATGAATAGACACCTGAGAGAATTATCTTGAAATAATCATATAGATCAGGCAAATGGTTTATTTACTTGAATTATCTGAATGCCTTCATTCTTTCTTCAGTTTTCTTTTTTTATGCTTAAGATACAACTGGAACAGCATAAATTTTAAAAAGAACATTAAGTCACCACGACACGATAATAGAGAGTAATGGTTACAAGTAGCAGTTTTTCTTAGGACTGAAATCAAATCTGTTGAAAGGACAACTTGGCAGACTTTTGCAACTAAAGATGTTGGTAGAAGAAATGTAAAGCTCCATTCTACTTAGCTTGGAGTGTTCCCATGCTGGGCAATTGGCAAGCTTTATCATCTGTAGAGACTGGTAAACTGTGGCTCACATTAACTGTTAAGCTTCACTGTATGCTGCTTACACAGGTGCAAAAATATGTGATAACTAGAATTGTTTTCATTCAATCAGTCTCCCCATTGGCAGATAGTGGAGTAGCTCTATATTATGTTTACTCTGAAAAATATAGCAATTTAGTTAATAATGAATCCAAAGTTCATAGGCACCCAGTTCTTAATCATAGATCATTTCATTGATCATTCTTAGCTTTCATAAGCTTATAAATGTAAACACCGTGGCTAGTCTGTTTTCTAGGAAAATGTTTTTCTGTGAGCTAAATCAAAACTGGTTGGCATTATTTTTCATGGCATGAATTTCTATATGGGATTCCTGGTGTGAATTCATTATTGAGAAACAAAATGCTAGCAGAGGGGGAAATATTGCTTTTGCATTTGTTTGCATTTTTAGTTTTTTTTTCCATTTTGACATCACTGTTTTCATTATGGACCTTATATATTAAAAAAACAATTTTCACTTAGTATTCATTTCTGTTTAATTCTGTATGTAATTCCTCTACATGTTTAAATTTTGAGATTTAATTGTCAAAAGAATAACTTTTCTTCAAAGTAATGAGCATGCAATTTTAGGACCTGCCTTAGTTACACAGTCTAAATTATCAAATTTAAGCCATATCTCTCCCAAATTTCAGATTAGAACATACTACGTTTTGTTACTATAAAAAGCTTCTTATTAAACATCTGAACTTAAGCAGTTTATTATGTACTCTACAACATAAAATATATAAAATATAAATTTAAGGAAAAACATAAGCAGTTTATTATGTACTCTACAACATAAAATATATACAATATAAATTTAAGGAATATTTGTTAGATATTAATGTCTAATATCTAACAATGTAGACACATGTACAATATAATGTCTAATGTACACTTTTCTCATGTATCTTTCATTCTTTTTTTTTGAGACGGTTTCTCCCTCTGTCGCCCAGGCTAGAGAGCAGTGGTGTGCTCTCGGCTCACTGCAACCTCCACCTCCTGGGTTCAAGCAATTCTCTGCCTCAGCCTCCCGAGTAGCTGGGATTACAGGCACCCGCCACCAGGCCCGGCTAATTTTTTTGTATTTTTAGTAGAGATGGGGGCCTCACCATCTTGGCCAGGCTGGTCTTGAACTCCTGACCTCATGATCCACCCACCTTGGCCTCCCAAAGTGCTGGGATTACAGGCATGAACCACTGTGCCCGGCCAAATCTTTCATTGTTAATTTACCCTCTTTGCAGTACGGTACACGTACCATCAACTGTGCTTCCACCTTCCAATTGGGAGATGCTCTGTTTTACCTTTTCCAGATAGTACCTAGCAGGGGGAGCCTGTTGGGCAGAGGTCCCCAACCTTTTTGGTACCAGGGACCAGTGTCGTGGAAGAGAATTTTCCACAGATGGGGGCAGTGGGGGATGGTTAGGGGATGATTCAAGTGCATTACGTTTATTGTGCATTTTATTTCTATTATGATTACATTGTAATATATAATGAAATAATTATATAAGTCACCATAATGTAGAATCAGCAGGAGCCTTGTGCTTGTTTTCCTGCAACTAGATGGTCCCATCTAGGGGTGATGGAGACAGTGACAGATCATCAGGCATTCGATTCTCATAAGGAGCACACAGTTTAGATCCCTTGCATGTGCAGCTCACCATAGGGTTCATGCTCCTCTGAGAATCTAGTGCTGCCTCTGATCCGACAGGAGGTGGAGCTCAGGTGGTAATGCGAGCAATGGGGAGCGGCTGTAAATACAGATGAAGCTTTGCTCGGCAGCCCGCCGCTCACCTCCTGCTGCGTGGCCTGGTTGCTAAAAGGCCACAGACTGGTATCAGGCCACAGTGGGGGCTGGGGACCCCTGCTCTAGGGATTAAGTGCTTCTGAAACAGCTTCTACTCAGCTTTCCTTATGGTAGTCGTACCTTTATCCTGGGGTCCGGAAATGCCAGGTGCTGCCCATTGCCATGCCTTTTTAAGATTCTAGAGAGTAAATTGGGTTGGTTTATGGTTTTCTCCATTGCTACTTTGAGTTTTAACTTTCTCAGGTTTTCAAAGTCAGTTACCATTCCTTTGCTTTCTAAACTTTAACTTTATATCCTTCCCAGAACAAAATGTTTGAAAATGACTGTTGAACAAACATGTATTTTGGATACATTCATTTCTTTGATCTCAAAAGTCTGTTTTATTTTTTTAATAGCTTTGTTAGTGAATGCATGTGTTGGCACAGGAGTTGCAATGTCAAATGCCTACAGGGGCCAGGCACGTGTTTTGGCTCCTCTCAAAATCCTGAACAGGTCAGGGTCAGAGTCAGTTAAGTTTGGAAGAATCCCAGAGCAATAAAACTTGTGTCCCATTTGGGACCTTATGGGAGGAGAACACTTGTTTCAGGCCAGAAGTTAGCAGCTGTGGGGGTTGAGGGGTGGTAGAGATGACCATGTGACACAAGGTGGTGAGACAGAGGGTCTGAGGGTCCCCACCCTGCTGGTTCCCCATGGTTTGAACCTGAGGGGACAGTTTCAGAAGTTCCTGTACGTCCCCAGTGGGGGACATGGAAAGTAGGTGAGAGATGCAAGTCAGGAGCATTGCCATGGGCACCCTGGGTGAGAGGCAAGGTAACGCCATGCAGAGCCTGCAAGGTAGGCTGCCTGCGCCAGGGCCAGGCAGAGTGCATGTCTCAGACAGAGGATCCATGACTCCAGGAAAGCTGAGCTGAGAGTTTTGGAGGTGGTAGTGGAGGTGTTATTATTGCCTGGCCTCAACTATGTCAAGAAAACAGACCACAGATCACAAGTGAAACCAAGGATTTCAACAGTGGATACAAGCAGGACCCCAGGAGACCAGCAGCCCCTGCCTTCCTTAGGAAGTCGTCTAAATTGTTTCTTCCTGGAGATGCCATCTTGGGAAGAGGAGGAGGTGGTGAACCATTGAGCCTAAGAAACAGCAGTGATGGACTTTGAACCTTCAATTTGACTGAATATTGATCTGAAAGAGATATTTAAATTGAAAGAGTCTCTGTTGAAGCAAGTGAAACTTTTAATTTGAAAGAGACTGAACTACCTTTAACTAGCAAATTTCAACGCTTCTATCATCAGAAATTTTGTGCTCATAAGAAAGAGTAATGAGTTATAAAACCTGAAGAAGCCACATTTATCTTAAAATATTTGTTAGTGTACATGTTAAAATATGATTGGGTTCTCTCATTGAAATGTTGATTTTATTTGAATTCAATGAATGCCACTTCATTAGGTATTTTTTAAATCTTTTATGTATTTATTATGTTTGTTGCATCGAGTGGCATAATTGTTTGAATACAAAACTAAAGAAATTCAGGGAATTTCTCCCTAACATGCACTGTAATAGTTAAAACACATACAGACAACTGCAGATTATGTTAGAATACAAGATTGTTATTTGCTATTTACCACAATTGCAAAATCAACTTGTCAAGGAAAGACAATTAGAGTCCTTCAAATATCTTGATGTTTATGTGTTTGATGGCTGTAATATACATGTAAATTGTGGAGTATGACATACAAAAAATTATTGCTTTAAATATCATTATTGCTAGCCCCAAAAAGAGTTGCAAAACATAGCTAAGTGTATGTTTTTTTCACATAG
Source organism: Homo sapiens (assembly GCF_000001405.40). NCBI lineage: Eukaryota > Metazoa > Chordata > Mammalia > Primates > Hominidae > Homo > Homo sapiens. The sequence continues at coordinate 185,502,120 of NC_000004.12, forward strand.
CAGGCATTTGCCTCCCATTCCTTTTCCTCAATAAACAATAGGATAAAGGTCTAAAGCCTTGACTTTAGATTTGGAGTTGACAATCTGCACAATCCTTCTGCCCAAAGCCATGAATGTCTTCTCGTGTAAGTGCGCGTGGGTGGGTGCGTGCGTGCGTGCCACGCCTGCAGAGACTTAAGCTTTGGGATACAGAGTGACCGTGTCATAGCCCTCTGGGGGCTTTGTGCGGGCTCTTGCGTGGGTTTCGCAGTACAGCTCCCCTTCTATGAAGAAGTAGCCCTTTTGCTTGAGGTTGAGGTTGCAGTCGGCACACACGAAGCACTCAGGGTGCCGGTACTTATCCCGCGCCTTCACCACAGCACCGCTGTTGGGGAAGAAAACGAGCTCAAGTTAAAAAACCACAGAGCAAAAATATGAGACAAAGGAGAGAACCCAACAGAGAAGGCAGATGTTCTCTATTTCACAGTCAGGAAACAATGGCCTCCAGCTGTGAAAGCAGGCACAGCCGTGAAACTGTATGTAATTGTCATGGAGATCTAGGATATCCACAATAAACCATCCCGTGTTTCTCTCTGATGTTGACGTGTGACTATTTTTCAGATTTTCAAACAAGTACTTTATAGAAAATTTGTAGGATCCTACTTCATGATCTTTCCCCATCGTTTCTTTGAAGAGGGAGACATGATGGAGACAAGACCAACCCCTCTGCAAAAGATTCTGCTTTTGACGGGGGTGGTTGTCTACCCAATGAAGAGTCTCTCTGATTGCTTTCCGTCTGCGTGGTCCAGCCTCTATTCAATGGAGCAAGAGAAAACAGATCAAAGACGACCGGGCGTGGTGGCTCACGCCTGAAATCCCAGCACTTTGAGAGGCCAAGGCGGGCAGATCACAAGGTCAGGAGATCGAGACCATCCTGGCTAACACGGTGAAACCCCATCTCTACTAAAAAAATACAAAAAAATTAGCCGGGCGTGGGCACCTGTAGTCCCAGCTACTCGGGAGGCTGAGGCAGGAGAATGGTGTGAACCCGGGAGGCGGAGGTTGCAGTGAGCCGAGATCGCGCCACTGCACTCCAGCCTGGGCGACAGAGCGAGACTGTCTCAAAAACAACAACAACAATAACAACAAAAACAAAACAAAACAAAAAACCAGATCAAACAGCAGAGATGGAATTCCTTTGGGGTGGGTGGATTGGCTTCTACTGTGAACAGTTTATTCCAACTTAGGCACAATGATTGCTTCTGGTAACGTCAGGCACTGTTGTATTTTACTGAGGGCCTCTCTGCTCCGAGCTCCCTGCCCTGCTTTGACCTTTTGGTCTCACGTTCCTCCTTTTGCCCTAACCAGGCTTATCCCCCACTGCCTTCTTGGGATGTATCCTGGCTAACCGGACAGAGGACACATCAGTGTGTGAGTTCATGGCAGGAGGAATGGAATAAGGGAATGGGGACGTGGCCACATGGCACGAATGCCATGGAGATGTTAGAATTATCTTGGTTGACTTGATCCTGCACTAGCAAGTGTGGCTATTTAAACATAAGGTCCCTGCCGGGCACGGTGGCTCACACTTGTAATCCCAGCACTTTGGGAGGCCGAGGCGGGTGGATCACCTGAGGTCAGGAGTTTGAGACCTGCCTGGCCAACACGGTGAAACCCCCTCTCTACCAAAAATACAAAAATTAGCCAGGTGTGGTGGTGGGTCCCTGTAATCTCAGCTACTGGGGAGGCTGAGGCAGGAGAATCGCTTGAACCTGGGAGGTGGAGCTTGCAGTGAGCCAAGATTGCGCCACTGCACTCCAGTCTGGGTGACAGAGCAGGGCTCTATCTCTGAATAAATAAAAGTTCCCTTGTAATGGAAGCTGACAGTTTTTCAATATTTTGTTTCAACATTTGTGTAACTTACACTGGGTAAGGATAATGTATTTTAAGTAACATCCTGTTGCCTGTATTTGTTTCCCTGTGTTTATACAGAGGAGGATACTATGTATACTAAATGTATACACAGTTCATGTATGCATTTACTAAACACTATACGTTAACAGGGGTGGGGGAGTTTAAAGTGAAGTCTTGATTCTTAGACGTGACTTTTCAACATACATTTGGGCATCTTTTTTTTTTCATGAGAATCTATCTGAAATTGTAAGTCAAAATTGCTGACTCATGTGATGTGACAATTTGGAGGTATATCTAAGGAGTGACAGTCACAATGTGCTAAATGTTGGGGACCTTACGTTTCAAGTTGATGAATAGAAATTTGGTTTTCACAGTTGCCTTTAGTCTATAAAGTCTTAAAGGAGAAGAAATGAACTGTCGCCAAGCTGTATCGTAAATTCCAGGGTTAAAAGTGAAACTTACACTATGCCACTCCCACATTTGTCACAGAGCGGCATCCTCTGTGCCCCGCCTGAACCGCCATGGACTTTCGTCACCGGAGCTCTCACACTCCGCGTTCCAGCCGGACGGTCATCTGAAAAACAAAGCGTTTCCATTTATGGCTAGGGAACAGCTGGCCGCAGCCTGTGCTTGGCTTCTATTTTAAAGTGTGCACTTTAACCTGAAGTTGCATCTGCACCGTCATTCCGAGAGGGGCAGGACTGATGCAATCATAAGGGACGCTGTTCTGAAATAGGGCATTATAGAATGGAATTAGTGAAAACATTTATTTTGTTGTGGTTGGAGGAAACTGTTACAAAAACGCTCAAAGGAGCAGAGGGCATTATTATTTTTTATTGTAGCAAAATATACATAAAATTTACCATTTTCACCATGGTTAGGGGTGCAATTCAATGACATTAGGTACATCCAAAATGTTGTGCAAGCACTGCCAATATCCACCTCCAGAACTATTTCTTCACCTCACAGAACCTCTGTACCCATGAAACAGTAACTCCCCACCCATGAAACAGTAACTCCCCGTGCTCCTGCTCATAGCCCCTGGTAACTTTCATTCTACTTTCTGTCTCTTGGATTTGCCTATTCTGGATCTCTCAAATAAATGGAATCATACAATATTTGCCTCTTTGTGTCTGGCTTCTTTCACTTCACATAATGTTTGCAAAGTTCATTCATGGTGCGCCGTGTGTCAGAATTTAATTTCTTTGAAGACTGAATACTATTTCATTGTATGTGTATACTACATTTTGCTTATCCATTCATCAGTCAATGGACATTGGGTGTTTTCCCTCTTTGGGCTATTGTGAATAAGATAAATGCTGGCATACAGGCTGGGCGTGGTGGCTCACGCCTGTAATCCCAGCACTCTGGGAGGCCGAGGCGGGTGGACCACGAGGTCAGGAGTTCGAGACCAGCCTGGCCAAGAGGTAAAACCCCGTCTCTACCAAAAATACAAAAATTAGCCGGGCGCGGTGGTGGGTGCCTGTAATCCCATCTACTTGGGAGGCTGAGGCAGAAGAATCACTTGAACCCGGGAGGCAGAGGTTGCAGTGAGCCAAGATTGTGCCACTCACTCTAGCCTGGGCAACAGAGCAAGACTCCATCTCAAAAAAGAAAAAAAAAAAAATAAAGAATCTGTTTGAGTCCCTGCTTTCAAGTGTTTTGGGGTATATTCCTAGGAGTGGAGTTGCTGGATCACATGGTAATTCTGTGTTTAACTTTTCCAGGAGCTGCCATCCTCTCCCAGGGTTGCTCTATGTTACCTTCCCATCAGTAATGCACAGGGTTCCCATTTCTCCATATCCTCACCAATACTTGTTATTCTCCATGTCTGCCACAATAGCCACCCTAATGGGACATTTTGCATTTTTGTGTGGCTTTTAAAGGACAGTCTATATCTTTTGGGCATGGAGAAGCCTAGGTCAGGGCAGGAGCCCTGAAGATGACGGGAGTGGGCTGGAGACCCAGGTCTGTGGCTCACTGGCTATGTGGCCTTTCACAAGGCCACCCGCCCATCTCTCAGCGTCTCATTTGCTAAGTAGGGCAAATAATAGGCTCACCTCCCCAAGTTCCTGTGAGGATTACATGATACTGTATGCAAAATACTTTGCACAGAACATGGAACACAGTAAGGGTTTTTAGAGCATTGTTTAGTTTTTGATGATGGTGATACTCCAGAGTGTGGGGGGGAGGCTGAGAAGTTTGACAACATTCATTTAAAATGATATCTCATGATTTGTAAGCTGAGCTAGCCCTTGACTACCATTAATGCAATTTGTCTTTGGTGTCCTTTTGTGACTTCACTTGGTGGCTACTTGGACATGTCCTGGAATCTCCTTTTTTAAACGAGGCACCATCCATATCCTATCCTTCTGAGCAAAAATTCATTTGGCTCCCAATGAAAACCAAGTTTTAGACTTTCATTCCCAGTATGTTTGCTGTCGTCCCCGTCCCGCCCCCTGCAGTGGCCTCTATCAATACGTTTCAGCAGGTGTCAGCGGCTGCTCACCAGAGCCATCGTCCACCATTCCCTGGAGCACTCTGAAGGAGCCCGACTGGCGAGGCTGTGTGGGCTCATTCCGATTGTCGTGGAGCATCCGGTACACGTCCGACTCGGGGGGCACCGAGGCTGTGGGCTCGCTGAAACACAGGCACGGCGGGGAGCATCGTCAGGTGCTGGGAGGCACCAGACGTGCAAGAGGCCAGAGACATCAATACTCAGCCATTACTCTATGCACAGCCACTCCTGAACAGAGGTCTAGTATTTTCAAGTGAATCTCTAGTATAGTTAAAAGCATAATGTGAATTCAAATGGCTGCCTTGGAAATGTCATTGAACAACAAATCGGGGAGTCACACCCACACTCCTCCACTTGGCAAAATACTTTGGAAGGAAACTAAAAGATAATTGTCAGGAAATAGTAATTAAGAAGAACAAGACTTGAGTCTGATGGATACATAATGATAGATGTGAACAAAATTAACTTTTCCCAGAGAAAAGGCAATATACACATGACAGAAAGTGCAGCAGTGAGCACTCAGATTATTCTCAGTCATCAAATTGTCGGTAAAATTCACATTCACTTTTGATATTAAACAAAAAGTATATGGTTTAATATGTTTTTAGTTTTAAGGCTAATTTGTTAACCCCTGGAAATAACAAGGGTATCATTTTACTTGTAAATTCTAGAAATTTAACCTCTCAGGGTTTGAAAGCCTGTAATGTAGAAACTTACATTTTTATATCTGCTATAACTGACTGCACTGTCTTTTAAAAATAGCCATGTTAAAATTCATTTACAATAATGACAGCAGCTTTAACATGCTTTCTACAAATATATTCATAATAGACAATAAAGAATTTCATAATACTATATGTTAAGCACTACTTTATTATTTTATATCATTTTATTGCATTATCTAGAAAACATACTATCTGTAATATTTTTATTCCCTATGTCATATTTGCAAATGGCTTTGAGATATCTTACACTACTATTAGTTCAATGTGTTCATCCCAAGAGATAGCTTTGGGATATCACTATTTAACACTCTGAAGCATTATAATAATTTAATTTATAAATAGTGATTCTGTAATAGTGAAAGAAGCAGTAAGATTTTATCCTATAATAAATCTTTTTAATCAAAATCTTTATGGCAAAAGTACTGTGAACAAATAGTTATAACAAAGAAAAAATTAGTCAAAAAGAGACCAGCAAAAATTAAATATCTACATTAACAGCCTGAGGGTATTCACCTAAAAACCTTTATGCACAATAAACATTGTAAATGAGTAAATAATGACCTCTCCACAAGCTGCTATCAGAAGAGAGAAGAATCATCTCATAAAATTCCTCTAAACCTCCCACCTCCTTCCTAATTTTTGATCCCCAAAGGACAGACATAGGGTATACTAGATTATAAATAACTTTGAGAAGTATTACACCAGATATTTGTAAAGTACATTGTAGCTTTCGAGAGACATATACATTTGGTCCTTACCTGATTTCATTTTATTGCTATCTGACACATAAAGCTCTACAGATAATTCCTCAAATCACCTTTATCACCAAGCCTAGATATTTGCAATAAATCCTTAGTATTTTAAAAAAGCTTTTCACATAGCTTTCTTTCCAAGCCTAGATATTTGCAGTAAATCCTTAGTATTTTAAAAAAGCTTTTCACATAGCTTTCTTTCCATTAAGACAATGTTAAAAGACACCAGTAAAGCTGACATTGCCCACGTGTTTAGTTAATATGCCCATGGTTCAAAGAGACTCATATTACCTCATCAAAGGTGTTTCCCCTAGGGCTGTTGAAACCTGACCCTGGAGTGTTTCCATAATATTGTCATCTGAGTACAACTGCATAGGTGTATTAAACTGAGCATGTACAATCTTCACACCAGGAAGTTCCATTTCCAAAGGAATGTTAGGGGCCAGCTTAGCCGCAACTTTCAAGTCACCTGGGCAAATGGTACTAACAGTACTGACAGAAGAAGGGGTGCTGCGTCCACTGCCACAGTCAATCCCGGAGGGAGTGCTGCATCCACTGTGTTAATGGATACACGTTACACAGAGATGGCACCGGGAGCCAGACAGTCCAGACAGAAGAACACAGAGAACACGTACAGAGAGGTTAAAAGGAATTGAAGACAAAAGTGAGAGGTGAATTACATCAAAATAAAACCAAATCTTGATTTGTCACTAGAATTTATTTATAAAGGGAAGACGGTGAAAAATTCATGATTGAAAAAAGTTTAATAAAATTAAAAGGTACAGGTGATACTGCATTTTTTGGCTCTGTTTCACTAGGCAATGTGTAATTTGAGGGTTACATGTAGAAAAGTTGTATATGAAGTAGAAAAGATGCAGCTATCCTCACTTTTTAAAAATAGGCCAAAGACTTTAAAACTGGTCAATATCACAAGTGATGAAGGAAAATTACATTGGCTGGACATCCTTTTACATTTCTGAAGTGCAACATTTAAAATTAAAGTTTTAGTGAACACTGAATATGCAGCATGAAGATGCAATCACATATTTGGGCTCAACATTTCAAAATCAGAAGTATATTTCAGTAATACGGTTGAACTTTAATTGAATAGTAATTGGTAACTTGTAGGTTTTATGGTACAGATTATGTTTTAAGGCTATCTTGTAAATATTTTGTTACTATTTTAACATTTTCTATTTTTACTCTTTAGTTCTGTGAGGAGTATACTTTAAGACAATTGTTCAGTGGTTTAATACAAGCCCTAGAAAAAACCAATAAATGCTTATCACCTTGAAATTAATGATTAGAGGAGAAATAAGGTGGTGTTTCACTCTTTCGATGCTTATATTTCTTACATAGCTATTTTATGCACAATTTCAGAAGCACGCATCTATTCCCAGGCATATTTCCCTTTTCCTTTTAAAGATACATTTCAGGGACTTATTAAAACATCAAAGGCCAGTCATGCACATCGAAGAACTAGGGAGATTGTACATTCTATTTGGAAACTGGATAGGGGTCAGTTAACAACTGACATGCTAGTGACTAAAAAGTCCATTTTTCCACATGCATGAGAGATACCAAGAGATTTTTGTAAAAAAAGCATAGTCATTTAAGACAAAGCAAAAAGAAATATTAGTATTAATGTAAATATTTATCATACTTTCCAGTTAGTGTTGCTGTAAGCTCAAGACAGAGAATGGATGTATATGGTGTGTTTACCGCTAAGTCAAGATTGTCTCTGGTCTCAAGTATGGCCCCATATCTGCATTTACTCTCTAGAGGTATTAATGCTAACTTCAGCCCATATAAAGATAAGAAACCAAAAGGTATTGAGCAGTAACTTTCTCTACTCCAGCAATGTTGCAGCCGGATTAGTCTGGAGAACTCATGTCACTAAATGGGTTTAAATTTTTTTTTTTTTGTCTTGTGCTATCCAGTTTAACTACCTACATAACCTAAACCAGACAGGTGAATACCAGCTTGCTCCTTCACTTCCTGCCTTTTGAGAACCTATTGAAAACCCAATCTGTACATTGTTTAGATCACATACCAAAATATCAAGTGGCCTATTCACCATTTTTGTACGATCTATAGTGACTCTTGAAATGGACTTCAGCTGGTAAAAGAATATGAGTACATTTTCAGTTGTAGTGCAGTTTAGTCAGGATCATGTGGATTTAACCTGAGTGTAATGAAGCTTATGAAATCAGTTTAGGGATTTGAAACACAGAGTTAAATCCTGGGAGACTTCGGCCTCCCAGTAATGAACCTACTCAACAAGCATTTATAACTACTCTCACCCTACTGTGTGCCAGACATAGTGCCCGTACTGGGTAGATAAACAATGATCAATTTAGAACTTTTACTTATGCCATGTTTTATAGCGGTTATTAGTAATATTTTTCTGCTATAAAAGCCATGTATAACTTTTGACTCCTCCAAAACTTAACTACCAATAGCCTACTGTTGAACCGAAGTTTTACAGATAAACAGTCTATTAGCACACAAATAGACTACTACCTATGTGTATTGTATACATTCATGGCAAATCTTTTTCTTAATTTTTTTGATATTTCAAGGCTACCATTAGTGACTTTTTTCAAATTGTCGCAAATCTCCAAAAATTTTTCCAACATATTTATTGGAAAAAAAATCCACATATAAGTGAACTTGCACAGTTCAAACCCGTGTTCTCAGGGTCAACAGTATATGCATATGTGTGTACTATGTAATTTTAGTTAAACATGCATTCCCAGTTCCTTTATCAATCAGGCCCATGTCTATTAAATAAATGAGTAATGAACCCTAAGCAAACAAGAATGAACTTTTATAAATTTCTGGGCCAATTTAAAAAGATCTTTTAAACTGATCCTTTAAGTAAACGAGTTTTCATGGATTCCAGTCACTGTGGATATCACTGGGGATAGCACCGTGGGTCACCACGACCTGTTCCTGATGACCTGGAAAGGCAGGTGCTAATGAGATTTTCTGGGGTTGACTTAGTGACTTGGCAAGGCCACTTGTAAGGTTGATAACACACTCAATTACTTCATGCCCAGATACGTCATTTGACAGATTGCTAATTTCTCTGGGGTGTGTACAGACATTTTGGGGCATACTTCCGGAAGCAACTTGTCCAAAAACCACTCATAGGATTGCATTTTATCATTTGGATCTAAAATACCTTACATATGTATTTAATTGTAGCTTTACCCTTAAAAATTTTACATATTTGTATATGAAAACACCAGTCTTTTAAAAGGCTTCAGTTATGATGAAATAATCAAAAGAACTATAGCTAATGGTAAAACCCCAGGGAAATTGAGCTGTTAACAATTTAGCATGTCCAACTTACTACTTTTTTTTTTTTTTGAGACAGTCTCACTCTGTTACCCATCTGGAGTGCAGTGGTGCAATCTTGGCTCACCGCAACCTCTGCCTCCAGCTTCAAGTGATTCTCATGCCTCAGCCTCCTGAATAGCTGCAATTACAGGCATGTGCCACCATGCCCAGCTAATTTTTCTATTTTTAGTAGAGATGGGGTTTCATCACGTTGGCCAGGCTGGTCTCAAACTCCTGATCTCAGGTGATCTGCTCACCTGGGCCTCCCAAAGTTCTGGGACTACAAGTGTGAGCCGCCATGTCCAGCACTAGCATGTCCAACTTACTTTTGATTAAAGAAGTTCATTAACAGTGTAGTTACAGGGTGACTATAGTTAACAACAATTATTTGTATATTTCAAAATAACTAGAGGAGTGGATGTGGAATGTTCCAAAGCACAAAGAAAGTTACTGCTCGAGGTGATGGATACCCCCAATTACCCTGATTTGATCATTACATATTGTATGCATATATCAAAACAGCACACGTACCCCATAAACATGTACAAGTAGAATGCACCCGAAAAAAACTACATTTGTTTTAAAAGTTAAAAACAAATCTAGTTGTAGGCTGGTATGCAGCCACTCACAATTCCACCTTGATGAAGAATAGTTTGGTGGGAACAAAAAATTCAGAAGTTATAGCAAATAGTGAGGAGGGACAGGAAGAGAAGGAGGATGTTGGGGGCACTCTTATAATTCTTTTTTTTTTTTTTTTTTTGAGATGGAGTCTCACGCTTGTTGCAGTGGCATGATCTCAGCTCACTACAACCTCCGCCTCCCAGGCTCAGGCGATTCTCCTGCCTCAGCCTCCCCAGTAGCTGGGATTACAGGTGCCCGCCACCATGCCCAGCTAATTTTTTGTATTTTTGGTAGACATGGGGTTACACCATGTTGGCCAGGATGGTCTCGAACTCCTGACCTTGTGATTCGCCCACCTCTGTCTCCCAAAGTGCTGGGATTACAGGTGTGAGCCATCGCACCAGGCCTTATAATTCTTTAAGATTTGTGCACTGGCATCTGTTTTTTAAGCAAACCTTCTCATTTCTGTTTCTCTCCTTCTCTCTTCCAAATTCAGCTACATTAAAAGGTGTGATCTTCAAATGACAACATTATGAGTGGCTTGCCATTATCCCTATGTTTAAGTTAAAATGAAAAATTTTTTTAAAAGGTGATTATATACCTAGGATTCTCTGACTTTCCTGACTTTTTATAAAATTAAATGTTATAGGTTTTTAGTAAAGGCAGGATATGTGTTACTCTAACGTATCACTTTATTCAAGCCTTCTGAAGCCCCAGAGCTTGTGTGGGTGGACTCAGTCACACTAACCTGAAAAGAATGCAAGTGATTAATTTTACTATGCTTCTTTGGGAAGTTGTATATATTCAACAGTAAAATATCATATCCTTTTAACTTTAAATCCAGTGTTTTGTTATTGGGGTTGGGTTGGGGTGGGGAAGCTGTTGAAAGTGGAGAAACGGAAAAGATGCAGATGAGAACAGAGTATGAACGAGGGAACACATAGAGAGAAGCAGGAGAGGACACAGAGCTGCCAGCATCGGGAGCGAGACGGCTCTGGACTCTTCTTGCCACTTGCTTGGGAAATGTTGTGCACCCTCAGGATTTGATTCCTTTATCCAGTGAGCATTTATTGGGCATTTATTTTGTCTGTTTGTAGATGGTCGCTTATTGAGCATTTATTCTGTCTCATTTCTAGGTGCTGGGGGTATAATGTTGAGCCAGTCAGACCAGGCCCCTGCAGACACTGAGCTCACGTTCTAGGGGGGGGAAGATGTGTTTGCTCATGGTTGCCTTCTTAACGCCTTTCTCCTGCTCCTCTGGTCCAGGGCTCCTTTCTGGATCTGATATCACAAGAATTGTCTGGCATATTTTGAGACAATCACCTGGCTCTGCCTGTAGCTTCCTGAAAGGTCTGGACATGGAAATCATACATAAGGGATGACCTGCTATCCGCAGCTTATGACAGGAGTCATAAGCTCGGGTGTCTAGAGGGGCCAGGAGGTCACACATGTATGAAAATGGGCCGTGTCTCACACACTTAAGAGTGATGTGCATTTTGACAAGATGGTGAGTTTAAATGTTCTGTCTAAAGGCACTTAAATTCTTTTTTTTTTTTTAAACAAAAGAATTAAATAAAACATGCCTGTGAAATAAATCCACCTATGGGCCATCAGTTTGCAACAGCTGCGGTAAATCATATTCAATGTTCCTGTCGGAATCAATCCGGTCTAACCACCAGCTTCCTTCCTGTGGGCTGACTGGCTTAGCTGAGGTCAGAAGGATGGAACAGAGGTTTCCTGAAGTCACTGTTTCCTGATTTGGCAATACAGGGCATTATTTTCTTTCCCCTTAGGTTGGAGTTCAATTTCTAGAGAAGATATTTGAAAAGGATGATCTGAAGATGATCAGTTTCTCTACTGAGAGACGAGAAGGAAGAGCTTGCTCCTTATCATTCTGGCTTGTTCACCTGATTCCTTCCTCCTAACCGGGGCTGGTTTCCATGCTCGCTCCTGCTGGCAGGGCTTTCCTGACCTGGGATAGACATACTGACTGCCCGACTCAAAGGTCACAGTGTTCTGGATGGGATCCCCAGAGCCTCAGGGGTGTTCGCTATAAATACACGTGGTGATTGCATACAATTTCACAGCTCTGTCATCTTGTCAATATTTACTCTTGGAAATGCAAGTTATTTGGCTTCTGTTCTCTGCCAAGTGAGTTTGTTTCTTTTTGCTTTTGAAATAAGCTTCGCAATGAGAAAAGCCACTCCAAACATCTACCAGTTACTTTTCTTGATGATTAGTAAGAACTGATTTAAGAAGCATGCACTGCAAACTCCACAGTCTCAGCGCTTATGACCTGCTTCGGCCCGGGATCACGAAAGGTTTGGGCCGAATATTATGCTTGTGTTCAAAGTAGTTCCCGTCCTGTGAAAACAAAGCGTTAAAAAGGCCCTCAGTGGAAGGCGGACACTGTTGCAGATAAGATTAAACGAACGATAGTTGTACAGGGAGGATCATTTACCACCAACTACTGTCATAACTAAGAAAGGCGATGACGGGACCAGGACGATGTCTTCTTTCCAACCATCTATCCGCTAAACGGTCAGGCACTGGCGGATTGGACCCCACAACAATTAGAACATGTTTTAGATGCTTGTCTTTAAAAGAGAAATCTGATAGTGCCTTCAGGAAAGTAAAAATAAAACAGCAAGAGCTGGACTTTTGAAAAGAAAAGAAACCATGCTATCACTGTTAGGTACACTGTGGCCAGAACAGAGCCGGATACTTACTTTTGAGGTGAGCTAGGAATGAGACCCCGCAGCTGTCCGTGAAGCGCATCTTGTATATTGCTAGTTGAATAGAGCCCAATTGGCGAGTTATAGGAAGCGCTCACTACCTGTCTTTTGTCATCAATGTTTGCAGCTGCAACAAAAGGCTGGGCCCTTCTGTTGTGCGCGGTACCAATGGGTTTGAATTCCTGTACAATGGCAGACAAAATACACAGCCACACAGCGCACAAGAAAGCCATTAGTGAGCGAAACCAACAGCATCACTACTGTTAATAAAGGCATCTTTACCCACGACGAGATTGACGGAAAGATTAGAGGAGGAGTTAGCCATAAACTTTTCCATGGTTTTCTCTGAGCTTTACATGTGCTATATTCACCGATCAAATGTTAAGGTGAAAAGGAACTGACCTTATTTAACATATTATAAAATAATTTAAACATTGCACCTCTTATCTGCCCCTGACTTCTTCATCTATAGCTTTAAGAAATTCTAATGACTCATTTGAATACAGACATTTTGTGTCAGAAATGGGATTTTTGGCTTGAAAAATATACTTAACGTTTTCTCAAGTAGAATTTACATATGGTTTCTCTTCTATTGATACATTGATAAACTTTCCCCCATTTTGAGACATGAGGGAACAAAACAAGGAGAATGAGCATTTACGAATAATTAGCTACACTGAATCATTTAAACTAAGCCAGGTGAAAACTCGTTTTTGAAAACACCTTTTAACAAAAAGTTCTTAACTTGGATTAAGCTATAATCTTAATTTTAGAAAACACAAGTGAGAGACTCTTTTTATGAAAGCGGGAATAACATATACAACCCCTCCCTTTATTGTAATGATTTCATGTTGTGTGTTTGAAGACCTCTTCATGTTTACTCTAGTCCCCAAAAGATTAAAGTCAGTAATTCAGAGAGAGAAAATGTGTATGGTTCACAGGAGGATTTTCACTTTATTCCTTGGGAAAAGGACCAAACAGCAGAGTCCTCAACCCTGAGTTTGAAACATGTCTGAATGATCTAAAATCCTATAATTTTTTTTTTTAACGTGGGAATCATGTTTTCCAGTTTTTGTACAGATTTATAATTTTGTAAAGCCTTTAAAACTTTTTTCTTCTAAGCAACAGAAGAAAACCAAAAGGGAATGCTCAATTACAGGTCAGCTGATTCTCTTTCCAAATCTTTTTTTTTAATATTTATTTATTTATGAGACAGAGTTTCACTCTTGTTGCCCAGGCTAGAATGCAATGGCGCAATCTCGGCTCACTCAAACCTCCGCCTCCCCGGTTCAGGTGATTCTCCTGCCTCAGTCTCCCAAGTAGCTGGGATTACAGGTGTGTGCCACCACACCCAGATAATTTTTGTATTTTTAGTAGAGACAGGGTTTCACCACGTTGGCCAGGCTGGTCTCGAACTCCTGACCTCAGGTGATCCACTTGCCTCGGCCTCCCAGAGTGCTGGGATTATAGGCATGAGCCACCGCGCCCAGTCCCAAATCTTTCTATTTGGCAGAATTAGTAAGATAAATCTTTCTAACAGTATTTTCCCTTACACATTCACATCAACTTCATTTACTTTCGTGAATGTGGCACCAGTGTTCCAGATTTGAAATCGTACAAACATATATAATTATTTGAAATAATACTGGAAAGAGATTATCGTCTTTAAAACATTAAAAGATCCTGTAATATTTAGTTTTCTCCTTTTCATTTCAGATAAGTTGTGGGTTATGCTTTTCTGTTAGAAAACAGACTGTCAAAAACAAAAAGAAGAAAAAGGAGGAGGAAAGAAAAGAGAGTGTCTCTCTTCCCTAGGTGTAAGACCAGAGTTTTTCATAGAAGATTCTTGTGCCTGAGAATATGAACAACTTCCTGTAGGGACCCCAGCTACAAAACGCTTTCTTTCAGTTCTTCTGAGTATACTCCTTCTTCTACTATCTAGGCCTATTGGCAAAGCTCACTTAAAAAAACAAAAATTATGCCAGGGCAATGGGGTACAGCTTCAAATCCTAGCCTAGGAGCCTTTGACTCCACCCACCCCAAATCTCAGGGGATCTGAGAATCTGTGATGGGGTAAAGAACAGCATTTCTCTCACCAACCTTGGACAGCATATGTTAACAGCCTCCTGAACCCAAAAAGAAGGTCTGAGTTGAATTCCATTTAGTCTATGATTTTGTAGTGTGATTGAGTTCGCTGATACCTTGTTCACTTAACTTTTTTCCTTCATAATAATGGCTCACAGCCAAGGAGTTGATTAACATTATTGTAGCTGCTCTTAGGTAGAATGACCCAAACCATCAAATGTAGCTTTAGAAAAATGCCTAATCCTAGATCCTGTGAAAATGTGTGTAGCTAAACATTTATAAATGGTGCAATCTAATTGTTTTAGCTGATTTATTAGTGAATTTGGATTGGCTGAGTTTTGTGATTAACCAGTATAATTAGCCATTATTATGGCATGAAAAACTAGAAATAATTGTAAGTAATGACAATGGCCATGATTCAAGCCTTTTTGATATGAGAGAAGACAGCACACTAATTGCCTAACTGCCTAGTTAAGTTTTGGTGGATTACAAGTCTCTCAGGCTAATTAAAGAATCAGGCAGTACTGAATCACTTAAGTTTTGTGGAGCTTAGCTTTTTTTTTTTTTTTTTTTTTTTTTTTTTAAAGAAAGTAAGGCCTGCCTTAAAGTCTTTGTAAATAGAATTGAATTAATAAAAACTAACATAATATAATGGCTTTATGGAAAATACCTCTGCCCTTATTTCTTCTTAGCCTTAAGATGATAATTAAATATAGGTAGTGTTGTCCTGTAAATAAGGCAACTTCTCTGAAAATATTTGTGCATTAATAATCTCTAGTAGAATTTCTAAATAGCAGCATGTAAGTTAATCAGCTCCAAGCAATTTCTTTGCAATTTTCGGTTTTGGTTACACATATATTGCAAAGATCACAAATGTGTAATTTGTTAAAAAAAAAAACCAACAACCTCTATTTTACATTCAGATCATAAAAGGAAGTGTTTCTAATACAGGCTGCAAACATTTTTATTTAGGCTTTGCAAAGCATTAGTTTATGGGCTTTTAGAGTCATTCCAAAAAGCACAATGAAGTGTATACACCAAAGGTTTACCAAGAAATTTAAGTGGGGCACTGAGGGGCAACATTCTATCCAAGGCTTACATCATTGTTGATGGTCAAATGTAATCAAAAGACAAAACCAATTAGAAGTCCGCTGTTCCACTTTAATTCATTTTTATTTTTCCTGGAAAAATCACAAGTAACTGAAAATGCCAGTTAAAAAAGTGTATACAACAGTTAATATAGTCCAGCTCTTGTGTTTATTCTATCTAGAAAAAACCACCCAAATAATTCTTATTTCTTAGGAATTCAATATGTAATTATTCCCTTAATGGATACATTTAAAATTTTTATTTTAAATGTTAGAGGCTTATATTAAGGAACAACATTTTGAATTAATGGAATGCTAGAGCTGCCCCAGTGAAAGCTAAGTAACTTGACAGAACTCTGCTGATGTTAAGAGGATCCAACCATGGACAGCAGTCTCCCATGTCCTTGGAATGACCTCAGACATGACAGCAGTCAAAGGCTTCACCTTTCAACTTCTTACTTGGAGACTGCTCACAGATAAAGATTCAGATAATCTTTATAATTCTGAACCATCTCCAACAGAAACAGTATGTTTGATTCATAGATATACACACATATATGTATACACATATATATTTATATATAATATGTATACATATGTGTATATAAAATCAAATCATATATATATGAAAAAATGGTGGGCATATAAGAGAAACAAACTCTATGAAGTGATCTTATATTTGATCAAGGCATGATGAAGAAATTATATTTCATCACGTTTGAAGTTTAGAATCACTTCCTCCTCATACTCACCCCTCAAATAAACAGTAAAGTCACCCTCATCATCCTTTTTTCTCCAGTGAGCAGTTTCAAGTGTTTCCCATCTCTCACTGGGAAGAGCTTGAGGAAATGGTGACTATGAAAGCTTGTTTTATATGGGCTGCCTTCCAGTTACCAAAACACTTTTTATTTGTGAAAATAAAAATGACTTTATCCCACACTCTTCTTGACTGTGTATGTAAACTCTATTATCTTCTCTGGCAAGGATGCAATCCTTTTTATGGAAATGGAGACAGCTTTCTTCTTATTTAGATAAGAACCATTTTTGTTTCTGAAAGCATCTTTCTTGTATTGTGACAGGCACAGTATACCTTTGAGTTGTTCCACTAACATTAAGCAAATATGAGGGTTATGGTTTGAGAATGTAAGCTTTGAAAAAGGACAAAGAGCTTCATTAACATACTCTTAGTCAAGAGCAACACTTCGTACTAAAAAATGGACCATTTTGTCTATTTTTGTACAGAAAAATAGAGAAAAATAGATTGTGTTCAGGATTGCATGGAAGGCATTTATTCAGGTGCTGGGAGTTGATCTAAACAACAACTAACGTGCCCTTTAAGCCTAAGATTCAAGTCTAAACTCAGAGAAACAAAACTTAGCTATTTGATGATAGCATGGAAAAATTATTATTATTATTATTTGTGAGACGGAGTCTTACTCTGTTGCCCAGGCTGGAGTGCAGTGGTGCGATCTTGGCTCACTGCAACCTCCACCTCTTGGGTTCAAGTGATTCTCCTGCCTCAGCCTCCCCAGTAGCTGGGACCACAGGCGTGTGCCACCACATCTGGCTAATTTTTTGTATTTCTAGTAGAGACAGGGTTTCACCATGTTGACCAGGCTGGTCTCAAACTCCTGACCTCAGGTGATCCACCTGCCTCGGCCTCCCAAAGTGCTGGGACTACAGGCGTGAGCCACCATGCCCGGCCACATTTTAAAAATCTAGATATTAAAATTTTATATCAACTATTCCTATAACCATATAAGAAAATGTCTCCTTAGCTTAAACCTATTCACAGGGGAAAAAAACCCCCAGAAATAAACATACTAATATTTAATATCTGTGGCTGGGCTTGGATGGTATAGTTTTTTCCCCAATAAGTAAGTGAGAAAGTGTATTTTATTCCAATGTCAAAGGTCACATAACTTACAATAAAAGTTTGACTTGGGTTGAGAAACAAAAACTCAAATTTCATATTGTTCCATGGCCTTTTGCTATTCATCTGCAATGACATCCTGAAGCATGATAATATTAATGGCATTTGTTTCTCTAACTGACACGTATTTGCTGTCCAGAAGATTGCTGTATTTGCAGAGTTGTCATTTTGATAAAAAAGAAAAAGACATCTTTTTTGCACAGCTTTGTATTACTTAGAAAAACAAAAAACCCTATAACCATAGCTTAGCTTTTCTCTCGTCTCAGTCCACAAGTGAAACTCACTGTTTGACTTTTATCAGCACGTTTTGTTCTGGTTTACGCTAAAGGATTTTTGGATAGCAGGAGATACACTGCAATTTAGTTATTTTTGTGTAGGGAATGTCTGTCCTGAAGTACCAAGTTACATAAACTGGCCGTGCAGAAATCTGGCCTAAGAGTCTCATAAGGAGTAGAAATCCTTTGGTTCATTAGTAGAACTGAATTGTTCTTATCTTGGAGCATTTCAAACACCGGCCTCTTGGAGAGGATGTCAGTAAGAATTAGTCATGACGCAAAGTCATGGAATGTTTCAAGGCTCCATCTGACTGGCTGCTATAGCCCTTAACCTAATCTCAACCTTTAAAAAAAAAACAATTTAATCTCCTTTTTCTCATTTGTAGTATTGTAAATATTCATATTTTCTAACCCCCAAATGTAGGACACAAGGGCTAATACATGCTTGACAAGAGGTCAGAGTATTTAAAATTAGGATTATGCCTTAAAATCCCATCCTTAGAATAACCATAGTCATAAATTAATACTCATAGACTTGCAATAGAAGCCTCTGCTAGAGCTACAACTTGGAAAATTACCCTTAAACTCCAATTCTGGAGAGATGTTAGCAAAACGTGGGCTCCCATCCTGGTCTAAACTCACTTTGTGCTTAGTAAATACTTGCTGAATTACTTACATGCTGGGGTGACGGATGCAACCATGATGAAGGATCACTGGGGATTTGGTACTTCGGTCAGATCTATCTAGTTGGCCTCATTTCTTGCATCTCATATTAACGAAATTGGGTTTAAAAATTAGGAGAAATTCTTGCATGGAAAAATAAGTTGCAAAGGATGCAGTGCAATATTGGATGTGTGCTGTGTAGGGAAAAGGAAATGCAGAGTCCCTTCTGGTTGGTCCAGGTAATGATAAGAGGCTGAGTGGTCAATAAGTGCATGTCTATTGACTTTAATTCTTAAAAGCACCATATAGTCTCTTTTTCTCATGTGTCACCTCCAGGTGATAAATTGATGACGGTGGGAGGAAGCAGGTCAGCCTGGGCATCTCTGCAAAAGGCTAGATACAAGTGAGAACTCTACCTCAAGAACTTTCCTTTTTTCTTCCACTATTTTCTTCTAGCAAAGAAAATGTTGACTAGAGGTGTCATTATTCACCAGCCCACCTAGTATGTCAGGGGGAGTCGCCATCAGCATTCAGATCCCTTCTCATTATATTTATTATCTGTGCCATCCATTTTCTTTTGCTCACTTACCCCAAAGAGCAAAAGTCTTACCTAGCCTAAGTATCCCACTCAACTTTCTTTTCTTTTCTTTTTTTTTTTTTTTGAGACAGGGTCTTGCTCTGTCACCCAAGCTGGAGTGCAGTGGTGCAATCACAGCTCACTGCAGCCTCGACATCCTGGGCTCAAGCACTCCTCCCACCTCAGCCTTCTGTGTAGCTGGGACTTACAGGTGTGTACCAACATGCCCTGGTTAATTTTTAAAATTTATAGAAATGGGGTCTCACCATGTTGCCCAGGCTGGTCTCAAACTCCAGGGCTCAAGCAATCTTTTTGCCTCTGCCTCCCAAAGGATTATAGGTGTGAGTCAATGCGCCTGGCCCCACTCAACTTTCAAGATTACTTTCCATGCAACAGCTGAGAGTGATGGCAGAACACCATTTTGAGAACTGGCTCCCAGGACAGGTCCTGGCAATGTTAGAAAATGCACAGCTCATTTTTAGGCCCTCCAGTTCCTTTCATCCATTTGTCAGCTATTTATTGAGCTGTGGGCTATTTATTGAGCTGGAGGGACTCAGAGGGAAGACAACAGCCTCAAGGTTCCTGCCTTCATGAACATATTCTCTGTCCTGCTCACTCCTTTTGGGGCTTATTTTCTCCTACTTTTGCTTTTAGTGGATTTTAGATTCAGACTCTACCTTCCCTTTAGTCAAAACTCTACGACAACAATCTAATAAACTCATTTCCTCTAAAGATTACATTACTCAGGATCCTTCTTCTCCAGGAGAGATTATATTTTAACTGAAAATAAAGCTTTGTTCCATTTGTCACGACCCTCGTAATAGCAATGAAGAAGGCATTCCTAGCCTCTAGGATGTCCTATCATGTAGGCAGCTAACTATCTCACCAGCAAGAAACGCCAGGAGACTTTCGGATCCCAGCCTGGGGTGGGGGTAACGTACTGATAATAAGGACAGCTACCACTTACTTGAGTATTTCTATGAATAACTCAATGTGCCAACTTCTCTGCTTGTATTATTTTATTCTAATTTTTGAGAAGCCCTAGGAGACACATGTACTGATGTTATTCAACATCTTTTCACAAAAGAAATCAGAGGCTTATGGAGACAAGTAGAAAACTTGAAGGACAAATTCAGGAGTTGATTTTCTTGAAAGGGGAAATACTGCTAAACATAAATTACAAATACGTTTTCAGTTCCCTTTCATCAGTTATATAGAACAACTACATGCTGGGAATATCTAATCAGTTTAGCAGGAACATGTGTTTCAAAAGGGATGGTAAATTCATGTATCTGTATCTCTAAACCTTTAGAGCTTCTATGTAGAGGTCATAAAATGCTTTTCTTAATTAGATTTATGAGTACATCACAATCAAGATTTGATTTAATTTCAGGTTTTTTGGGCCTTTTGAAAGTAGACATAGATAAGCATCAGATGATTAGTTTAGTTTATTACAGTTGCCTCCAGAGAAAATCCTTTATCTTTTATAATTCAGCTGTAACGGCAGAATATCACCATCATCACACTAGGCAACACTCTTTTCTTAGAGTAAATTTAATTACAGAATCCCAGAAATGAGAATTAAAGAAGAATGTAGAATGAGATCTGGGTGAAGACCTCGAAGGACTGAAATTCACAGTAACCGTAGATTGGAGACACCTGTTTCAAATGGTAGACCTTATTTTTGCTTTGCTTTGTTTTAACAACTTAAACTCCTTAGATTACCTCACGGTCATTTCACAGAAGTCCATTATAAGAAATGAAAAAATAATAAGTGGACTCTGTAGATTTAGCCAAATTCTTTCTGATGGGAGCATATTTTGTCTTTCAACAAGATGTTCACATAGGAACACTTCTTTTTCTTGATGTAAGAAAACACGGATAATATAAATTAATCTCGGAGAGGAATGACAGACAACAGCTTCATAGGTGGCTTGTTCCAATTTTTCTATTTGTCTCTTCCTCCCCTTGGAAGGCATCCCCATGATTTAAAAGGAAATACAATGTGTATCATTTGCTCTAAAACGCATACCTGTGGTTCTGATTCTAAGTTGATTTTGAAAGGATGGGCTTTCCCATCTTCAGATACTTGTGGAGACCATAAGTGAGTTTCTCCCCTGGAAATAAAATAAAATTTGTAAACTTCAAATTCTAATGGTACTTTCAGTTTTAGCATACTTTAGTTTCCCATTATGTTTGTGAAAATACTAGCAAACCTCACTAACTTATGCAAAAACAATTTTTTTTTTTGCTGATTATTCTGTATTTTCCCACATAATTAGTCTTCCCCCCCCCTTTTTTTTTCTTTTAATGTTGTCTCCCTCTGTCAACCAGGCTGGAGTGCAGTGGCAAAATCTTGACTCACTGCAACCTCCTCCTTCTGGGTCCAAGCGATTCTCCTCCCTCAGCTTCCCGAGTAGCTGGGATTACAGGTGCCCACCACCATGCCTGGCTAATTTTTGTATTTTTAGTAGAGACGGGGTTTCACCAGTTGGCCAGGCTGGTCATGAACTCTGGACCTCAAGTGATCCGCCCAGTTCGGCCTCCCAAAGCGCTAGGATTACAGGCGGGAGCCACCACACCCGGCCGAAGTCGTACATTTTTAATGTCCTTTTGGGTATGGCAGACTAGATAAAAATTGCCTGGAGTACACTGCACAGTTTCTGGAGGAAGGAGGCCTGCAAGGCATGTGGGAAACAGGAGAGGGAGACTCTGCAGGCACACTCTGCAGATGACCACCAGGCAAGCTCCCTAGACCTCCCTACTTCCCTCCAGTCCTACTGAGGCCACTGCAGAAGACAGTGAGTGATCTGCCAGGTGGATGTGTTACTGGCATCAAGGAAATGTGCTTTGTCCAACCCTTCTCATGCATCTGCCTGGGACCTAGTGGCTCCTAAGGGACTGTGTGCTCGGCATGAACACAGGTTATGCATAGAGAGTGAAAGAATCTATTTCACCCCAAGGAAACGGCAGATTGGTGGATTGATTGATCCTTCTGTACCACAGCACGGAAAACTGTGAGTACAATCATAACAGGATAAACACACACTAACAACCACTATAACAAATTATTATTATCATGGTTCAGTTTTGGATCAGGGATCTGATGGCAAGAGATCAGGCTCAATTTCTTAGTGTTTTTGGGGGGTGGGGTCAGAAACATCTCAGTATTTCACATGCCCACGTGCATATGCACTCTCACACCTGTAACATTCTTCTGGGCTGAATTCTGTACAAAACAGCCAATGGCAGACAGGATATTAGCAACCAGTTTTAATATAATTACAGTCAGGCAAGTCAAGAGATTATTTCAGGGGAATCTCTCCATTCCATTCCATTCCATTCCATTCTCTACCACACTGAGAACAGTGATATAACTAGTTGTGTTGTTCAGTGTTTATGTGGCTAATAGTTCTATTTTCATAGTTAATTAACCGGGTTATTACTGGAACAAATTCTTTTAGCCTCTTTTATTATTCTAACATTCCAGAGAATCCTTTTTAGAAATGATTTGTCAACAACTGCTAGATTGACTGACTTTAGTAAAGAATTAAGTAGCTAATATATAAAAAGTCAGCCAAAATACTAGGTCTGTGGCCCTCCTTGCTGGGAGGATGAAGTTATTTATAGTTCTGGTTCAGGTTCTCCTGCAAAACAGATCAGATTTAAGCACCATTAGTTAAGAAGCACCTGTCAATTTTGAGACACAGCTGGTGAGCTGCTGCTTTAATCCTGTCCTGCGCATCAGCATGAGTCATGGACTCTGTCCCAAAGCCGTCAATAGCCAGGATGACATCTCCAGGACACAGGTTGGCAGCTGCCGCCTTGCTTCCTGGTGTAATCTGGAAGAAATCATGGCACTATTTAAAAACCAACATCCCGCAGTATCTTGAGTTTTGTGCCTGACATTTGTGTTTCAGCCTGGTAACATTTTAAATGTTTAATTGGGCAGAAAGACTGTAAATCTAACTAAAGATAACTCTTAGTTGGTCAGTTGAGTTAGGTCTATTTTCTCATCCTGCTGAATGATTTTGTTTCTTACTAACCACATTTCATATCCTTGTATCTGTTACTCTCTTTTAAAACATCTTACATAATTCCCAGTGTGAATCATACATTTTTTTGTTTTAAAAAATTATTTTTTATTTTTCATCACCCAGAAGTCTCTATTTGGGAATAGAGTTTTACTATATTTAGGCATCTTTTACATTCAGGTTGAAACTGCTTTCAATCCAAATATAGCAATCCTTACTATTTATCATCTTTAAAATTCACGTAAGAGGCATGCAATGGACTTTTTATCTCCCCCCAAAACTCAAATGTTGAAATCCTAACCACAATGTGATGGTATTTGGAGGAGGGACTTTTGGGGGGTAATTAGGTCAGAAGTGAGGAGCCCTCATGAATGGGATTAGTGCCCTTATGAAAAAGGCCTCAGAGAGAGCTCTCAGCTCTCTTGCCTCCAATAAGGAGGAAACAATAACAAGTGAGGTGTCTGCAACCCAGAAGAGTTTCCTCACCAGAACCCAACCATGCTGGTATCCTAACCTTGGATTTCCGGTCTCCAGAACAGTGAGAAATAAATTTATGTTACTTATAAGCCACCCAGTCTATTGCACTTTGTTTAGAAATCTGTAGAGACTAACAAGAAGAGGCCAGATAATACACAAAATTATAACTTCTCTTGAACCCTTCAGAGAGCTAAAGTCACAGGGCAATAAACTTGAAATCTAAGGAAAGACAGGTGCCTTCAAGCAAAGGCAAGACATGAGCACAGGCTCACCTGCATGGAGCAGGGCATGGAGGAAGATGGGGCTCCCATACTAGCTGTTATGAAGAATTCAGCTAAAATTATTAACAAATTGCTAAAGATCCAGTGTGAGTTAACATGAGCGTACAGAACTCCCGGAAACCAGAGACAAAGGAAGTTTGTATTCACTCATGGTCTCTTCTCCACGAATGAAGGACAGATGAAACCAAACTAGCAAGACAGTAGATTTTAATTAAACCATAGCAGCAATTACATTAAATGTAAATCATCTAAACACATCACTTAAAAAACAGAGACTATCAAACTAGGTGAAGAAGTGAGATCCAATTTTATGCTGTCCACATGTTTTTCAGGGGCAGGAATAAAAGAAATACTTAAGAATACAGAATATGGGAAAAATATGGTTTCCCATAATTTAAAATATTTAAAAATAGGAAGTTTGTAATTATTACTGTTGAATATTCAGTTAAAGTCAATGATTCTTTTGACCAGTATACCTACTCCCAATTTTTCTGGGCAAATCCCAACTATACACCTCTGTCTAGACCTCACATGGGTCTTACCTTGCCTACTTCTCTCATATCATCTTACATTATTCCTGCTCTCCCTCATCCATGGTGCTGTGGCCATTCTGATTTCCTTTTAGTTCCTCATGTAGGCCAAGCTTGTGCCCTTTCTGGGGGTTCTCATGCACTCTTATTTCTGCCTGAAATGCTTCCCTTACTCTTCACTCCTTCTCAACCTTTAGGTCTAGGTTCAAATGCTGCACTCTCAGAAAGACTTCGCCAAACATCTGAAGTAGCTTCTCTAGTCCTCCCCTCATCATTTTTCACCATTACATCCTATTTCCTTAATGAAAGTTATTTGTACTTTTATGTTTGTTTATTTACTCGTGTATTGTCTGTCTTCCCAACTAGACTGGATGCTCTTGAGGATATGTACAATATGATGTATATTTTTAATACTTCACAGTGTATACCCCAGTATTTAGAATAATTGAAGAATCAATTAAAAAGCATTTGTCAGAGCTTATATAAAAAAGAACTAGTCCCTATATACCCAAAGATTATGGCTTTTAATGTCAACTTGTCATTGCTATGTTTGTGAGTTTCTATTAGAGCAGAACAATACATACTACTATCAAATCTCAAACTGCTCCAGGAAGAAACTAGATTATTTCTAATGCTTTATTTAGGGATCAGTAATTCATTTGCTTTTTCTTTATTTGCTTATTCTAGCTATCTAATTGCGGTTCTAAGGAAGATACAAGTTCATCTGAATAAATAAAAATTGCTAAAATAATAAGTTGTCTTGTGTCCTGGATCTTCTGTCTCATTACTAAAATGTTTATTGTACTCACTTTATTTCTATGATCACCTCACTGTAGCTATCACAATGATTTCCCAGTAGGAACAGTTAATAGAAGCTGGGTGAAGACAACTGGGGATTATTATATCTTAGCCTTTGGGAGGCATTTCATAGCCGTTTTCCATTTAGAAACATTCTCAGACCCAGAACTGTTAGTAGAACAAAAGTTTCCATCCCCAAAGTGACTTGTAAGGATAAAAATAATCTTAAACTTTTAATTTTCTCTCATTTGTCAAAATCAGTATTTTCTATTTTTAAATGTCTAAGACTAGAATAATTTTCTTTGAGTTAAAACACAGGGCCAGGCATGATGCCTCATGCCTGTAATCCCAGTGCTTTGGGAGGCTGAGGTGGAAGGATTGCTTGAGGCTAGGAGTTTGAGACCAGCCTGGGCAAAATAGCAGGACCCTGTCTCTACAAAAAAATATATTTTTAAAAAGCTAGGCATAATGGTGCACACCTGTAGTCCCAGCTGCTCAGGAGGCTGAGGGAGGAGGACTGCTTGAGCCCAGGAGTTTGAGGCCACAGAGAGCTATGATTGCACCACTGCACGCCAGCCTGGGCAACAGAGGTAGACCTCCTCCTCTCACCAAAAACAAAACAAAACAAACAAACAAACAAACAAAACACACAAGCAGGTGTATCTCAACATATTTGCTTTTAGAGCCTAACTTAGCTTTTCTAATATACCTTAATAGAGTTAAGTTATGTAATACTCAATTCTGATTTGGAAAAGTCTAACTTTTCTTTTAGCTCTGGTTAGGATGAGTGTAAGGTGGGATGAGTGGGGGTTTGTTTCTGCATGTGTCCACACTAATTTTAAACACACATCTGAACAATAGCTTTTCATTATCTAAGTCCAATATCTATTGATATCTAGAGCCATACCCCTGATATTGGACTTAGATAATGAATAACTATTGGATATCTAAGTTGAATATCTTAGATACTGAATATTACTAAAATTTACTAACAATATTAATACTAAATAATACCATCTTATACTTATGCAAAATGTTACATTTGCAAAGCTCCTTCTCACACGTTTGACCATTACAACTCTCTAAGACAGGCTGGACAAGGAAAACTGGCTCTGGCTTTCAGAGGAGAAGAGGTGTCTAAGTAACCTGCGGCTTTGCTGCTGAGCAGCTGTACAGCTATGTCACCAGCTCCTTCAGAAGTCAGCTAGGACAGGTGGTTGATAGTGATGGCCAGATCCCACTTCTCATTTTGTATTCAACCTGGTTATTGCTGTCCTGAGACCTCTAAGGAGACAGTTGATGAGAAAAAGGAAATAGAGAGAGGAATGAGAGAGAAGGAGAAAACATGATGTCTTTACTTTTTCCTCGTTTTCAAGTTCAGCGAGCCCAGTGATCAGAAAATGACTGCGAAATTGGCCTGATTTTACTAAGTTAAACGATCTGTTTTCCCTGCATTACTTTATATTATTACTTTATTGCATTATTATATTCTTTCCTTATTATATTACTTTGTATTAGCATGCACAGTTTATTACTGTTTTCCCAAATTAGAAGAGAGAGCTGAAATGAGGCATAGTGTTTGTCAGCGGATTATTTTTTATTTAGGTTCATTAGGGTCTCAAATATCAAAAGTACCAGAGAGATCATTGAACACGGTACTGCAGTGAATCACTTAGCACCATGTTTTCAAACTTGTGTGATTATAAGAATCACCTGGGGCCCTTGCTGAACGTTAAAGGCTCCAGTCCTATTCCAGATGCTCGGAATCAGGAACAGAATCTCTAGGAGAGGAGCCAGGGAATTTATGCTTTCAACAAGCGCCTCAGATGATTTCTGTTATTCACATCAACTTATATTACTTGGATCTGTTGGGGAAAAAAAAGCTAACTGAAAACACAGATAAAGCATCTATAATGTCCTATTTATGTGGAGACGTAAGGCAAGCCCAAGACATGGTCCTGAGATGATGTTTCTGTTAATAAAAACGACTGAAATAGTTATGGAGCAAGACAAGCACACACTGAAGCACTGCACGGTAGGCACGGACCAAAATCATGAGAAACCCCATTGTTCATTCTCCATCCCTAGCAAATAGACTCCGCGTGCCTCCTTGGCATCCACAGCCCTGCAGCACCTGCCTGCCAAAGACATTTCTAGAGCCACACCCCACACCGGTTATATTAGAATCTCTGCATGCACCTGGGCATGGCTGTGTTCAGAAGTCACATGGGCGGCTTTAACATGCTGCCAGGGCTGGGAACCATCACCGTATTACTATTGAGAACTATTATCTCACATAATTCTTAAGACAATCTTACAACATAGTTATCTCTTTTTTAAAATGAGAAAATGGATGCTTGGAAAGTATAAGAAGCTTGGTTAGGGTCCCACATCCCGAGAAAACCTGAAATTCCCATCTGGGTCCGCCTCGCTCTATAGCTCAGAATCTTCTATCATCTCGCATTGCCTCTCCTGCAGGTAATCTTTCCTTCAACACCTCCTAGCTCTTTGACCATACTTTTCTTGTGGAATTCTGGATAGGTTGTGTGATGGCAGTTCATATACATGTTCCTTTTTTTCTGCTGATATATTATCTTCTCAGGGGTTAGAAGCCCATCTAAGCCACAGTTATATGCCCACAGTGTCTTTCACATACGAGACATTCTGCACACAGTAGATGCTTGTGGGATGTATGAGTTACACATGAACCAGTACTTCCACGTAGACACGGTCTGTGTTAGAACAAAATTGAACAGGTTTTTATTTACATCAACCTTTCCACTACATTTGTGTTTTACCCTGGAAAAGAATTGCATTCCATTGCAAACAGTCCTTTCTAAAAGTTTAAACTTCAAATGTAGTTTATATTACATGAAATTTCAAAAGTAGTTTATGTTAAAGTCATACACTGTTCTATCTTAAAGCCTGTACAAATTAGGAACACACTAACTTTTTCTATATTGGTACTCAAGCTCATATAGCATTCTCAGTTATAATAATCTTGATCTTGGATGTGCTCTGCATAGGAAGGAGGGAGGAGTGAAGAGGGGGAAGACATTTTAGTGAGAAAAGACACACTGGCATCAGATATAGACAATCATTTTATATCATGTACACAAAAGAAGCTTGCCCTGTACACTAGCCTCCCCTTATTCACGGTTTTATTTTCTGCAGTTTCAGTTATC
This sequence comes from Homo sapiens, assembly GCF_000001405.40. Classification (NCBI taxonomy): domain Eukaryota; kingdom Metazoa; phylum Chordata; class Mammalia; order Primates; family Hominidae; genus Homo; species Homo sapiens. The sequence goes on from NC_000004.12 coordinate 185,530,635, forward strand.
CGAGACCAACTGCAGCCTACAAATAGTAATTGGAATATTTGAGAAGTAAACAACTCATAAGTGTTAAATTGCAGCTGTGCTGAGTAGCGCGATGAAGTCTTACTCTGTCCCACCTGGGTCATGGATCATCCCTTTGTCCAGCGTATCCACCTTGTCTATGCTGCACTCTTCACCTGTAAATCACTTCGAAGTCTTAGTTATCAGATCGGCTGTCACAGTATTGCAGTGCTTGGGTTCAAGCAACCCTTATTTCACTTAATAATGGCCCCAAAGTGCAAGAGCGCTGTGCCCAAGTTATAAATTAAACTTTATCATAGGTATGCATGCATAGAAACACACACACACACACACACATACACACACACACACACACACACACACGTATATATATATAGGGTTTGGTACTAATGTAGGTTTTAGGCAACCATTGGGGGTCTTGGAATGTGTCCCCTGTGGATGAGAGGGGATTACTATATTCCATATTGAAATCTTGTCAAAGCAAACGATTTGCAACTTGTCTGTGAGAGTAGATCTAGCTTCTGGATGGTCCAAAAACTTAGACTCTTTAGAAGCTTCTTATAAAAAGAAAAGATGCTCACTTGAAGAAGTGAACCTTCAAATTCTTCTGTGAAATGCTTAGGCCAGTTATACACGGTGTTTAACAACTCCCTCCCCTAAACTGAACATCCAAAACTGAAATTTTATATTGCACAAGGTCTATCACACTTATTGCCTAGAAACTGCTTTCCTAAAAATTGTGTTTATCACAACCAGTTGCTAAAAATTTGTTTTGAGAATGTCTGGTGTTTGATTTACCTTACTTTTGATTTTTTTATAATACAAAGATTCATCTGGCTATTTGGATTGTAAACAATTACGGGCATGAGGGCCCTGTGTCCTAATTTTGTGAACTGTAATTTCAATTGATGGAGGCAGTCATATTTGTCACTCTCCTACAAACTCTGGTTGGAGCCCCATTGTCTAGCAGTATTGCTGTCGTCTGTATTTGTATAGTGTGAGGCGGGGAGTGAAGGGTATAGCTTGTAGGAGGACAAAAGCTGATTTAATGGGGACTCGATTAAACACATCTCGTTTATGGGACTTTTTGTGGCTTTAAGTGTAGATATTGGTATTTCAATTCTTTGTATATTAAGAACTTATTTAAAACTGACACATCAGCCAGGCGTGGTGGCTCACGACTGTAATCACTTTGGGAAGCTGAGGTGGGCGGATCGCCTGAGGTCAGGAGTTTGAGAGTAGCCTGGCCAACATGGTGAAACCCTATCTCTACTAAAAAAAAAAAAAAAAAAAAAATTAGCTGGGTATGGTGGCGGGTGCTTGTAGTCCCAGCTACTTGGAAGGCTGAGGCAGGAGAATCGCTTGAACCCAGGAGGCAGAGGTTGCAGTGAGGCGAGATCGCGCCACTGCACTCCAGCCTGGGAGACAGAGCGAGACTCTGTCTCAACAAAACAAAACAAAAACATGACAAATCAACTCACAATAAAACAATTCTCACTTATCTTTTTGTGAAATATTTTTGAGAACACATTCTATACCTATTTATAATAAAGTCATGTAAAAAGGGAACAATCTAGTCAATCATTCATACCGTGTCTATATTTATTCTACAACACATATGCTCTACTAGGCACTGTGCTAGGCCCTGAATGGCCCCCAGATTAGAAGGTTTCTGCCTTCGGGGAATGTGCAATCTGGTGGGATACAGATGCAGTGGAACATCTGGTACAGGCATGACATAAGGAGGGGTTATACAGGCCGAAAGCTACAGTAATCAACCGGATGAGATGGTTGTTACTGAAAGAAGGCTTGGGGAGAGGCATTTGAGTGGTTTCCACAGGCACAGAGGACAGTGGTGTGGTGTGGGGAAAAATGGTATCAGGAGCAAAGACACGTCAGGGAAATCGTAAGTAGTCCAGAGGGCGGTACCACTGCCTACGTGTGGAACAAGGGGAGGAAAGGGAGAGACAACAAAGGGAGAGGAAAGAAATGAAGTTAGCAACTCAAATTGGGATAGGAGATGGTGAAAAGTCATGAATGTTGTGCAAAGACACGCATTTCACTCTCTACAAACAAGTGATGCCGCTGAAGGATTTTTAAGAATGAGAAAGGAGCAATTTGGCATTTTCCAGAGACGGTAAGAATATGCTGTGTGAATTGGACGGGGGAGCCAAATGTCTAGGCGTGGAGCTAGGAAATCTTGAAGAGGGACAGTAGTAGAAAAAATGGAAAGTGGCAGATGTTGAAGACAGCATCAATAAGGCCAGTGATGAACAGGATGGCACAAAACAACTCTTTAGAAATATTGGAACAGGTGTCCATTTTCACATGTGGCCTTCAGAATGCAGGCTTTGGAGGCACACAGACCTAGCGTCAGAGCCTGTCCCACTGCTTGTGATCATCGGCGGGTTAATAAATCTTTTGAAGCCTCATTCTCCTCATTTGCAAAAGGGGATGTCACTACTGCTACTCTCCTAAAGATTATTGTGAGATTTCAGTGAGTTCGTGCACATAAAAGGTTCCCATCAATGCCTGGCAAGCAAGAGAGTACAATAACACACTTACAACCTCACACACTGCCTTTCAAAATGGTGTTAAAATGTTAAAAGCAGTACAACAATTCACCATTTAACAATACTGATAGTTATTTTTCTGTAATACTTTTCTGTAATACTTTTTATTCTTTTCCTTAACAAATTTCAATATTCTTATCATTTCAGTGAAAATATTCTGAATTAGGTGTTCACTAAAGCATAAAAGTTCTTATTGAATAAATAAATGTTCTTATTTATTCAATAAGAATCTACTATATACCTGGCTTTGGGGACACTTGGGATACAAAAATGATTTGGTTTTACCTGCTGTCCTAGAATTAATTAAAGAGAAAAGCCATAATCAAGTGAAATCATATTTGGTCATAAACTGTTATTGAACCAAATGTCAAAAATGAGTGATACAAATTAGTTATGAGTTAGGAATTCCAGATAGAATTGGTTTCCCTAATAATAACTGCCATTATATCAAATATATTTACCAATAGCTATTGTAGTCCAACTCTGGAATGTAAGTACTGCTTTAAAATAAACATTTATAATGTCAACAACTCAAAATTTCAAGCATATGATTAATTATATTGACATACGATTATACTATAATAGCAAAATATTTCTTTTATAAACACCTTAAAAGTTTTCGTGACAAAATTATTTTGGTTAGAATTTAATATAAATATGATTTATTCTGTGTTAGGATTCAAAAGCTTATTCAATTTAAATAAAAACCATACTCCAGAAACTAAAACATTTCTTAGTAGATATAACGGAAACTGTTTTTGTTGGTAAATCTATAATAGGAATTGCTTGGCCCAGGTCACTGAAGCATTTTCTGCTTACTTTACTTAGGAACGTTTTTGGGGGTATGTTGAACAGTTTTCATGTTTCATATAAAAACACGTCAGATGTGTTTATATGTTTTTGAAAAATGTAAAACAAGGCTTGAAACGTTCCATTGTATGCGTCTGTAGGATACACATTTTGACATATTTTTAAAAGGATGTTGGTTCCCAAATCTCATAGGCATATATAAATAAAACAGAATTTAAAAGGTATTACCTTGTTCAAAATCTGTATGAGCAGATCAATCAGATTATAACACATACAATTATAAAATATGGCATGAGAAGAATACAAGAAAATAAAGTATAATACTCTGCAACTAAAAGTATAATATTCTGGAAGTTTACGCCTTTAGGTATTAAATGTTTTATATGTGATAACTGAAATAATACATTAATTTTCTATGAAGAAAAACATTGTGTTAGAAAAAAACCAGCTAGACCAAATAATGCTTTAGAATTAATTCTACAAATTTACTGACAGGAGAGAAACCCTGAGGTTTTATTTTTACCTTGTTTTCTCATTAGACAGTAGAGAACACCAAGTAAAGCTTGACTTTGACATTAAAGCATTATTTTCCGTTTTAGGCTGAGTGGTTTACTTTGCATCAGGTAAACTAAACTGTCTGCCACGTTTTCTTTGTAGCTAGAGTTAGAAGTTGGTAATTCCTAAGCCAAGTTCTCAGCTTTGGAAAACGTGCTCAAAATGCCTGGAAACTGAGGAGTGAGCATTAGGAAGACTTCCCCTGTCTGGGCTGATAGGAGCGGCTCCAGTTTGGCCAACGCAGGTCGTGCCCCGCGAACAGCGCGCTGCTGAACTTTTCATCCGGACGAGAAAAACGCTCAGATGCGCGCCAGCTCCAGGGAATGCCGGGGGGTGCCAGTCCCTCGCCTCTCCCACCCGGGACCCATCATTTGTTACGGAAGGGCGATGGGGTGTGTTTTATTTCTGTTATCACATATAAAACATTTAAAACCTAAAGGGGAGGAGGCACTCGAGCCTGGCAGCCTCGCCTTCCCTGAGCCCAGTGGCTCTCCTCGGAAAGTCGCTGCGGACCCAGAGGATGGGACACCTTTAGAGCGGACTTTGTCAAATCTCTGAGCCGCTCCGCAGCCACTTGACGGAGTTGCCGCCGCCCCCGGAGCTGGGCGCCGAAGCCCGGGAGCCAGCAGCGCCCCGTCCGCCCGCCCTCGCGCGCTTTCTGGCCGCCCTCGGCCCCGGGGCATCCACTGCGTCCCCCCGGACGCCGCCGGAGTCCCCACCTCGCAGCAAAAGCAAGAATGCCGACACCTACCCTGGTGATGACCAAAGGCTGGTTGAAGTCTATGCCCCCTGAGAGCCTGAAGCCCCAGGGCGCAGGGCCCGGGAGGATCACCGTCTGGGGCATGCCGCCTTCCTCCCGCCCACCGGGCTCTAAGTGTCCCCGCGCAGGGCAGCCACTCCGCGCCGGGCGGCGTCCTGGCCCCGACCCGGGCGGGGGCGCTTTATCCCCGCTGGGGGTGACGTCACCGCCCCGCCGTCCTCCCCGCCCCCTCCCACCCCGGAGAGCTCCAACTTTGGAAGCGAGAGCCGCGCCAGCCCCGCGGGAGTGCGCAGCCCGGCCGGCTGGGGCAGCCTCCCGGGCCGCGGCGGGCGCGGGGGCTTCGGGTTACAGCGTCCGTCGCTCTCTTGAAGTCACACCTGTCTCCCTGTTTATCTTCTGCTTGGAGCGCAGCAGTGCACTTTGTTGGAAGCGAAAGCAGCCAGACCACAGCCTCCATGCTTTCAATTAAAACGAGCATCATCGATACAATAAGTTATTTAGCAGTTTCGAGTGCGTTAATATTTACTTACGACCTCTGCGGCTTTGGCCAAATTACTTAATGTCCTTTTAAATTTTTATTTTATTTATTTATTTTTCTTAGAGACCGGGTCTCCACTTTGTTGCCCAGGCTAGTCTTGAACTCCTGGGCTCAAACAATCTTCCCACCTCAGCCTCCCAAAGTGCAGGAGAGTCTGGCCGGGGTCCTGTGGTAGTCTCAGTGTGGACTCAAGTATTTCTGGTGTTACGCGTTGGGATGTTGTGATTCCCAAAGGGAGAGGGGAGAATGAGGGAAGAGAAATAAGAAATGCTTTAAACACTCAAGAATAAGGGTCTTGGACTTAATGCCCCATATGATAGGGTCGTATTGGTCCAGGAGGACAGAGCTGCAGCAGACTTTTAAGAGGGCAGTCTGTTTGGAAGCAGTTTTAAGACTGATGGAGGAAAGAGAAAGGAGATGCAGAAAGCAGTAAGCAGTAAGCAGTAAGCAAAGCGAACCAGCCTGGGCAAATGTAAATCACAAAGGTAGGATGGGCATTACTTTGTCCGCTGTGGTGGATTACATAAAAGTCCCAGGGGATAAGCACTTTCTAGCTCCACACATTTCCCAGTGCCCCATCTATGCTGGACCATCGAGGAGCTGAACATTGTGTGTCCTGCTGACTGCCTGTTTGGGCTGTGGCTGTATCACTGCAGAGCACATTTCTTCAGTCAGCTGCTGGCTCTGTCTGCGTGGTGCAGACATACACGTGCACACACACAGAGGTCCATTCAGAAAAAAAAAATCAGACAAGTCATTTGGTGTTGTGTAATTATAGTAATTGTTTTTACCTTACTTCACGAGCTGGCTTATATAAACAGCTGATTTTTTCTTTGCCTTTTTGCTGGTCATTTTGGCATCATTTAGATGTAGCCAATATCTATACAATATCCACATAATATCTGATGAGTTCTTTCTTTTTGTTTTTTTTTTTTTTTTTTGGAGACAGAGTCTTAATCTGTCACCCAGGCTTGATGAGTTCCTAAGGCTTTGCAGAGAGTGTGGAAAGCAGGGACATGAGATGGGCAGTTTTCCTACATCCTGCTCTTCACGGAGACCAGCAGGAAAGTGCTCAGAAGTGACTGTTAAGGTAGAGGTGAGACTAGCTGGGAGGGAGAATTCTAAGGAAGAAGCACTGGCTGCATCCTAAATGGTCCTAGAAAATCCTGCTTTGGGTTTGGGTACTGTTCTAAGAAGAGGTTCTTTTTGCATGACTTTGATTTTTTTTTAAGTTTACTTATTTATTTATTGAGATGGAGTCTCACTCTGTCGCCCAGGCTGGAGTGCAGTGGCACAATCTCGGCTCACTGCAAGCTCCGCCTCCCGGGTTCAGGCCATTCTCCTGCCTCAGCCTCCAGAGTAGCTGGGACTACAGGCGCCCGCCACCACGCCCGGCTAATTTTTTGTATTTTTAGTAGAGACGGGGTTTCACCGTGTTAGCCAGGATGGTCTCGATCTCCTGACCTCGTGATCCACCCGCCTCGGCCTCCCAAAGTGCTGGGATTACAGGCGTGAGCCACCGCGCCCGGCCTCATTTGTTTTTTTCTTTGGAAACGGGGACAGTGTTAATAAGAATGAAGTAATCAACTCTCCTTGGGGTGTGTGTCCAGGTTCTAGAGGAAGGGGTGTCAGAGGTGGACCTTGAAGGGTAAGAGAATGTTGCAAGTGGCTGGAGTTGGGAGGGGCACAGGAGGGAGGACATTCAAGGCAGAAGAACTGTATAGGATGTGCCGTCACAGGGAGGGAAGAAACTGATGACCCATTAGGAAATAGCAAGTAATGTGGTATGGATAGAGCCTAGCCCATTGGGTAGAGACAGGAGACAAGGATCACAGTAGTCAGTGGCCATATTAGTAGAGAGGATTTCATACGTTACAATAAGGTTTTGACTATTGAGAGCCTTTGAAGAATTGTAAGCAACATGAATAATAATCAAATTTGCATTTACAAGCATCATTCTGGGAGGTGGGAGGCTGAAGCACAATTGAAGGAGATAACCCAGGGCGTCCCATGAACAATTACTGCAACAATCCAGTGGAGGATATCGATTGGGGCAATGAGGATGGAGCAGAGTGGGCAGATATGGGAATCACATAGGGGTTAATTGGCACAATCTGGGGACAAATCTCACATGGGGGATTAGGAGTGGTTAGGAGATTTGGATGGCTCCCAGACTTCCCCGTTGGATTTTACATGAATGGTGGAATTATGAACAAGGAGAAAATGTGTAAGAAATACAACAAGCTATTTTTGTTTTAATTAGGGAATGGTGGGTTAGAGCACCATTTTGGCCGTGCTGATTTTGACACCTGTAGAATATCTGTGCCATATAGTGTACTGGTTAAAAGACTAAAAGATTTGGAGCCAGACTGCCAGTCTGGATATTCTAGATCCATTGTATTTGCTGTGTGATCTTAAGGCAAGTTATTTACCATCTTTGTTAAAATGGTGATAGTGATAGTATTTGCCTCCTAGAGTTACTGTGCAGTTTACCTGAGTTAATAACAAAATACCTGAAGTGTGCTTGGCACACGCTTTATACATGTAATCATTGGCTATTATTATTATAAGCAATTGGAGATATAAATCTAGAGATCTGGGCTTGAGATGAAGATTTTGGAATTATAGTAGAATCTATGGCTATAAGTTAGACATTTTTTAAAAAGTGGTTGCAAATCCTTTGACACTCTTCAAGAAATGGAGGCTATGTCTTCTCTCCTTGAACTTGCATAGAGGTGTGACTCTTATATTACTAATGAAATGAGGTGAGACTTCTGAGGCTAGGTCAGGAAAAGCAATGCAGCTGCTGCCTTGCTGATTGTAACACTTGTGTCTAATGCCTGGTTGCCGTGTAAGAGCTCTGAGGTGCCACGCTGTGGGGAAGCCCGGGCTGCATGAGGAGGTCACATATTGGTACTATTATTGGTAACCCCAGACTAGGCACCAGACCTGTGAGAAAAGATTCTTCTTTCCAGTGTGTCTTAGCCAGTTCAGGCTGCTATGGCAAAATACCATAGATTGCATGGCTTAAACAAAAGGCTTTCATTTCTCACAGTTCTGGAGCCTTAGAGGTCCAAGATCAAGGTGCAGGTAGATTGAGAACCTGGTGAGGCCCCTCTCCCTCATTTGCAGATGGCTGCCTTCTTGCTGTGTCCTTGAGAGAAAGCTCTATTTAATCCCTTCTTCTTCTTAAAAGGACACAGATCTCATCATGGGGGTTTCACCTTCATGACCTTATCTAAACCTAATTACATCCCAAAGGCCCCACTGCCTAATACCATCACACTGGGGATTAGGGTTTCAACATACGAATTTTTTGGGGGGACACAAACATTCAGTTCACGACACAGTCTCCATCCAGTCCTTACATCCCTCTCAGCCTCTGAGTCCTCTCAGCTCAGGCTGCAGACATTGTGGGGCAGAGAGGAGTCACCCTCACTGTGCTCTTTCTGATTTGCTGACCCGTAGCATCTGTGAGCATAATAAAATGGTTGTTTTCAGCTTCTAAATTTGAGGATCATTTGTTACACGGTAATAGTAATAGATACCAGATGAAATCACCCAAGGAGATTAGCTATGCAAGGGGAGAAGACAGACATTGAATGATTGAACCTTGAGGAACAGCAGCATTTAAGGGGCAGGAAAATAAGGGGACCAGAGAAGATGATTTTTCTCTTACAAAACATTTAAAGAAAACCATGAAAGTGACAGCGTGGAAGACAGGTGAGGAGAAAAATTCAAAGAGTGAAGGCAAATATCACAGAGAGGTGCAGGTAAAGTTGTAATGATAGGTGCTTGTTAGATTTGCTCATTCTCGAGTTACTGGAGTCTTAGGGCAGAGTCAACAGAATGATGAGGACAGAGGCAGCCTGCTGTGGTCTGAAGATAATGGGTGGAGACAAGAATACGGAAAATCTTTCCAAAGAATTTGTTTATAAAAGGGAAGGAGAGACCCAGGACGGTCAGCTGAGGCAGTGCACATCAAGAGAAATGGCTTTTAAAAAATTAGGATGCAAGGGTTTGCTGAAGTCAGAGAAGATGCTGAGAAAACAGAGAGGGGATAGGGATGGAGCAAGGGCCGGGCATTGATGAGCGGTGGAAATGCACGTCTCCAGGATGACACACCCCTTTTCTTCTGAGAATGGTTGGAGTTCTGTAAATTGAGGTGTGTTAGCTGTACAATAACAGATGATCTAGTCCTGTAGTTCATTGAAAACCTCCCTGCCTGCTTTAGGCCTTCGGGGACTTCACCTCTTGTTGGCGGCAAGTGTTCTGAGATTGCTTCCCTGCCAACAATCTTTCCTGTGCTTTCTACCTCACAGACTTATGCCAGATGGAGACGCTGTCACTCTTCGGGTCGGGGACCTATGCTAGCACTTCATTGCCCTGGGATAGAGCAAAAATCTGCTAATGAAGGGCTTGGAGGGCCTTTCATCATCTGTAAACATGTGCCGTGGACGCTCTTCAGGTTTGTCTCTATGTCACACAACAGTCATTGCAAAGGCTGGCCGGGGGTTCTGGCTTCTCTTCCCAGGTTTTTTATACTTTAACATTTTAAAACTTTCTTTTTCTTTCTTCCTTCCTTCCTCGTTTTCCTTCCCTACCTCCTTTTCTTTCTTCCTGTCTTTAAGGGAAGAGTAGATATCTGTTTATATCTTGGGTTCCCTTAGCCAGCTAAATTTTTTTGTGCATTAAAAGAGCATTGGTGGTTATTAGAAATGCAAATTCTTGGGCTCCATGCTCAGGAGATTTGAATTCAGTTGCCGAGGACAAAATCCACTGTGGGTGGTCTGTGGACCACACATTAAGAAACAGTAATTCCAGTCAACACATAGGATTAGACTTTCTTATACTGTATCTTTTTATGTGCTGCTCCTCCTTTCTGGAATGTTCTCTTTTGTCTATCACATCTCACCCTCTTTCCCCATTTCCTGGGAAGATTGACCATCTGTAGCTCTATCAGACTTTCTCCTTGCTTAGTTCTTACATCTAGGCAACATAACACGAAAGTCTGAACTTGGCCATCCTCCAATTTCTCCAATTTAGCCAGTCACTTAGCAATGTGAGGTGCTGGGCTAACAAAGGAACGAGGCATGGATGTGGGTTTGGGAGGTGCACACTCTTACAACACATCTTTTCCATAAGGGCTATTTTTCTGAATTCCCAACCAGACAGTAGGCTCCTCCAGGGCAGGGGCTGCCTTTCTTTGGAATCAACCACAACTGTCATCCCAGTGCTGGGCGCTGAAGAGGTGGTCAGTGATTCCTGATAGGGAGAAACAGGTTTCGTCCTGAGATTTGTTGGATGAGGGAAGCTGACTCTTCCTTCTATATTTTCCTTCAAGAATAGTCCTACCAAGAAGCACCTTCTGGCCAATTGCCATTATGTGCAGTGTTTACAGTTTCATCTCCCTCAGCTTCACCTTGCTATTGGTGTATTTGCATATACTTGCCGGTCTGGCTGTGCAGATCAACTTATCCCAGGGCCAGGCAGCCGGCCAGCCAGCGCTCCCAAACCTTCCACGCATTGTGTATGACTTCCTTTTTGGGAAGAGCCCATGTGATTTTCATGTTTTGGAGGACCTGGCCCTTGTGAAATCTCTTATGGGGAATTAGCCACACTGAATTCCACGCTTTGTGTCTGCCCTCGGTGCTGGCAGGAGCCTATATTGTTTCATTCCCACGTCGTCACACTCCTTGGGCTGATGTGATGGTTCAGCTCGAGTTCATTTGGTATTCCCCTCTGAAATGTCACTGAGTTTTCCCACTGTTTGTTCTGAATGAACTAATAACAATTGAGGGAATCATTAGTATGCTGGGAACACGAACTGAGACATTGTGGGTGAGCAGCAAACTGGGGCCTCCTTTGGGCATCAGCTCCTGTTGCTGTGTGGCTGCCATTTCAGTACTAGTGCTTTTGCTGGGTTGTGAAGAAAGAGGGTGTGCATGAGGGTGTGTGTGTGTGTGTGTGTGTGAGAGAGAGAGAGAGACAGAGAGAGTCAGGGTGGGGGAATTACTAGTGTTTTGCTGGGTTGTGAAGAAAGAGGGTGTGCATGAGTGTGTGTGTGTGTGAGAGAGAGGGAGAGAGAGACAGAGAGAGTCAGGGTGGGGGAATTACTAGTGTTTTGCTGGGTTGTGAAGAAAGAGGGTGTGCATGAGGGTGTGTGTGTGTCTGTGTGTGTGTGTGTGAGAGAGAGAGAGAGAGAGAGAGAGAGACAGAGAGAGAGACTCAGGGTGGGGGAATTTTCACGTCTTCCCATTTAAGCAGCTTGCCTCTGCCATTTCCATCCTTACTGGATTGCCTTCCAGTTGGATTTCAAGCTGAATGAGGGCGTGTTGCTTCTTGCCCCGTCTTCCCTTGTGGACGCATGATCTGGTTCTGGTTCTGTGAAAGTGATTTTGATGAGAAGAGCTGCTGTGAAGTGTCAGGCATTGTGCTAGGCATTTGAGATGTTAGTTACTTCTCATTCTTCAGACAATCTTGCAAAAGCACGTATGATCATCCCAGGATGGAGAGAGGGAGAAGATAAAGGGTTCCTGGAGAGTGGTAGAGCAGGACTCAAACCTGACTCTGCATCTTTTCGCTGCTTCTCAATTCTTTTACTGCTTCACGTTGCCTCTTAAGAAGGCACATTTGCTAAGGTTTGCTGACCCTAGAGCCTCTCTCACAACCTCTATTCAATATTTGTGCAATGGTTTAAGCTCCTGAAAAGCCAGCAGCTCTATTCAGACTGGTTTCATTCTCCCTGGGGACTAAGGTGAAGTCACAAAATGCTGTGGAAGACAGCTGAAATTTGGAGTCCATTTCCCTCTTCGCAGCCTGATAGTGTTGTTGTCTGGATCCTAGAAATCCCTGCCTAGATGTGCATCAGGAGACCGGAAAGACCTGGTCTTCGGTCAATGGTATTTTGCTTGCTAGGGTTAGCTGGCCTCAGATTCTCTCTGGATGCACCTGCACATGTTTTTCATGGCACCGGAGAGCAATCTGAAGAGCCAGGATGCATATTTGTAATAGAAACACATCTGAACCCATTCGTCAGTAACAGAGACCATACATTTCAGGGCTTTTTTTTAATTTGGAGTCAGTTTATCATCGCTATAAAAGCATTTCAAAGGAGAATGGAGTGCACAGAGACCCTGGGGAGCAGTACAGGGAGTTCTTGGTTTGGACGGCTGAATGGTTTGGACGGCTGACTGCCTGGCCTCGGTTGAGTCACTCCCAAGGTCTGGAGTGGAGCACTAATGCTAGTGTTTAATCTGTCACAGACGCCTTGGCCTTCTCCGTGAGCTTTCCCACCTGTTCCGCCGCTGGGACCCGTGGCTGTCTCCTAACAAATAAAATGTGTGTGTTCTGTACTAGACATGTCAGTTAAGTCAAGAGAGGACTGGGTTCCATATATAGTCATGTTTGTGGTGTTGAGTTTCTTTTTTAAAAAGTCCTTTAACTAGAGATGAAAAATTAGGATAATAACTAATGATTAACTACTTTATAGGGTCCATATTTAAATGATATGGAAAATATTGTTCATATTCTAGGATAATAGGCTCAGATTTCTCTTCAAGAAGAGACAGAGACACATTTTAGAGTGGAGGAAAATTAGGACTTCTGCCCTGTTTCTTTCCAGTTTTCTGATGACATTGGGAAGAAATGAACATTTTAGGTTTTAAGTCCTGGCCAGCTGGTTGTGGTTAAAGGGAAGGTTAGGCTGGGCGTGGTGGCTCACGCCTGTAATCCCAGTACTTTGAGAGGCCAAGGCAGGTGGGTCATGAGGTCAGGAGTTCTAGACCAGCTTGGCCAACATGGTGAAACCCCATCTCTACTAAAAAAAAAAAAAAATGCAAAAATTAGCTGGGTGTGGTGGCAGGCACCTGTAATCCCAACTACTTGGGAGGTTGAGGCAGAAGAATCACTTGAACCCAGGAGGCAGAGGTTGCAGTGAGCCAAGATCACGCCACTGCACTCCATCCTGGGCGACAGCAATACTCCATCTCAAAAAATAAGAATAAATAAATAAATAAAGGGAACGTCTCTCTACAGGAAAGCCATCTGCAAGGAAAACACACTTGCTGAAACTTTCCTGGAATAGAGAAATCACTAAATTTTAGATATAAATTGAATGTTTATGATCCAAATTAAAACCAAACTCAGTGAAGGCCTTGGGCCTAGCTATGGCATTAAGATTGTTCATCCCTTGGATCCTGTCTTACCAGAATCTTCTGGATTTTCTCTGACATGCATCACTGGTGCTCCTTATAGTTCCTTGAAAAGGTCCCCCTTCTCATTGCTCTAACATGGCAGTGAGTCCCAGATTCATCTCACTTTTGGAATATCACTGGGTGGTCTCATTAAAACCCATGCCCTTTTCTACTTAAAAATGAAAGCCGGCCCCTCCCAATTAAATCTATAGCTCCTTTTTTACTGTTTGCTGGACCTGAGAGTCATCTTGAAGTGTCTATTCAACTTTTTCTCTCAGAGGAACTCAAACTCAACTTGTCCAAAATTCAAATCTTTTGCTTCTTTCCCTTCCTCTCCCCTCTGTTTTGGTGAAGAGCATCCCCACAATCGTCCCTCAGGGCTCAAACCTGAGTGTCACCTTCCACGCCTCCCCTCAACCACCACAAGTACATATCAGGTCAGCAAGTCTCGTGGATCACATCCTCCTTACTAGCCTCACATCCAAGTCCTGTGGACCACATTGGTATGTTACTCTCTCCTGTTTCTTCCTGCATTATCACATGGCAGAAGGAGAGAAGGCAGAAGCAAGCACATGAGACAGAGAGAAAAAGAAGTCCAAACGCCCAAGATAACTAACCCACTCTCACAATAGTGGCATTAATCCATTCATGAGGGTAGATCCCTCATGGGTACATGACCAGCTCTTGCATCGAAACCCTTGTCTCAATGCCGACTCTTTTAGTTGCTCTCACGGACTCTTCGTGGGGTGACCAGAAGCTTCTTCTCACCTCTTTCCTTGCCTTGGGCTTTACCCCTTCCCGTCCACCCTGCATGCTGCTGCCACTGTGATCTGAAGGATAAGTATCACGGAGTACCTTCCCTGTTTAAAGTTCCTTGGGGGCTCCCCAGAAGCATTCAGGATAAATATCAGATGCCTTGACTTAGTCCATAGTCCCTGAAGCTCTGCCTCAGATTGGGTCTGTAGCTTCAACTTCCACTACTCCCTGGACAGGTGCCCTTTCTCTAGCCATCTAAAGCTCTTGTCCACAGAACTCCCCAAATGGCCTAGTGTTTTAAGACCTTGACCATGATTCCTCTTTGGCTTGGATTCATTCATTCATTCAGTCAGTCAGTCATTTATTCAACAATTGTTTGTGGAGCTTGTACTGTGTACCAGACACCCTTCCATTGATTCCTGCTCTCACGAAACTCACATTCTAGTAGACGAATACAGTAAACAAGCACACAGTGAATCTCAGATAGTTCTGTAAGTTAGGAAGGCAATGCGCCAGGGTCATGAGATCGCCAGTACTAAAAGGTATATGTGATGAAATTACGTGGGATGTGCGTGTGCTCATGCAGAAAAGCAACTAAGACCTCCTGAGCTCAAGAGAGCTGCCCAAAGTTGGGGGGCACCAAGTGGCAGAGACAGTGGTTAAACATGGCAGTGTGGGTCCAGCGTCCACACGCACGGCTCTTGATGTGCACTTTATCCTGGGATGCAGCTGAATACTTGGCACATAGCAGCCAAGTACATGGAAGGAGGGGAAGATAAAATTTCCACATGTGTCCAGGACCATTTAAAGCTATTTCCCACACTTTTAATTCACTCGTTTGGAATAATGTGTGTTACAAATTCACGCTACACGATCTATGGCGTTCATCATCTGGAAAGAAGGGTCTACTCCCAAAGGCAGGCTATTGAGTTCAAATGCACCAGTGGATCCAATTTCTTCTTGTGAAAATACAGGTGGAGTAGATGAATATTTTTTAAAATAAACATGAACCAATCTGTTAAAAAAAATGGTGTATGTGAATCTGCAGGGGCTGTCTTAGACAGCGTTCTGTGGGAAGGTCCTCCTGAGAAGGGCTATTTTTCCAGAGATCTCAGCTGGGAGGGAAGAGCCAGGAGCTGTGAGGAACAGCTGCATAAAGGCCCTGAGTTGAGAATACCCTGAGTGTTTCAGGGGTGTTTACAAGGCCAGTGTGGTTGCAGTTTAGAGATTGAGGGAGAGTGTGGTAGAAGATGAAGAGGAAGAGACCGAATCATGTTGGACCACGGAGGCCATGACCAAGAGTCTAATTTTTTATTTAAACGGGGGAGTGATGCGATCAGATTTATATTTCAAAAAGATTGTTCTAAAATAACAAGTGTTGGCAGAATGTGGAGAAATTGAGGGACTCATATATTACTGGTGGGGATGTAAAATGGCACAGCCACTACGGAAAACGGTTTGGCAGCTCCTCAGTAAGTTACCTCACAGACTCACCATAAGATCCAGCAATTCACTCCTAGGAATATAACCAAAGTAATCAAAAACCGGTGTTCAAACAAAAATGCATACATGAACGTTCATAGCAGCACTATTCACAATAGCCAAAAGGTGGAAGCAGCATAAAAGTCCATCAGTTAATGAATGAGTAAACAAAATGTAGTGTATCCAAACATTGGGATGTCACTCCGCCATAGAGGAGAATGAAACATTTATACATGCCACGGCATGCATGAGCCTTGAAAACATTATGCTAAGTGAGAAAAGACAGACACGAAAGGCCACATATTGTATGATTCCACTTATATGAGTATCCAGAATAGGCAAGTCCATAGAAATAGGAAACAGATTAGTAGTTTCCAGGGGCTGGAAGGTGTGGGGAACGGGGAGTGACTATTTAATGGGTACAGGTGTCCTTTTGGGGTGATAAAAAGGTTCTGGAACTAGGTGTTGGGGGTGGTTGTAGAAATTGTAAGTTTACTTAATGCCAGGAATTGTATTCTTTAAAATGGTTCAAAAGGTCAATTTTATGTTATGTGTATTAGTCAGCTTGGGCTACCATAACAAAATCTGGCAAACTGAAAGGTTTAAATCACAGCAATTTGTTTTCTCATGGTTCTGGAGACCGAGGAGTCCAAAGTCAAGGTGCCAGCAGGGTTGATGGCCGGAGGGGCCTCTCCCCTTGGGTGGCAGATGGCTGCCTTCTCGCTGAGAGCTCATGTGGCTGTGGTCTAAGGATGTAAAATGGGTTCAGCCAGCTTGCTAGTATGCTAGTTCAATCCTTTGCTTTGCATTTTTTTAATTTCCATTCTCCAACTAGCAAACTGACTTGCCACAGATTACAAATTTCCTGAAAATTAAACCATAAAGGGATTTAAAATCTATTTTAAGATGTGTCAAACATCTTGAAAAAAGTTAATGAACTATGTATTTTTTAAGATAGTGTGCTGCCTAAAAAGATAAGCCAAATACTTTGAACGTTATGCTAGTCAGCAGGTGAAATACAAAAATGAATTGCACATTTTCTTGAAAGCATGATTTTTAAAAGAAAAAAAAAAGAAATGAAGTGAAGATTAAAAAGAGAAATTTGCATCTGTGGGTGTCCTAGAGAAGCAACTGTAATGACTGCCTGCCATTCATGTGCCACGGGGTAATCTATTCAGAGGAGGTGTGCTCTTTATTCTGGGGTAATGCTGTATGGTTTCTCTCTCATAGGTTAAATTTAGCCCTCTAACTTATAATGTACTTACTTATACAGGGCTTCATTGGCATCAAGATGTCTTTTAGCTAAATATTTTTTGAAGGTATAATAGACGAGATAGTGATTGACTTGAGAGATTGGTGGGAGGCTTCACAGGCATTCCTAGAATTGCAGACAGTTTCATTTTAAAAAGCAGTTTAAAACAGAAGACACAGAATTCATCTGTCCAGGAGCTTTTAGTATTGCCTGGTTGTGGTGAAGAGGCCAAGCAGTGGCAACCAGGATAGAGTCCTTAGTATAATGTTTTTTTACTGGTCTTTTACTGGGGCCCTCAAATTAGAAAAGATATCTCTACTGAAAAATTCTCTACGAGAGTCCTAAGATCCTTACATTGTTATACCCAGTTTTGAAATTAAAATTTAATTGATTATTGCAGTTTTAAATGAATTGTCAGGAACTTGGGATTTCTTTTATTGATATCATTATGTGTCTTCACCATCTTCTATTAAGATTTTGATGGGTTATCTCAAGATTAGCACCCAGATTTTAATTTATTTAAAGAAAATTGTGGTGTCACTTCTGGGGACACAGACAAACAAAACAAAGGAAAATAAAATAACCAGGTAAGTCAACATAGATTGCTCATACATACTGCAACTCAAGTTTTGAGTTTCTAAGTTTCTCCACCATTTGGCATGAATAAAGATAAGGCCATTTCTCATTGTCTTCTGTATGAGGTCCCTCTTTGAAGCAAATACTCTCAATGAAAGAAAATACATATTTGCAACACCCTGGAATTCAAGATTGTCTGGGCATATGTGAAGTACTTGTGAATCCACTGGGTACTAAATTGGTATTTAAATAAAGAGGATTTACATGAGTAACCCCTTCTGAAGAAACTGATCCTAAAGGAAGATACAATAAGAAGTTGGATAAATACTCAAAACTGGTGCAAGTCCATGGACTGGTTTAAGAGGGAAAGGGTTATTCTAGGTGTAGCTGGTAGTTATCATTTCAGATAAGCCATGTCAAAGCATTTCTGAGTCCCAAAAAAGAAGTTACAATAAAATAATGAGAAAGAGTGATGTTATAAAAATATCTATGGGATTTGAGCACACATGCTGCCAGAAAACTGGTAGTTTCGGAGGGTACATTTCTTAGTGAGCACACTCTCAACATGCCATGAATAGTTGTTGGGCATTGGTGGCCTTGGAACAGAAGTAGGTAGTAGACATTAGCAGCTGTATCACTGCCTCTGGGAGTGAGCACAGCATGGACTTGGCTTAGGCTTGTTGCCTGCTCTCCTGGGAACTGTTATCAGGATCAGTGACTTTAGTGGGTAGTATGGTTTGAATGTCCCCACCAAAACTGACATTTAATTGCCATTGTGACAGTGTTAGGAAGTGGAGCCTTTGGGAGCTGATTAGGCCATGAGGGATCTACCCTCATGAATGGATTAATGCCACTGTTGTGAGAGTGGGTTAGTTATCTTGGGCGTTTGGACTTCTTTTTCTCTCTGTCTCATGTGCTTGCTTCTATCTTCTCTCCTTCGCCATGTGATAATGCAGGAAGAAGGCCCTCACCAGGCCCAGTGCCATGCCCTTGGACTTCCCATTCTCCAGACTGTGAGCCAATAAACTTCTACTTTTTACAAATTACCCAATCTGTGTTATTTTGTATAGCAGCAGGAAATGAACTAACACATAGGCATAAGCAGGAGTGATGACAGCTTCTCTAAGCAATGGTGGTTTTGACTTTATGATGTTTAATTTTATGTGTTAACTTCTCTGAGCCATTGGATGCCTAGATAGCTGGTTAAACATTACCTCTGGGTGTGTCTGAGAACGTTTTCAGATGGGATTAGCATTTGAATTGATGGACTGAGTAAAACAGATGGCCCTCCCCACTGTGGGTTGTCATCATCCCATCCATGGAGGGCATGAATGGAGGAAGATTGAATGAACTTTGCATGACTGAGCTGGAACATTAATTTTCTCCTGCCCTTGCACTTGTATTCTCAGGCCTTCAGACCTGGCCCGGAATCTATGTCTTTGGCTCTCCAGCTCTAAGGCCTTAACTATACCACTGGCTTTCCTGAGTCTCCAGCTTGCAGATGTAGATCATGAGACTTCTCAGCCTTCATAATTACATCAGCCAATATCTTATGATAAGTCTATCTATCTGTCTATCTACCTATCATCTATCTGTATCAACCCATTCTTGCATTGCTGTAAAGAAATACCTGAGACTGTGTAATTTACAAAGAAAAGAGGTTTAACTGACTCCTGGTTCCACAGGCTGTATGGGAAGCATGGTGGCATCTGCTCAGCTTCTAGGGAGGCCTCAGGAAATTTACAATCATGGCAGAAGGTGAAGGGGGAGCCAGTACTTCACATGACTGGAAGCAGGAGGAGGAGTGTGGGGGAGGTGCCACACACTTTTAATCAAGGAGATCTTGTGAGAACTCACTCACTATCACAACAACAGCACCAAAGGGAAAAATCCATCCCCATGTTCCAATCATAGCCCACCAGGTCCCACCTCCAACATTGGGGATTAAAATTGGACATGAGATTTGGGTAGGGACACAGATCCAAACTTTTATCTATCTATCTATCTATCTATCTATCTATCTATCTATCTATCTATCTATCTATCATCAATCTATCTTCTATCATTTATCAACAATAGATATATTCACAGATATATACTTGTGGATTGGCTTTGGAGCCACCCTGAGTAACCCTGAGTAACACAGATTTCATCTAGATTCATTGGTATAAGCTGGCACTGTTGGTGTAAACAGTTGTAGGCACTGGCCCATGAAAGGCGGCCATTGTGGAACACATGTGAGATACTCCTGGGGAAATAAAGGAAAATTGGGGAGGAATCCAAGGAGAGTTGGAGTTCCTATAGAATTATGGGGGCAGAAGCAGTGTTTTAGTTTTCTATCTTTAATTGCGACCCTCTTTTTATCCCAGGTTGGAGCAACCAGAGAATAATATTTGGTTAGTTTGGACCAGTTCTCAGCTTAAATTTTTGATGTTTGGAGGTTTTAGGTGCTTGGAGGGAATCGATGAATAACTGAGAAAGTCTTGCAAAGCATTCTTTTCCTTTCTGTTCTTTCAGTCTTTCTTCTGTTCACCTTAAAAATGTCAAAAATTCCTTAATTCCAAGATTTTCAATGTAATTTTGTATTAAAAGAGCCTCTTATAAGAGTAAATGTTTCATTGATATTTTTTTCTACTAATGTGAAAAGAACATAAGTGAGGATGAGTTTTATTGAGCCCTACAGGCCAGAGCCAACTAGATAGATCCCTTAAGAAAAGTTCATGGTTGTTACTTTGGAAGTTGGGCATCATTACTTTCCATCCTGTCATCTGCTCCTCAGTGGCTCAGCTCTATGTTGATCATTAGACTCAGACATCACCTTGGAGTCTGGCAAACAGCTGCTGCCCAATTTGGTTTAAGGCTAGAGTCTTTTCTGGCAAAGAAGATGGATCTGCTCTTTCCAGAAGAGTTGGTTTGAATTTAAACAATGTGCATGTCTGCCAGGTCTGCAGAGAACAGAATGAAAGCCAGCAGGATACCTAGCCTGTGAGCTGGCCTGGAGGGTACAGGCAAGGCCTGTAAACTCAGGAGCCTGGATGCTAAAGGATTAAATATTGAGCTCTCAAGCCAGCAAAACCCAGTCATGGAACAATTGCGTAGTCTTGGATCTTGGTACACCACATTGTATCTCCTGAAAATACTTACATACTGCAAAGATTAGGTATAGCCTGGTCCTAAACCCCCCTGGCCATATATCATACTTAACGAAAATGGTAATAGTAATAGTAATTTATTATTACTACTAGAAATATTTTGAATAATATTGTATTAAACTAGCTATGATGGTTAATATTAAGTGTCAACTTGATTGGATTTAAGAATGCCTAGAGAGCTGGTAAAGTATTATTTCTGGGTGTGTCTGTGAGGGTGTTGCCAGAGGAGTTGGACATTGGAGTCAGTGGACTGGGAGAGGAAGACCCACCCTCGATGTTGAGCTCTCAAGACTTTTGGACGTGGACAGATAGATGCATTACTGGCTTCCTTCCTCCTCAGCTTACAGACGAGCTATGGTGGGACTATACCTTGTGATTATGTGAGTCAATTCTCCTTAATAAACTCCCTTTCATGTATACATAGATCCTACTAGTTTGTCCCTCTGGAGAACCCTGCTATATACTAGCCATTACATAGCCATTGTGAATCTACCAGCTTCTCACTTATTTGATTGTCTCATAAACTCCCACATGTCTAGCATTGTGAAATGGCACAGAAAAATGAAACAAGAAATGACATTTTCTGACTTTGAGAAGACAAGATATGCTTTATAAAGTAACTGGAGTGTAATACAAGGGTAAACTGACTGTTAGAGGTTCCAAAAGTTAAAGACAATTCTGACAAAAAAAAATTGTATGGGTGGGAAATAGTCAGTGAGGCAAAGGTCCCTGAATGCTTTGCACATCATGAGGAAAGGGTTTAATCTTAGCTGGCAGAGAAGAGAGGATTTAGCTTTGTAGGCTGGTAGCAAAGATTAATTAACTTAAGCAGAAGAATTCGTTGCCTGGAATGGAGGCAGGGCTGAACAATCTTGGAGAAAATATATGTTCTTAATCAGATGGAACTGATGACACAGGCTCATAGAAGCGATTGTGGAACAATCCAGACATGGAGAAAGAGTAAATGCTGGCACATCAACTGCAGTGGTGCCGATGAACACGAGGACAGCAGAAATACCTTTAAGATGCAGCAAAGCTTATGTGTGCAGGGGACCTAGCTTTGATCTTCTGGACAAAAGCAGTGACCACAGAATAGCTTTGCACATACAATTAGAAACTGCTGATGTTACCAGTAGAGATGAGTCCCTGGCATCATTGCAAGTAGGGACATGCTCAGTGGGAAAGGACTGTTGGAATCTCAGCCACATTCCCATTCTCAGAGACAATATTCTTGGTCATTTTCTTTTTCAGTCCTCCATTACCTCCAGAACTTTTTGTGCCTCTGAATCTGTGTGTTTACTCTACTTCCCCTCCATCCCTTTAGGGCCCTTGTTCTCCTGGAGTAATCTTCCTCATCCTTCAAAAATCACTTCTCTAACACCCCAAAGAAGCTCTCAGTCTTCTAGGTTAGTATTTCTACTTTGTAAATAGCTCTACTTTAGCACTTATATTTGATTATATTTAGTCATTTAAATGTGGATCTTTCACCCCAGATTGTTCATTCTTCAAGGACAAGGGGCTATGTCTTATTTATAGTAAATGCAGGGATTGGGCTTAGTCTTGGCTTTGAATCCCTGCTTTACTACTAACTTGTTCTGTGGCTTTTAGAAACATGATTAATTTCTCTTTACCGCATGCCCTTCATTTATAAAATATGGCAAATAGTATCCACTTAATAAGGTTACAAATTAAAAACTAATCAAGATAATGTATGTAAAACACCTGTCATAGTGACTGGTTCATAGAAACTCAACATTAATTTTTTTCTTCCTTTCTCGCTTTTGATATAGCAAGGCTCAGCACAGTGCCTTATGTATAGCAGAAACTCAATAAATTTCAGTGGAACTTACAAATGTTAAAATTTACTGAGTGCTTACCACATTCCAGGCACTGTTCAAAGCTCTATAGATGTATAGTAACTCATTTAATACTGTGCCTAACAGCATGGAGAAAGCACTATTAATATGCCCATTTTATTTATGAGGAAACCAAGACATAAAAAAGCTAAATACTTCCTCAGGGAACATCCAGCAAATAAATGGCAGAGGCAAGATTTGAATCTAGGTAGATAGGACTCTGAAGTCCATGATTCTATAGGTTGATTCTACGTAGTTACATAGGATGTTGAATCCTCTGAAAATTTCCTGTTGGTGAAGACCTAGCCCATTCAGAGAGTACCAAGAGCAGGGTTGGCAAATGGCTTGAGCAAATCCATTCCTAGTATACTACTCCAAGGAATTCTGAATTGCACTTAAATTTTTTATGAGAAATTATTTCCTGTGAAAGAAGAGATCCAGTTCTGTCATGGCACTCCTTCACTAGGGTGAACATCCCTTCAAATCAGCTGATGAGTTGACTAAGGAACATACTCATTGGAGTCCTATCCAGAATTTGCTTCATCCTTGTCATGCAGTGGAGGGTGGCCCTTGAAGCATAACCACCACCACCACCACCACCACTGCTGCCACCAAACACCACTGGTGGTTTTTTCCCCCTCCAGGGGATGCTTCTATTGGCAATGCTGTGGAGTGAGTCCTGCTGGAGCTCCACTTTGCAGCTGAGAAAATTGGAGCTCATGGAGGTAACTAATGTGCACAAGGTCACACAGCCAGCGAACACCTCTACCCAGAGCTATCTGACTCAGGGCCTTCTCGGGGACCCAAGAGCAATGAATTAGAGAAGCTGATAAGGGTTCCAGAGTGGCTAGTCGTTGGCTTGCCTCAAGAGGAGAGATGAGAAGATATGCCATCAGTACTCTTAGGGCAGAGCTTTCACAAGCTATCTTGGAGAAGAAACAGAAGAAAAACTTTCCCCTGATCTGAGGAATGAGCATTTCTAGTGAAAAAAGAAAAAGTGCACTACAGAAATGTTCTTTTAATTATTCCTGATTTAGATTAGTACTGAATTTTGGTTTGAGCAAAAAAATGATTTAATAACCTAAAATTGTATTTACCCTAAAGTCAGATTTGTTTTCTTTGAGAAAAGTTAGGGAGAGCTTCCAAATCACTTCATCTTCTATTTAAAGGGGAAAAATATTTTTCTATAATAAATTTCACTTTAAAATTAAGCAATGGGACTACAATACTTTCCTGTTTCCCTAACTCACTATGTAATTTTTCCATTTGCAGGGAAGCCAAAAGATGAATTTCTTTGTAGGAAGTGGAACGTTGTATAAATATTTTCTAAGAACGGTCATGCACAGACAATATTAATTAAAAGTGATGAAATAGTATAACCTTATGACATCTAATTTTGGTTGTGTGTTAGTGTGTTGATTGATGGAATCCAATTTCCTTTTTACTTCATTTGAGCCCATCTTATGGTTCCTCAGCAAAAAGCTTGGAACTGAGCAGGCATGATAAGTAAGACTAATGTGCACAGAGCACACATTCCTTCCAAGCTGGAAAGGACATGCACCCCTTCTTTCCCCCTACTTGGCCAGCTAAGCACACACTGTACTTGAGAATAAGTCAAGAATAAAATCACAAACTTTGAATATGCAATGTTGAAAAATAATTGGTATATTTGAATTTTCCCTTAGAAAAGATTGCATGAGGACTCGGTATTGATGCTCAGCACGGAAATGACTGTCTCTCTTCCCCAGTGAAGCTCTCCTTGCTGCCCTCCCTTTCCTATGGGCATTACTGTGCTGCTGGGTTCAGCTGGATGGAGACTCCTTCAGGGCCATGTAATTGGGAGATAGGAGGCAGGACATGCTCCAAGCTTTCTAATGTCATTGTTTTCACAAACTGTCTGGGTCTTTGTTCCATGGGCACTAATTCTCAATACAATAAGACTGACCTGTCCAATTTTCTGTTTCTGTGTCTGTTTCCTTCAATTTGCAGGTAGCCGGGACACAAGTGCTTCTGTTTGACTCCCGGTTATGCTGATTGATATAGTTTGGATATTTGTACCTATACAAATCTCATGTTGAAATGTAATCCCTATGTTGGAGGTGGGTCCTGGTGGGAGGTGTTTTTCCCCGCCAGGGGATCATTCGTTTCATACAGACTTTATTTTTATTTTTATTTTTCCACAAGTGATTGAGACACAGGTGGTATTTGGTTACATGAGTAAGTTCTTTAGCGGTGATTTGTGAGATTTTGGTGCACCCATCACCCGAGCAGTGTACACTGCACCCCATTTGTAGTTTTTTTTATCCCTTGCCTCCTTCCCACTCTTCCCCGCCAGGTCCCTAAAGTCCATTGCATCATTCTTATGCCTTTGGGTCCTTATAGCTTAGCTCCCACGTATCAGCGAGAACCATACGATGGTTTGGTTTTCCATTCCTGAGTTACCTCACTTAGAATAAATGGTCTCCAGTCTCATCCAGGTCACTGCAAATGCTGTTAATTCATTCCTTTTTATGACTAAGTAGTATTTCATCATATATATATATATATATATATATATATATATACACCACAGTTTCTTTATTCAGTCATTGACATTGATCGATGGGCATTTTGGTTGGTTCCATGATTTTGCAATTGTGAATTGTGCTGCTATAAACATGCGTGTGCAAGTATCTTTTGCATATAATGACTTCTTTTTGTTTGGGTAGTAATCCCACTACCCAGCAGTGGGATTGCTGGATCAAATGGTAGTTCTACTTTTAGTTCTTTAAGGAATCTCCACACTGTTTTCCATAGTGGTTGTACTAGATTACATTCCCACCAGCAGTGTAGAAGTGTTCCCTGTTCACTGCATCCACGCCAACATCAACTATTTTTTGATTATGGCCATTCTTGCATGAGGAAGGTGGTATCGCATTGTGGTTTTGATTTGTATTTCCCTTATCATTAGTAATGTTGAGCATTTTTTCATATGTTTGTTGGTCATTTGTATGTCTTCTTTTGAGAATTGTCTGTTCATGTCCTTAGCCCATTTTTTGATGGGATTTTTTTTTTCTTGCTGATTTGTTTGAGGTCATTGTAGATTCTGAATATTAGTCCTTTGTCAGATGTATAGACTGTGAAGATTTTCTTCCACTCTGTGGATTGTCTGTTTACTCTGCTGACTGTTCTTTTTGCCATGCAAAAACTCTTTAGTTTAATTAGGTCTCCACTATTTATCTTTGTTTTTATTGCACTTGCTTTTGGGTTCTTGGTCATGAAATCCTTGCCTAAGTCAACATCTAGAAGGGGTTTTCCAATGTTATCTTATAGAATTTTTATAGTTTCAGGTCTTAGGTTTAAGTTCTTAATCCATCTTTAGTTGATTTTTGTACAAGGTGAGAGATGAGGATCCAGTTTCATTCTCCTACATGTGGCTAGCTAATTATTCCAGCACCATTTGTTGAAAAGGGCGTCCTTTCCCCACTTTATATGTTTTTGTTTTCTTTGTCAAAGATTGGTTGGCTGTAAGTATTTGGGTTTATTTCTGGGTTCTCTATTCTGTTCCATTGGTCTATGTGCCTGTTTTTATACTAGTACCATGCTATTTTGGTGACTATGGCTTTATAGTATAGTTTGAAATCAGGTAGTGTGATGCCTCCAGATTTGTTCTTTTTGCTTAGTCTTGCTTTGGAAATGTGGGCTCTTTTTTGGTTCCATATAAATTTTAGGATTATTTTTTCTAATTCTGTGAAGAATGATGGTGATATTTTGATGGGGATTGCGTTGAATTTGTAGATTGCTTTTGGCAGTATGGTCATTTTCATAATATTAATTATATCCATCCATTAGCATGGGATGTGTTTCCATTTGTTTGTGTCATCTATGTTTCTTTCAGCAGCATTTGGTAGTTTTCCTTGTAGAGGTCTTTTGACTCCTTGGTTAGGTATATTCCTAAGAGGTTTTGGTAGGTTGTGTCATTATTGTCGTTCAGTTTGAAGATTTTTTTTTTTTTGGAAAAGGAGTCTCACTCTGCTGCCCAGGTTGGAGTCAGTGGCACGATCTCAGCTCACTGCATTCTCCGCCTCCCAGGTTCAAGTGATTCTTCTGCTTCAGTCTCCCAAGTAGCTGGGACTACAGGCATGCACCACCACGCCTGGCTAATTTTTGTGTGTGTGTTTTTTTTTCAGTAGAGATGGAGTTTCACCATATTGGCCAGGCTGGTCTTGAACTCCTGACCTTGTGATCTGCCCACCTCGGCCTCCCAAAGTGCTGGGGATTACAGGCATGAGCCACTGTGCCTGGCCTGAATAATTTTTTAATTTTTATCTTGATTTTGTTTTTTGATCCAGTGCTCATTCGGGAGCAGGTTATTTAATTTCCATGTATTTGCATGGTTTTGAAGGTTCTTTTTGGAGTTGATTTCCAGTTTTATTCCACTGTGGTCTGAGAGAGTGCTTGATATAATTTCAATTTTCTTAAATGTATTGAGGCTCATTTTATGGCCTATCATATGGTCTATCTTGGTCTATTCTGTGCGCTGTTGAATAGAATGTGTATTCTGCAGTTGTTGGATGAAATGTTCTGTATATATCTGTTAAGTCCATTTGTTCCAAGGTGTAGTTTAAATCCATTGTTTCTTTGTTGACTTTCTGTCTTGATGACCTGTCTAGTGCTATCAGTGGAGTATTGAAGTTCCTCACTATTATTGTGTTGCTGTCTATCTCATTTCTTAGGTCTATTCGTAATTGTTTTATAAATTGGGGAGCTCCAGTGTTAGGTGCATATATGTTTAGGATTGTGATATTTTTCTGTTGGATAAGGCCTTTTACCATTATATAATGTCCCTCTTTGTCTCTTTTAACTGCTGTTGCTTTAAAGTTTGTTTTGTCTGGTATAAGAATAGCTACTCCCACTTGCTTTTGATGTCCATTTGCATGAAATGACTTTTTCTACCCCTTTATTTTATGTGAGTCCTTATGTGTTAGGTGAGTCTTCTGAAGGCAGCAGATAGTTGATTGGTGAGTTCTTATGTATTCTGCAGTTCTGTATCTTTTAAGTGGAACATTTAGGCCATTTACATTCAATGTTAGTATTGAAATGTGAGGTACCATTGCATTAATCATGCTATTTGCTGCCTGTGTACTTTTGGTTTTTTGTTTTTTGCTTTTTAACTTTTATTTTTGTTTTATAGGTCCTGTGTGATGTATGCTTTAAAGAGGTTCTGCTTTGATGTGTTTCCAGGATTTGTTTCAAGATTTAGAGCTCCTTTTAGCAGTTCTTGTAGTGGTGGCTTGGTAGTGGCGAAATCTCTCAACATTTGCTTGTCTGAAAAAGACTGTATCTTTACTTGATATATGATGCTTAGTTTCGCTGGATACAAAATTCTTGGCTGATAATTGTCTTGTTTGAGGAGGCTGAAGATAGGGCCCCAATCCTGTCTAGCTTGTGGGTTTCTGCTGAGAAATCTGCTGTTAATCTGATAGGTTTTCCTTTAGAGGTTACCTGGTGCTTCTGTCTCACAGCTCTTAAGATTCTTTCCTTCATCTTAACTTTGGATAACCTGATGACAATGTGCCTAGGCAAAGATCTTTTTGTGATGAATTTCCCAGGTGTTCTTTGTGCTTCTTGTATTTGGATGTCTAGGTCTCTAGCAAGGCTAGGGAAGTTTTCTTCGATTATTCCCCCCAATATGTTTTCCAAGGTTTTAGATTTCTCTTCGTCCTCAGGAACACCAATTATTCTTAGGTTTCGTCGTTTAACATAATCCCAGACTTCTAGGAGGCTTTGTTCATATTTTCTTATTCTTTTTCCTTTGTCTTTGTTGGATTGGGTTAATTTGAAGACCTTGTCTTCGAGCTCTGAATTTCTTCTACTGGTTCAATTTATGGCTGAGACTTTCCAGAACATTTTGCATTTCTATAAGTGTGTCCAGTGTTTCCTGAATTTTTGATTGTTTTTTTCTTTAAGATATCTATTTCCTTGAATATTTCTCCCTTCACTTCTTGTATTGTTTTTTGGACTTCCTTGCACTGGGTTTTACTTTTCTCTGGTTCCTCCTTGATTAGCTTAATAACTAACCTCCTGAATCCTTTTTCAGATAATTCAAGGATTTCTTCTTGGTTTGGATCCATTGCTGGTGAACTAATGTGATTTTTGGGAGGTGTTGAAGGGCCTTGTTTTATCATATTACTAGGATTGGTTTTCTGATTCCTTCTCATTTGGGTAGGCTCTGTCACAGGAAGGTCTAGGGCTGAAGGCTGTCCAGATTCTTTTGTCCCACGGAGTATTCCCCTGATGTAATACTCTCCCCCTTTTCCTATGGATGTGGCTTCCTGTGAGCCGAACTGCAGTGATTGTTGTCTCTCTTCTGGGTCTAGCCACCCAGCGAGTCTACCCGGCTCCTGGCTGGTACTGGGTGTTGTCTGCACAGAGTCCTGTGATGTGAACCGTCTATGGGTCTCTCAGCCACGGGGAGAGAAGAATAGGCCAGCCCCTATTCTGGTGGAGGTGGCAATTGGGGCTGGGGGAAGGGTGCAATGGACTCCGTGAGGGTTCTTAGCTTTGGTGGTTTAATGCTCTATTTTTGTGCTGTTTGACCTCCTGCTGGGAGGTGGTGCTTTCCAGAAAGCATCAGCTGTGGTAGTGTGTAGAGGAACTGGCAGTGGGCGGGGCCCTAGAATTCCCAAGATTATATGCCCTTTGTCTTCTGCTACCAGGGTGGGTAGGGAGGGACCCTCAGGTGAGGGCAGGGCTAGGCATGTCTGAGCTCAGGCTCTCCTTGGGCAGTCCTTGCTGTGGCTGCTGTGGGGGATGGGGGTGAGATTCCCAGGTCGCTGGAGTTGTGTACCTAGGAGGATTATGTCTGCCTCTGCTGAGTCATGCAGGCTGTCAGGGAAGTGGGGGAAAGCTGGCAGTCACAGGCCTCACCCAGCTCTGGTGGGAGGTGTTTGGATCATGGGGGTGGGTACTCATGAATGGCTTGGGCTGTCCCCTTGGTGATGAGTGAGCTCACACTCTGAGTTTACATGAGATCTGGTCATTTAAAAGTGTGCAGCACTTCCTCCTGCCCAGCTCTCTCTCTCGCTTCTACTTGCACCGTGTGAAATGCCTGCTCCTGCTTTGCCTTCTGCCGTGAGTAAAAGCTTCCGGAGGCCTCCCCAGAAGCCAAGTGATGTCAGCACCATGCTTGTACAGCTTGCGGAACAATGAGCCAATTAAACCTCTTTTCTTTATAAATTACCCAGTGTCAGTTATTTCTTTATAGCAATGCAAGAACAGCCTAACACACTGGTACTCAGGTGATGGCTTTTATGTCACAGTTAGGCCCTCAGAGTTCTCTCGGAAGATGGAGACTGTGAGCCCACGGCAGTACTTCTCGTCCTGAGGCTGGACCCTGCACCTTCAGGTCTCCCAGTGACCAGCCTCTCTGCCTCCCTGGGGTGGCCAAGGGGACTGAATGGACTCCGTACTCCTGATGCTCCCTCATGCTCATGTTCAGCCAAGAACATCCCATAATAAAACTCCCTGAGGCCAAAGCCTTGGTGATACAGCTCTAGGTGTCACAGCTCTTGGTGACACAGCTCTTGGTGACACAGCTCTAGGTATCACAGCTCTTGGTGTCACATCTCTAGGTGTCACAGCTCTTGGTGACACAGCTCTTGGTGTCACAGCTCTAGGTGTCACAGCTCTTGGTGACACAGCTCTAGGTATCACAGCTCTTGGTGTCACAGCTCTTGGTGACACAGCTCTTGGTCTCACAGCTCTAGGTGTCACAGCTCTTGGTGACACAGCTCTAGGTATCACAGCTCTTGGTGTCACAGCTCTTGGTGACACAGCTCTAGGTATCACAGCTCTTGGTGTCACAGCTCTTGGTATCACAGCTCTTGGTGTCACAGCTCTTGGTGACACAGCTCTTGGTGACACAGCTCTAGGTATCATAGCTCTAGGTATCACAGATTTTGGTGACACAGTTCTTGGTGTCACAGATCTTGGTGACACAGCTCTAGGTATCACAGCTCTTGGTGACACAGTTCTTGGTGTCACAGCTCTTGGTGACACAGCTCTTGGTGACATAGCTCTAGGTATCACAGCTCTAGGTGTCACATCTCTTGGTGTCACAGCTCTTGGTGACTCAGCTCTAGGTGTCACATCTCTTGGTGACACAGCTCTAGGTATCACAGCTCTTGGTGACACAGCTGTTGGTGTCACAGCTCTTGGTGTCACAGCTCTTGGTGACACAGCTCTAGGTATCACAGCTCTTGGTGACACAGCTCTAGGTATCACAGCTCTTGGTGACACAGCTGTTGGTGTCACAGCTCTTGGTGACACAGCTCTAGGTATCACAGCTCTTGGTGACACAGCTGTTGGTGTCACAGCTCTTGGTGACACAGCTCTTGGTGACACAGCTCTTGGTGTCACAGCTCTCGGTGACACTGCTCTAGGTGTCACAGCTCTTGGTGACACAGCTCTAGGTATCACAGCTCTAGGTGTCACAGCTCTTGGTGTCACAGCTCTTGGTGACACAGCTCTTGGTGTCACGGATCTAGGTATCACAGCTCTTGGTGACACATCCCGTCCACTCCTATGTGTAGTAGCCATTTTCCTTTTAGCACATACACTGTGACAGAGGTTGGGGCAATGAGGTGTCAGTGTCACCTGCACCCTGCCCCAGGACTGGCAATTCCTTCACTGCCAAGGCCCTGCTGCTGTGTCCAAATCCATCCTTCAGACCTCTCTGCCCCATCATTGTGATGAGTGTCCCTATTGTCCTTTTCCATCCTTGGGTCTCACATAGGGTTATGCTAGTTCATGAGTCATATTTTGATATCTTCGGCCTTTCAACAGAAATGGTAAGGTGCTTAGTCTTTCTTCTAGGTCTTCTGCCTCTTTGTAAATTCATGGTTGCAAAATGATGCCTGGAGTCAGGGCAACACCCAGTAGCCTCCGTGGCTGGAAGGCAGACAGACAGGCTGATGGAAGGGAACATCTATCTCCTCCACCAGTGGTGTCCAGGGCTCAGACTCTTGCCTTACTCTCCATTATGAGAGGATAACGAAGGGAATGACTGAATGCCGTATATAGTACCCCTTACTTGAAGGTCTCTGTGTCTGCCCTCAAGAATCCTCTCTGACTAGATTCCATGTATTTCTCTTTATGCGTGGGAAACTTCTGCAATTGCCATGAGGATTTGTGTATCGATGACCGTGATTCTAGAGGGATTCGCTCCAAAAGCACCACCTCTAGAGTGGGTTCTGTCTCTCTCCTGACCCCAGGGTGATGCCTTCATGATGAAGTGACAATTCTTCCTGGAACATTCACTCATTGTCTCCTTACTCATGAACCTGCTGCTCTGAGGGTAAAATTTCGGTTCTCAGTTCTTAAAAGCATTTTCTTCAATGTTTCTGTCCTGTGCTTTTGAGCAGAACCACCTCTGGTTCTGAGCCTTCATAGGGAGTGCCCCCTGCATATGGAGGGAGTGTTTGTCAGTGCCTGCTCCTCAGGATCGGAGGTGAGCTGCTGGAAAAATGACATCATTCCAGAGCCAGAGAGAAGTTTACTCAGAACGTTGCCAAACAGCTTTGGAAAAAAAAAATAGGCCAGGTATGGTGGCTCACACCTGTAATTCCAACACTCTGGGAGGCCAAGGTGGGAGGATCACTTAAGTCCAGGAGTTTGAGACCAGCCTAGGCAACGTAGTGAAATCCTGTCTCTACAAGAAATAGAAAAAAATTAGCTGGGTGTGGTGGTGCATGCTTTTAGTCTTAGCTACTCTGGAGGCTGAGGTGGGAGGATTGCCTGGGCTCAGGAGGTCAAGGATGCAGTGAGCTGAATTGCACTCTAGCCTGGGCAACAGAGTGAGACCCCGTATCAAAAAAAAAAATGAAGAAAAATATTTAGCAAGGATAAAATATTATTAGCTCATTGGCACCAGTGATAGTGAAACATGTTTATGAGAAAAACAAACTCTGTACAACATGTGAAGAGGTTTATTCTGAGCCAGTATGAGTGACCAGAAATTACGGGCAAAGACATAAATTCATATATGGAAGGTGCACATTTGTTCAGCCTAAAGAGGCAGGATATCTTGAAGAGGCGGAGACTTATAGGTCATAGGTGGATTCAATGATTTGGCAATTGGCAATTGATTGAGTTGGCAATTGGTTGAATTAAACTTTGTCTAAAGGTTCGAAGACAGCAGAAAGAAATGCTTAGTTATGATGAGGAGGTTGTGGAAGCCAAGGTTCTTGTCAGTTAGATGAAGCCTCCAAGTAGCAGCCTTCAGAGAGAATAGAGGGCAAATGTCCCTTTTAGGGCCTTAACGTTTCAGACTCTTAGTTAATCTCTTCTAGATCTGGGAACGGCCTGGCTGCATAAATGGAGATTCTTTCCAGATGCAAATTTCCCCCATGAAAGATGGCTTTGCAGGACCATTTCAAAATGTGTCAAGTAAATACATGTTGGGAGAAAATATTTTTATTTTCTTCAGAGCCTCTCTGCTATGTGGTGCTATACCAGAGTCAGGTTGGAATTTGGCATCTTAATGCCACAAAGAGTCTTCTTTCAGTCTTCTTTAAGTCTTATGATCTGTATTTTAATGTTAATGCTGGTCAGTTTTCCCTAAACTCCAAAAGGCCGGGGAGCGGGTGAGACGGAGTATGCTGGATGAAGTATGCCTAGCCTTCTTTCCTTTCGTGGCCAGGAAATCAGTTTTTCAGGTTCCTCCAGAGTTCTCTTGGCCCTGGAGGAGGTCTGTTCAGTCTGTTGAGGAGTTAGGATTTTATTTTTGGTTTATAAACATAAGCTTTCTAAAGATTCAAGTGCTCCTTGGTGTGTTTTGTGTTAGCTGCTTAAAGAAGAGCATGTGAGTCCAGAATGGAGCCTAGTTAGTGATGGATACAGAAACCAGGGGCATTGGTGATAGAAATATGTCACCCAGTGCTGTGCGGCATCACTGAACACTGACCTCGGCCTCCTGTGATGAGCAAGGAATGGCTGCATGAAAGGCTGCTGAAATCCTTTCCTTTGCTTTTGCTAATAAAAATCATATTTAAAGTGTCCTAGATATGTAAAAAGATTCTATGGGGAATTGTTTCATAATAAAAAGAATGGTGATCACATGTAAACATTCCTAATTTATTAACTACGATTTTATAATCAACATTATTGAGGTATAATTTACATACAGTAAAAGGCATCCATTTACATTGCACCATTCGATTTATTTAAAGTGTTCAATTAGCTGAGTTTTGTACACACCCATGAAGTCACTGCCAAAATTTAAGAAACACAATATTTCCATTTACCCTTGAAAGTTTCCTTCTGAAGTTTTTCTCTTTCTGTCCCTGGCCTCATGCAACCACTGATCTGACTGATCTGCTTTTTGTCACTGTGGACTTAGTTGCATTTTCTAGACTTTTACAAGTAGTATCATGCAGTATAGACTCTTTGAGTCTGGCTTTTAAAATCTATCATAATGACTTTAAGAGTCACCCGTGAGGTTGCATGTATCAGCTGTCCACACCCCCGACTCTTTCACCATGCTTTTTTCTTTGGTTGAGTACTATTCTTTCATATGACTATATCACAGTTTGTTTATCCATACCTATTGATGAGCATCTGGATTGTTTTAGTTTTTAGTTATTTTGAGTAATGCTGCTGTGAACATTCATGTACAAGTCTCTGTGTAGGCTTACATTTTCATTTATTTGGGGTAAATACCTAGGAGTAGACTGACTGGATCCTATGGAAGGTATTTGCTTACCTTTTTTTCTTTTTGAGACAGTCTTACTGTTGTCCAGGCTGGAGTGCAATGATGTGATTTCTGCTCACTGCAACCTCCCCCTCCTGGTTCAAGCGATTCTCCTGCATCAGCCTCCCAAGTAGTTGGGACTACAGGCACACACCACCATGCCCAGCTAATTTTTGTATCTTTAGTAGAGATGGGGTTTCACCATGTTGGCCAGGCTGGTCTTGAACTCCTGACCTCAAGTGATCCACCCTCCTCAGCCTCACAAAGTGTTGAAATTACAGGTGTGAGCCACTGCACCCAGCCATGTGGTTTCCTTTTTAAGAGACTGCCGTAGAGTTTTTCTAAATGGTTGTACCATTTTGCATCCTCACTGGCAGTGTATGAGAGTTCTAGTTGCTCCACATCCTTGCCAACATTTTGCATTGTCGATTTTAAGAAAAGTGTAAATTCATGCAAATTGATGGTTCAAATGTATATAATTATGTATATTACAAATAATACTGGAGAATTTTTGTTTTTTAGTGACAAGTTTTTGAATTTCCCCTTCCTTTTCTTTTCTTGTGTTATGTTAAATTGAACACTTAGGAAAGTAAATTTGAATTCTTAAAGTCATAAGGACCTTTTAACCTATTATAGCTGTGGTTAACTTTTAGTATCCTGGCAGGGAAAACTTTATTTCTTAAATATCTAAATTACAACTAGAGAGAAAAAAGAAAAGGAAAAAAAATGATTAAAAGTTGTATAGAGGAGGCGGCTTAGGTTGGAATGTGGTAATTTCCACCATAGTCCTAATTATGTATGGTTGTGTTGCTGCTCTCAAACCATAGCACTGCTTATAGGTTTCACAGGCTGGCACCAAGTTGAGCCACACCACTCTTGCTAACCTCTATGATGCTTTCTCCAATTTTTCATTCTCCACTGTTACTTACTCTGGGCATTTTAAGAGAGGCTTCTAGAAGACTGAGGGTCCTGAGAAGTTGGCAGTGGCTGTGACCAATTCTCCAGCTTGCCTGGAGGCCTCGTTGTTGCCTATGACTGCCTGTCCTGTGACGTTATCAGCAAACAAAGCAGCTGGCATGGGGTGCAGGGGGAAGGCCTGGGGGAGAAGGAAGGCAAGGTTGGGGTGGTCACTGAAGCACCATCTGGCTCTAGCAAGGACACGGGGAAGTTTGGAGTTCAGCTCCAGCTGGACTTTAAGAATGTATGGGGCTCCATTGTAAGGTGAATGAATGTGAAGAGTGCAGAGAGAAGGAGACGCAAGGAAGAGAGTGAGAAAAAAAAAGAAGGAAAAACTTTATGATCAAAGAAAAGAGTTTTTTTCTAATACGAAAATGATATACAGCAGTTTCCTTTTCTTTTTTTTTTTTTTTTGGTTTTAAGGAGAGAAAATTTATTAGGCAAGAAAGAAGGAAGAAAGGAAGAAGAAAACGGCTCCTTCATACAGAGACAGAGGGAGGGGGGGATTTGAACAGAGAAAACCCCCAGTTTCCCCTTTTTATAGTAAGAATAAAACACATTCACTGATAACCTCTGCATACTACTGCAATAGCATTTTTGGAGGTGGAGTCCCAGCACCGTCGGAATGATCCCTGGCATCTGGATGTGTCAGCCCATCAGTGCATCCTCACCTAAAGCACAGCATGTGTGGGGTGACAACTGGGTGAAGGGGAGAATGAGCCCCGGGGTTAGACCGGGAGCCTGCCTCTGAGGCTTCCTGACCTCGACTTCCCTGGGCCTGTTTCCTTATCTGTCATGCTGCGGTGATAACGCCCTCATCACAGGGCTTCTGTGAAGATCAGAATGAGACAATGTGAGAGTCTTTTTGTTCATAACACATATTTTCACATTTGTCAGTTTGTTCATGAGAGTTCAGTTCTGAACAATGTCTCTTTATCATCTATCTTCAAGAGCGTAGTGGGAATATAGGATTAGAAAAAAATTTTTGGTTTGGGTATCTTTTCCTTCTGTTGTTTTGACTATCAGCAGCCCTGATACTTGTAGACAGGCAGTGCTTGAAGGAGAAAGATCTTGGCTCACAGAAGTTTAATCCTTTCCATTTAATGACTGTAGCTTAGCATATTTTAGTTATCGTCATTTTGGATTTCATACTATCTGGCCTCACAGAATTGCACCAAACCTGTCCTGACCCCTGATACTCTCCACAATTTTTTTGCCAGTAAACCCTGTAATGAGTTTTGTTACCAGGATGCATGATGTTTCCATGCCTACAAGTCCTGTTTTCCAAACTGGCTGTTCTCAGGCTGGCAAGAGTGAGCTGATTTCACTCCAGAAACATTTTAAACTTCCTGAAAGATTAAGTGGCTATGAGCACTCCCACAGGGCCTCTGCAGTGTTCTTTGTTAGGGTCAAGGTTCATGCTTTCT
Organism: Homo sapiens; assembly: GCF_000001405.40. Lineage (NCBI taxonomy): Eukaryota > Metazoa > Chordata > Mammalia > Primates > Hominidae > Homo > Homo sapiens. The sequence continues at coordinate 185,567,273 of NC_000004.12, forward strand.
TTACCAGTTTGATGATTTTTCTGTAATTCTCTATCTGAGAGGTGATGTCTATGTGAAGGTATTCTGTAGCTGCCAATCTAAAGGCCCATTTTCCTACTGTCTCTCCTTCCTTCTAACGCTTCGATCTCCAGACACTTTGTCAGTGATTCTGGCTTCCAGAACGCCTACCTGTTCTAGGGGAACATGTAATCTGTGAACAGCCTTGGACGAGCTTCCCATGGCGTTTGACACTCAAGGCTAAAAATAGCAAGATGAGGCCTGAAGCATTCTCCAAGGAAATGAAATCGAATCACGTAACTGGATTATTCTTGGTTATCTTGCAGATATCCGCGTGACCAGACGTCTACAAATGGTGGTGAGATCATTTCTCGTCGCCTCTTAATCTGTTGGCAGCTGACTTCTGAAAACGTCTTCAGAGTTTTTTCTTTTTTCCCCAAACCAAGGGCAGCCAGCAATTTTGAAACTTTGCATATTGGATTGTCATTGTGACTTCCACAAGTAATTTTGCAAAGTTCATTTTTCTTTCTTTCCTCATTTCAGACTTTTTTTTTTTTGGAGGGGGTGGGGGTGGTTTTACTTTTTCACAGTGGTTGCTAAGAAAGAATCTTCTGTTTATAGGCTCCTAACAAATAGTGACAGCTGAAAGACAAATATGGTGCTGTGTTTGCAGGACGATGGAAGGGGGCCAGCAACCCGCAGCCTCCAGGCACACACACTCACAAGGAGGCCTTTGAGAGTGCTGCCTGGCATTGTGGGTCCACAGATTGCTTGAAATCATTAAAAAAGGCGTTTGCCTCATACTTTCAATGACAACTTATTTCCAGGGGTCCACCAGCATTGTACAAATCGATAGGATTGTCAAGTTTTTTGTTTTTTGTTTTTGGATCTCAAAGCTTTTGCTTAACAGGGGCCGAAACACAGAAAGATTTGAATCTACTTTCACAACAGCGTTCTTTGACCTTTGGGTCATACGCTGGAGTGTCATAAACCAAGAAGCCAGGGGTAGGTTCATTCATGTTCACCTTTCTTTGTTTGGGAGAATTTCCTCCATTCTAGTGTGGTCCTAGAGCAGGATGGTGGCGAATGGGCTGCAGTTTAGAAAAACATTATGCAAAGAAAAGAGAAAGTGATTGTGTCTTTCTATCTAAGGCCAGCATATAAATGGGTATTTGGGTTCTTCGTTTCATAGTTTCGGTCTGAAGGAAATGGTTACCTGGGGTAACATAGAAGACCCTGAAATTATAACTACTGAAAAGGAGGCCTAGTGGAGGTGGGCTGAGCATGTCACCCTTGGCCAAGGATCACAACACAAGGTCAGAATAGCAGTGGGTGATGCCGTGCTGATGACTAGGATGACACACAGACAGCCCAGTGGGCTCCAGGCACTCTTATAAGCACCCTTTATGCACATATCAGTACTCAACACAGCACTGGCGGGTAGGCATTGCTACGAATCCGATTTACAAGGAAACGGATGGCAGAAATACCTTGTCCAAAATACACAGTACATGGCAAAGCTGTGGTTTGAATCCAGGCGGTTTGGGTCAGACCTGGTGCTTAAAGCTCAGCACTACGCTTCCTGTCTTGGGATCCCAGTGCTTCTCAAAGCCTGAGATTTTGTTCTCTATTTCTTTCTTTTTCTTTTTCTTTTTCTTTTTTTTTTTTTGAGATGGAGTCTGGCTCTTTCACCCGAGCTTGAGTACAGTGGTGCGGTCTCGGCTCACTGCAACCTCCGCCTCCCAGGTTCAAGCAATTCTCCGGCCTCAGCCTCCCAAGGAGCTGGGATTACAGGCATGCATCACCACACCCGGCTAATTTTTGTACTTTTAGTAGAGATAGGGTTTTGCCATGTTGGCCAGTCTCATCTTGAACTCCTGACTTCAGGTGATCCACTTGCCTTGGCCTCCCCGAAGTGCTAGGATTACAGGCATGAGCCACTGGGCCTGGCCTTGTTCTCTGTTTATCAACAGCACCTCTACTTCTGGGGAGACTGCCTGAAGAGGGTTTTTCACTAACTTAGTAGGAGAGAATGCCTTTCCTGCCTCTTCTTTTCTCCTAACCCTTCTCTGAAAAATGTCTTTGTGTGTAGAATCCCGGAATGACTGGAGGAAACACATGGAACTTTGATGTGAAAAGGACATTAAAAGATTTAGTGTCAATTTTTTCAACACAACACACAGCACAGAATCTGAACTTCCCAATTCATTGTCACCATTCTGAATTTTCTTTTTCATCCCAGAAGTGTTGGATTGGTCATTTGGTTTGGGTTCTATGTCAGAAACCATTTGCAGACAAATGGCAAGGCAGGGCTCAGACAGTCCTCAGAGGGGACATTTGTGAGATTTTGATTCTGCTGGAAAGCTGAGATATGCATTTGTCTGTAGGAAACTGATGAAGCAGGGTTGTCATTGCCTTCAAAATGAAATTTATACATGGGGTTGGCCGGGCTCCTCTTTCCTTCTTATACTCCAACAGGTGATTTTGCAAATGTGACTCTGTCTGTAATTCCTTCCTGCTCTTCTTCCCCTAGAAAATTCTCGTATAAATTTTCTCTTTTCCCAACTCAGAGATACTTTATATTCTCATTCAAAAACGAACTGGAAGAGTAAAATACTAGGAAAAACATAAAAGTTCCTACAAACAAGAGACTACCCTGCACTGTTTGAGGCTGAGTGGAGATGTACTGTTCATCTTATACTCATCTCTGTCATATGATTATTTTATGAAATGCCCATGGTGTTACTTTAAAATAGAAATCTAGTTAATTAGACAGAACACAACTTCAACTAATTTTAATATTTATTGAGCGTAACATGTACATGGCAAGGATCTGAGGGTGGCCTTGGGAAGCCCCCACCTGGGCAGTGGGGGAGAGGTGGGATTGATAACGTAGGAGAGATGAGATGCATGCAGGGGCTGGAATAGAAGCCAAAAAATGCTCCGTGTAGCAGCAAGATGATCTTCTTACCAGAGCACAGAGGAAGCAGTAGGAGGAAACGGTGGACACATTGGCGAAGAGTTCAATATTTCAGCTGAATTTTGAAGGATTCATTCACTTCTATGCTGGTGGCCATGACAGGTGCAGAGCATACGGTGGGGGAAAAAGGCCCAGGCCCACCCCCAGAGCAGACACAGAGCTGCTGAGAGGACCATGAGCTGGCTGAGGACTGAGCTGGCAAGAGGAGACTGCCATGGGCAGTGATCTTCATGGCTGGAGGCACAGATGAGCTTGGATGTTGGCAGCAGGAGGAGCTGTCATTCGCCAAGAGTCCAGTCGAGACCAGTCGTCCTTGAGGGGCACTGACCCAGAGACCGGGGTCGTCAGGCCACACCCTGCAGGGGCCAGCATAGAAGGCAGCCCACACTCCCACCACTGCCAGGAGGACTCCACGGGTTTTCTCTATCCCCAGACCATCTTGGGAAGGAAGAAGGGAGGGGAGAAATCGCCTGCTAGCGAGTGTACTTGGAGCTTGATGAGTGTTTACCAAAATTAAATTGTCTTAAACTGGAAAAATCTGAGATAATATTGATCACTGAATTTGAGGGAAAGTAAAATTTTACTGCCACCATGCAGCGGGGAGTTCACAGGGACAATTGAGTGGGTTACATAGTGTATGATTCTATCTGTATGAAATATCTAAAGCAGGCAAATCTGCAGAGACAGAAAGTTGATTAGTGGTTGCCAGGGGATGGGTGAAGGAGGAGGGGAGTAACTGCTAATGGGTACAGGGCTTTTTTTTTTTTGTGATAAAAATGTTTTAGAATTAGATAATGGTGATGGCTGCACAACTTTGCAAATATACTAAAAACCACTCAGTTGTACACGTCATAGGGCTGTGGCCTGTGAATTATATCTCAGTTAAAAAATGCAAAAAGATTAGATTGGTTAAACAAAATAAGGAAGCTACCATTTTTTTTTCACACATTTGAGTAGCAGTGTGAGTAAAGTCTCATACTGCTAGCTGATAATCATTAATCATTAATGATAATCATTAATAAAACATTGATTTTCCAAATATCTGAATCTGATACCATGTTGGGTAATAGCTATATCTAACTTTACATTATTTCTACTAAAATAATAAACTTCAGACAGAACTCAATTGGTAATCAGAATTCAACTCGACTAGCACTGGAAGCAAAAAAGTACTTAGACAACTATGGAAATACAAAGCCATGCACAAAGTGTACGAACCCAACGTGAGACGACACACGTCAATCAGGTGCTTTCAGTTAAGTCAGTACTTTGCCTTTTTATTTCTTTCATGCTTTGAAGATAAGAAATGAAAAACTGTATTTTCTAACTCAGAGTGCTTGTTACAAACACACACATTGTACTTCTTACTGCCATTAAAGTTTGTACTCAGTACAAATTTTTGAATTTTGAAAATTTTCTTTCTTTCCTTTCAGGTCTATTAATATTTTTATAACAGTAAACTTGTAAGTGGAAAATATATTACTGTTATTCTGTTTTAAGAGCAAGACTAAATGCGAGCCATTTCTTTTACTGTTTCTATCATTCCTGCAGTTGGCCTGGCTGGAAGCCTTGTAGTCACCACCGACTCTACCACTTCCTTCAATCCCTAAAGCCAACCAGTGGCCAAGTCTTGCTTATTTTATTTTTGTAACGTCTGTCACGTGTATTCCCGCTCCTGCTGCCCTGATCTGGTCGATCACTTCTCCCCACCGGGACTAGGATCACCGCTGGCTCTCGGCTTCCATCTTGCTCCTCTGAAATCCCCCAGAATCACCTTCTGAAAGCTTCCTGCTGCCCAGGTCACCTCCCGCATGCTCTCCCGCTGCATTTCACTCGATTAAACCATTGTTTCCTTCTGCACCAAAGTTTATTTTCTTTACAGAGCTATGTCATTTCCCACATTTCTTTCTTTTCATAACTCTGTCTTGTTTTTGTCAACTAGAGAATTTATGATTTTAAAATCCTTTTTAGAAGAATCACCCTTTTATTTATTTATTTATTTTTTTTTTTTGAGACGGAGTTTCGCTCTGTCGCCCAGGCTGGAGTGCAGTGGCGCGATCTCGACTCACTGCAAGCTCCACCTCCCGGGTTCACGCCATTCTCCTGCCTCAGCCTCCAGAGTAGCTGGGACTACAGGCACCCACCACCACACCCGGCTAATTTTGTGTGTTTTTAGTAGAGACGAGGTTTCACCGTGTTAGCCAGGATGGTCTCGATCTCCTGACCTCGTGATCCGCCCGTCTCGGCCTCCCAAAGTGCTGGGATTACAGGCGTGAGCCACCGCGCCTGGCCGAATCACCCTTTTTTTGAAGCTTCTTGAACATTTACTGCTCACTTTCTCTGTAGAGCGGGTTATCTCTGTTAGCCGCCTGAAATCCTTTCCGGAACAAGATGGCATTTGGTGTCTTGATTATTGATCTTGGTGTCCTGTAAGTTTCATGCCCAGGGCAGGAAGCTGGGGTGCATCAGAACTGCTGCTCTCTGAAGCAACTTGAGTACTTAGAGAAATGTCATATATTACAAATAAAAATCAGACATTTTAATTCTTATCTCTATATTTTTTTTTCTATATTTTGCACTGGTTTCTTTTAATTCTCTTCTTTGTTTCAGCATCCTCCAAGTCTTCGTTCAAAGCCTTCTCCCTTTCCTGATGTCTCTCTGTTTTAGTTAGGTATATATTTAGGCTGCCTCTTTTTCTTAAATAATTTTATAATGAAGACAAGCTCTTAAGATAATTTTATTTTTCTTTTTCTTTCTTTTTTTTTTTTTTTTAGAGACAGTGTCTTGCTCTGTCGTTCAGGCTGGAGGACAGTGGTGCAATCATAGCTCACTGTAACCTCAACTCCTGGGCTCAAGCACCTCAGCCTCCTGTCAGCTGGGACTACAGACACGTGCCACCTGCCTAATTTTTTATTTTTATTTTTTTGTAGGAGATGGGGCCTCGACATGTTGCCCAGACTGGTCTCAAACTCCTAGGCTCAAAGGATCCTACTGCCTCTGCCTCCCAAAGACGTGGGATTACAGGCATGAGCCACCCGCCTCTTTATTTTGCTTTTATGAGTCAAAAACATTTGTCTCTTCTCCCTTAGCATTCATCTAAGTATATATTTTATAGGAGAAAGGCCAAGGGGAAGATCAGGGTGATGTTCAGTATTAATATACTGTGCTTCAGAAAAGGAATGACATAAGCTATTGTCCTGAGAAATAATCTCTAGAACCCTCTGTCAAATTAATCACTGAGCATAAGGGGCTCTATTCAGAGAGGTGTTTTTATAAAGCCAAGGAGACCCTGCATACCTGGCTGGAGAGGGAGGAAGGGATTGAGGACAGAGTGGAAGTAAGGAAAGGCCTGGCCAGCTTCTGGTCCTGGGGATGGCAGGAAGATGGAAAAGGAGAGGAAGGGCACACAGTAAGGTTCCCTTTGACTTCCTGTCTGGAGGCTGTGCTTCAAGGTGAGTTACTCCAAGAGCAGTCTGCACCTCAGGCACATCACAGCGAGCTGGGCAGCCGGGGTGGTCAGGCAGAAAGAGGGCTCTGGGGCTCAGCATTCTGGGGTGCCCTCGACCTTTACAGGATAGGGATGCAGCGTTGAGAAGCCAAGGATCCACAGCGTGCACAGAGTGGTGAGGGGAGCTGACCGCACAGCAGAGCCTGGATGCGAGGCTGGGCCAGAGGCTGGAGGAAGGGCATGGCAGATATTCCGGAGTCTGTAGCCTGCGGGAGCTGACTGGCTGAGTCAGCAGGAAGTGATAATCCTGCCCAGACCCAAAGAGATCAGATTACCAGTGACACCAGCCTCAGGTTTCAGCTTTGAAGGCCAGGAAACACCCAGGGAACAGGGACACAGCCCTGGAGACCAGAAGAGGTAGAGGACATCATGCCCAACAGCCCAGGTTTTCCCACCACCATAAGATGTTAACTGCTCCCACTCACCGGGGAACTATCCTGGGAAGGAAGCGGAGGAGGGGAGACTATTCGGAGAGACCAGGCATTTTTATCCTGATGAGTGATTTTTTCCTAATAGACTGCTGCCATCTTTGGAACGGATTACACTAAAAAGGATTAGACATTTGGTTAATTTTATCTCTCTCTATAAATTTCAGTTATATATAATATATATACACACATATGCTATATATTTATATTTATCATATATAGAAGAAATTGCATATTTTAGACTGATATGTGTGTAAATTATTTAACTTCACTACAAGATTTTTGTTATATTAAAAGAAATACATCTTAGTTGTAAAATGTTTGAAAAATAAAAGTATCCATAAATCACTGAAGATATGACCATAGTCAACATTTTTGTGAATAATTTTTACATCTTATTCCAGTGTATATGGATTTATTAAATAGAACCTTAAGAAATTTCTGAGATTGTACTGTTTCTGACTTATAAAATTAGAGATTTCATGGAGTCAACCTAATACATCTGGTCTAGGGGCACACACACATGCACACGTACACATACATGTACATCTATGTTCTAGGTGCATATGTATAGCTGTAAAAATAGATATTCTTCCCTTCAAAAATGAGATTATACTGTTTTATAACTTTTTTTAAAAATTTAGCAATGTGTTGTGAACATCTTTATACATCATTAAATATTTTTCCAGGAGGTCCTTTTTAAGTGATTACATGGTATTTCACAGCAAAAAGTGCCACAATGTGTTTATTAGATAAATATATCTAAATACCTGTTGTTAGATATTTAGATTTCTAATAATTATTTGATGTCATGAATAACATGGTAATACATAAACTTACAGCTAAATATTTGAACACATTGAGAATTTTTTTTAGAATAAATATATAGAAATGACATTGCTAGAACAATGGATACACAGTATTTTGAAGTTTTTTTTTTAACTTTTATTTTCGGTTAATGGGTACATGTTCAGGTTTGTTATATAGGTAAACTGAGTGTCTTGGGGGTTTGGTGTACAGATTATTTTGTCACACAGGTAATAAGCATACACCGTAGGTAGTTTCTTGTATTTTAAAGTTGATTTATCAATTTACATTCTCTTAACACTATACTGAGACAAATCTTCAATTGGCTGCCAACTTGCTAGGTGAAAAACTGTAACTGATTTTACTTTTGGTTCCTGGGATTGAATAATTATTCCTGTACTTAATAGTTCTATGTTTTCTTTATCTTTATCTTTGTCTTTTTTTTTTTTTTTAATGATCGTTTCATGGCGTTTGTTTTGTGCTGAGCTCCATATTGAACCTGCCTATATGTGCTGAGCTCCATATTGAACCTGCCTATATGGGAAGCTGAGCTCACAGTCTGGCCCCTCATCACGATCTCTCAGGCAGATTTCTAGCCTCAAAACCTTCTGCTTCTTTGAAATCCATATTCAATTTGTCATTCAGTCTGCTGCTACTTTTACTGAACTATTATTTCATGGACAGTTGAGAAATGGAAAGATCTTGATGATTAGTTGATTTTCTTCATTTCACCAACAAGGATATTGACATCGGGCCATGCTAGTAACTTTCTCAGTGTCACGGGTCATATGAGGGTCTAGTGCTGGAATCTGGGCTCCTGGTCTGGTTGTGTATCTGTCACCTCTCGTCCTGGGATGGTTCCTCAGGCCTGGTCTCTGTCAGGGAGCCATCCAAATAAATGCTGGCTGGTCGTGCTTTACCCAAGTTTTCTGCTCTGTTGCTTTTCTATTTGTGGCTTCTGTGTGTGAGATTTTTTTTTTTTTTTTTTTTTTTTTTTTAGATGGAGTCTTGCTCTCTCGCCAGGCTGGAGTGCAGTGGCACCATCTCGGCTCACTGCAACCTCCGACTCGCTGGTTCAAGTAATTTTCCTGCCTCAGCCTCCCAAGTAGCTGGGATTACAAGCAGGTGCCACCATGCCCAGCTAATTTTTGTATTTTTAGTAGAGATGGGGTTTCACCATGTTGGCCAGGATGGTCTTGATCTCCTGACCTCGTGATCTGCCTGCCTTGGCCTCCCAAAGTGCTGGGATTACAGGAGTGAGCCACCGCGCCTGGCCCTAACTGTGTTTTTATGTCACTTCCTTCTTAAAAACTGATGAGCTTACTTCCTTCTTAAAAACTGATGAACGATTCTAATATTTGTTTTATATAATATCTGCTTTAGAAATCTCTCATTGATTTTAAACATATTTATAAATGCCACATTCTGACTGTCTTCATCAAACATCTAGCTGAGAAAACTTGGGAATGCAGCCAAGAGGACCTAACACAGGTATTCACATGCTTGGTGCCAGTGAGAATCAGCTTAAAGGGGACTTCCGAAGGCCAAAAGGCCAGGGAACTAGCCTTTTAGAGCCAACTACATGCTGGACTGTTGGTATATTTTATCTTATTTACTCCTCAGATAAATATTATGTGATATTCTTTTATTACATCATTTCACAAGCTGACCAAAGTCACGAGTACAGGCCCACTTCCTTAGGAACCTAACTGAGTCTGAGTTTGGAAAATACGCTTTTCATACCATTTACAGGAGCCGCGTTGGCAAAGCAAGGCGTTCACTCTCTGATCCTTTTTCTTTTTGTAAACTCTGACTGCCAGAACAATCTTCAAATAACATGTCATTATCAGCAGCCAAAAAGGAAGCTTGGACCCTTTTGAATTTGAAGTTTGCACAGCAGTCCTTGTTATTGCTTTCCATCTTTTCTCACTGGGAAAAAATGGCTCCCGAAATAAGAATGTTCTTCGTGACTCCATTTAGAAAATTGGTCATCTCGTCTGTGCATCACCAGTGTCGAGAACTGTGCTGTGGTTTTTAGTACAGCTGTCTAGCAATTTATCTTTGATAGTGAAAGAAATACCATGGCCATTAATCCATGAACAGATGTCTGCTAAGCTTTTTGTCATATCATCTGACAGCTGACCAAAGCCATAAGTGTGTGTGTGGAAGGATGTCGGGTGGGTGGGAGGCCTGGACAGCACTCAGCTCTCAGAGTTCATAAACATTTTGAGATTTCTCCATTAGCAGGGAGAAGGAGACAAAGAGTGAGGGAGAGAGAGGGAAAAAAATATTTTAGAGACCTCATTATAAATACTTGGAACAAATAATATCAGTGTTTTTCCTAGGGAACAGGCCAAAGATAGACTTACTAGTTTCAACTCATTTCTGTCTGCCAGCCACCAAATTTCTTTGCTGAAGGGTTAGGGTGGAAAATGCCGGTAATTCTAAGGGGAAGCCTGTGCTATCAGCAACTCTGACAAGCTAACAACTGGTTAGTTTGTATAGGAGCAGCCTCTGAGGGGGACATTCTTATTGAAAAAGTGAGCAAGTCTCATGCTCCCGGTCTGGTCTATGGTACCTATCAGGTTCAGAATATCTTGATGCTTGTGTGTGACTTCTTTTGTTTTAAATGAAACACACTGTATTAAGATAGAGTCACCAAGATGAGCCCAGAGGAATTATCAAAGTCATATCTTGCTGTGTGAACAGCTTTGTGTCCCAGCCCCCAGAGGGCTTTAGTTGAGATGTTGGTGGCATTCGGTCAGGAATTGTCAAGTCTGAGCGCTTTGAATGCCAAGCTTGAGCGGAATTTTGATCTTGATATCCTGTTCCTTGTATCAAAGCTCTTCTGTTAAGAAAAAAAGTGGCCCTGGTTCAAATATGGGCTAATGTCACTGAGGAGGGGCAGAAAAAAGTGTTACTGGTTGGCATTGCATTATAGACCTAATATGATTAATATTTGTAATCCGACAATCTAATTTTCAGACCCATTTCACTTGGTTTGATTAAAGAATTGTCAGGGAATCATTAGAAAATGTATACCAGTTCCTTGTATTTTGTCCAAGGAGATTTTTCTGGGATGAGTATTATCTATAAATTCTTGTGCTTATATTTCATCATGGCCTTAACTATACTTGCACTCTGGTAAAGAACACTGATATCTCGTAATTATCTAATTAATAACTTCTGATATTATTAACTTTTTTTCTTTTTAAAGACAGGATCTTACTACGTTGCTCAGGCTGGTCTCAAACTCATCAGTCCAAGAGATCCTTCTACCTCAGCCTTTGGAGTAGCTGGGACTGCAGGCACCACCACCACACTTGGCTTCATTTTCCTTTAACATTTTAACATACAACATATATGAGTATTTACTTACTGAGTGGCAAACACTGTTGACTGAATGTTTCAATGTCTCCTCTGTCCCTTGTGGAAGGAAAACTCGCAGGCTGCTGACAGTTCCTTTGAAGCCTCAGTGTGCATTTGAGATGGCTTCTTAAAGCCAATGATTGAGAACGTATGATGAAACAAGGTAGATCAAATAGTCTGGTCTTATGGAACCAGGAGCCAGCTAGAGAGCTCGAGAGAGTCTGATTGCCTGAGGCATCCTCTGAGAGCTCTAGATATCCATTTCTTGTTTCTTTTTTGCCTCTTCAGCTCACTTTCCAAGTTGTGCAATTATAACTTGGAAACGTGCTGTGCCTTTTATTGAGGGTGTTGCCCCCATGGAAGCAGCCCTTGCAAGGCTATGGACCAAGTATTTGTGTCCCCTCCAATTCATTTGTTAAATCCTGGTCCCCACAGTGCTGCTATTGGGATGTGGGGTCTTTGGGAGGTGATTGTGTTATGAGAGCAAGGCCCTCATGAATGGGGTTAGTGCCCTTATGAAAGAGGTTCCAGAGAGTTCCCTTCTCTTTCTACCATGTGAGAACACAGAAAAAGAAGGCTCTTTTCTTTCTATTCTTTTTTTAAATTATTTTTTATTTTATGAGACAGGGTCTTGCTCAGTGTCACCTGGGCTGGAGTGCAGTGGCATGATCATAGCTCACTGCACCCTAGACCTCCTGGGCTCAAGCAATTCTCCTGCCTCAGGCTCCTGAGTAGCTGGGACTACAGGTATGTGTCATTATGCCTGGCTGATTTATTTTTATTTTTATTTTTTAGTGGAGATGGTCTCACTGTTTTGCCTAGGCTGCTTTTGAACTCCTGAGCTCAAGTGATCCTCCTGCCTTGGCCTCCCAAAGTGCTTGGATTACAGATGTGAGCTACCACATGCAGCCAAGAAGAAGGCTTTCTCTGAGGAAGTGGGTTCTCACCAGGCATCAAATCTGCTCGTGCCTTGATCTTGGACTTCACAGCCTCCAGAATTGTGAGAGATAAATGTCTGCTGTTTATAAGCCACCTGCAGACATGAGAGGCAGTAGGGAAAGTTAAGATCAGAGTTAGGGATTCCTTACCTTGTAGAGGGCCATTGCTATCCCTCTGACTCAGATAGAGCTTCTGCAGCAGGGTAGATTAATGGTAGATTCCTAGTCTATCCAAGTGTGTGCATAATGAACAATGAGTGAAAAGAGATTGCTAAATATTTACGCCCTGGGAACATATAATTTTTTCCTGCATTACTGAATATACCACTGACTGTTTTGGCTAGGGTGCTCTCTGTGTGTCTGTGTGTGTGTAGGGAAGGGGTGTCTTTGTGAAGCTATAAGCTGAACTACTCAACAGTTATCACCTATTATATCTTGTTTTTATGCAAATCCCAAATTGAGTATGGAGCTGGGGGAAGGGGGCATTTCAGTTGTCACCCTCTGGAACAAGATAGATCCTCTGCATTGATCATCCACTAGGAACCAGGGAGCAGAGAAGTGGGTGGAAGCGAGTGTCCCTGAGAGAAGGCCTGTACTAGTCTGCGTGGGCTGCCATAACCAGGTACCAGAGACTGGGGGGCTCAAACGATGGACATTTATTTTCTTCCTGTTCTGGAGGCTAGGAATTGGAGTTCAAGGTATCGCAGGGTTGGTGTATGGGAAGCCTCTCTCCTTAGGTATAGATGGCTGCTTTCTTTGTGTCTTCACATGGTTCCCTCTGTACACTTCTGTGTCCTAATCACTTCTTCTTCTTCTTCTTCTGTTTTTTTTTTTGAGACGGAGTCTTGCTCTGTCGCCCAGGCTGGAGTGCAGTGGCACAATCTTGGTTCATTGCAAGCTCCATCTCCTGGGTTCAAGAGATTCCCCTGCCTCAGCCTCCTGAATAGCTAGGACTACAGGCACCCGCCACCACGCCCAGCTAATTTTTGTATTTTTAGTAGAGACGGGGTTTCACCGCCTTAGCCGGGATGGTCTTGATCTCCTGACCTCGTGATCCGCCCGCCTCAGCCTCCCAAAGTGCTGGAATTACAGGCATGAGCCACTGCGCCTGGCCCAATCACTTCTTTTTATAAGGATTCCAGTTATATTAGATTAGAGCCCACTCAGATGACCTCATTTTACCTTAATTACCTTTTTAAATGCCCTATTCCAAATACATTCTGAGGTTCTGGGGTTTAGAACTCAATGTATGAACTTAAGGGGATGGGGACACAATTCAGCCCCTAACAAGGACTGACCCCTGGTTTTGTGTTTAAACACATGGTTACTATTAGTATGGACTAGAGATGAGAATACGCCCATCTTTTCTTCACTAGGGACATGGGCATCACTCACATTGCAGACGATGTGGGTGATTAGAGGGCACAATGGGATTCCCCGAGCAAAGCCTGATGGCGCAGCCTCACCGAGGCTCCCACTCTGAGCCCAGGCTGGCCTCGTCATCGGTGCCCTGAAGTCTGCGTACCTTCTGGAAAGCAAAGGAATCTTTCTACCCTACCCACGTGGCCTGCGACAGCTCACTAATAACTGAGCTTGCTTTGCTTCACACACCTGGCTTTTGCTGATGACATCATCGCCTCTGAGATCATCCGGGAGGGAATGGCCTCCCTGCTCTGGGCTGATCTGAGCCTCAGTAGAGATATTTTTACAATGACTGCTTTGCCCAGAGACATTCTACAGAGATCCTTGTTTATCTCTAGGCACTCGTCTACCTTGTGCTTCAGTCCACCTCAGGGATTGTTTGACTCCTTCCTAGGTGCATTCTGGCTTTATCTCCAGAGTTTGGGAGGAGAAACTGCTTTCTACAAAGGGCCTAGATCTGACAGTCATAGGGCAGAAGATGAGACCATTAGGACTGTGACTCTCAGCCTTTTAATTCCGGATTAAAAAAAAAATCCTTTACAATGATTTACAAGATGATTCTCCTAAGTAGTATGAGTTACCCTAGGGCAGGGCTTCTGACCTCAACACTATAGGCAATTTGGGCTGGATAATTCTTAGTTGTGAGGGCTGGCCTGTGTATTGTGGGTCCAGCAGTGTCTCTGGTCTCTATGCACTAGATACCAGTAGCACCCCTGAGAAGTGCTTGTATATTGCCAAATGTCCCCTGGAGGAGTGACAAAGTCACCCACAGGGAAGAAGCCCTGCGCTAGTACATTATAAAAATATGTTCAATCTAACTTTTTTGAACTATGTCTAATTTCAAAGTAAATGATCTGTTCCATCAATTTTGATTCAAAAAATTGAAACAAACCTCCAGGATGGTTTGGATGTTACATCCAACTGCAATCCACACATTCATTTCTCAGTTTAATCTCTCTCTTCCTTTAGCCATCCCTTCACTGTACAGGTGCTTTTAAAACCTGTGATGGCCTATAGTAGGAAGATTATAAGTATTATTTTCTTTTCTCTCTTCATTTCGCCTTTCCTTCCTCTACCAATTCCTCAGATTACAATAGATTTTCTAACCTGGTGGTAATTTTGTAATTCTTGCTTTGAGGTTTTGAGTTCATTGTATTTTCATGAATCCTGAGGATTGACTTAGACTTTTTCTCCTTTTTTTCATAGACCTCGCTAATGTCAAATTGACTTGAAAACATGATTTATTCACTTTATTTCAGAGTCCTGCTCAAAGGTAAGTGCAGATTATAAAACAGTATGTTCAGGCCAGGCGCAGTGGCTCATGCCTGCAATCCCAGCACTTTGGGAGGCCAAGGCGGTTGGATCACCTGACGTCAGGAGTTCAAGAGCAGCCTGGCCAACATGGAGAAACCCTGTCTCTACTAGCAATACAGAAATTAGCTGGGCGCAGTGGCTTTTACCTGTAATCCCAGCTACTTGGGAGGTTGAGGCAGGAGAATCGCTTGAACCTTGGAGTCGGAGGTTGCAGTGAGCCGAAATCGCACCCCTGCACTCCAGCCTGGGTGACAGAGTGAGACGCTGAAAAAAAAAAACAAAAAACTACCCAGTATGTTCAGTGTGATCCCATTTTTCCCTACACTGCCCACTGCCCCCAACAAATCCACATGTATAGAGAAACACTCAGGAGAATATGTTCCACACTCAAATCCATACCCTACATGGAACTCTTAGTGAACCTGTTTCTTCTTTTTGTTCCTTTATAGCTTTTTAATTTTTCCTACAATAAGCATCTATTGCTTGTGGAATTGAAAAAGAAAAAAAATGCTTGAAAAAATTATTCTCAAGCTCCCTGTGAAATCAGTGCAAGATTCAGCACGTACCCCCTGGTGTTGTTAATGGTAACAAGAGTTGTATTGGAAATGACACTTATTTTTGGAAGACACAGGGACAACTGAGTCACCCATAGTATTTTAGGGGAAAGAATGAAACAAGAAACCCCAAATGAACAGGTGAAGATTTACTAGGCAGATTTCTGTCTTGTACTGAACGTTTTTTGGGTCAAGATTATATGCATGTGCATGAGCTCAGATGGAACTGTCCTGACCTGTGGAGGGGCTGAATTTAGCAGTGAGCTCAGGCTCAGGTCACTTAGAGTCATCCAGCAGAAAATGGCTGGTGTATCTTGGGGCTTTGTATGCTTAAGAGCTGTCCGGCAAGCACGCAGCATTCCTAGAGCACGCTGGGCTCGCCTGTCTCCCATTGATTCAACTCACAGACAGGCTTGTGCTCAGTCAAAACATGTCAGTCATTGAAAGTATATTCTCACTGGTTAGTGTCCTTTTAGAAACCAAACTCAGCTTTCTTCAGGGAAACAATTTGTGCTGATGGGTACACCTCTTTCTCTTCATCCTGTGCACAGTAAGATGCTGCTATGAGGGGGTGTCTGTTCATGTCAGCCCTGCTTGTGAGAATGGTGGAGAGGGAAGGAGGTGGATGGGTGCAGCTGCTCAACCCTGAGTGCACAGCTTCATCCACAATGTGTTTAGCACCAAGCTTACATGGTTTGGAAGAAAGATGACAGGCTTGGGAGATAGACACGTGAGATTCTCAATCCGATTTCAATCAAATATTATGTATAATACCTTACATGTCTGGATAAGTTATTTAACTTCCCAGAGCCTCAGCTCCCTCATCTCTAAAATGGGCACAAAGCAGACTTCCTGTCAGATTTCTTGTGAGCATAAAGATAAGGAACGCATGTGAGGAACAGCCTGGTGTACAGCAGGTGTTCGCTATTTCTTTCCCTCGGGTCAGTTTCCAGTTTCCAGGTGTGTTGCTACCAATCGGCACAGGCAAGCGTTCACAAACGTTTCCTCTAAAGAAACAGAGAGTAAATGCTCTAGGTTTTGTGAGCTAGGAGGCAAAATTAAGGATATTATGTACGTTCTTTCTTACATAATAAAGAGAAAACACATTTCCACCAATTGTTACTGATTTAGGAATATAATAATACAAATAGAGCACAGTTTTTTTTCTAACATAGATCTACTAATGAAAAGAAAAGAACCCTTTTCTGGGGAGATAGCGTTTTACTTAACTGAGGTTCAAAGTTAGAGTTCCCTCTTATCAAGGGGATTGCCAGTGTTCATCTGTACAAACCATTCTTAATTTGCAGGCCATGCAGGAGCAGGCCGTGAGCTGAATTTTGTCCACAGGCCACAGTTTGGAAATCTCTGCTATGGACAGCTTATTAATAGCACCAATCTCTGCTTGTATTCTAACTGTAATCATTAATGGTGAGTAAATAATCTGAAATCATAAGTGATGAATGAACTGTTAGAGAGCTACCATCTGCAGAGGGGGATGAAATAATTAATTAAATAAACAGGCACTGGAAGCTGACAGGATACTTAGTCTTATTTGATCAAATAATTGTGTGTGGCTTTTTTTTTTTTTTTTTTTTTTTTGAGACAGGGTCTCTCTCTGTTGCCCAGGCTGGAGTGCAATGACGTGATCTCAGCTCACTGCAACCTCTGCTTCCTGGGTTCAAGCGATTCTCCTGCCTCGGCCTCCTGAGTATCTGGCATTACAGGCGCGCGCCACCATGCCCAGCTAATTTTCGTATTTTTAGTAGAGACCAGGTTTCACCATATTAGTTAGGCTGGCCTCGAACTCCCCACCTCAGGTGATCTGCCCGCCTCGGCCTCCCAAAGTGCTGGGATTACAGGCATAAGCCACTGCACCCGGCCGTGATCAGATAATTCTTTAAATAATATCTTTCTTTGTGGCTAAAATCTGGAAAACAGCAGGAAGAAATGATCAGGCCACACAAACCAACCACCTACTATGAGAGATCAGGCAGTGGATGATTGTGAAAAGTTACTCAAATAGGTTATTTCTGCATCGAATCAAGTAAGAAAAGGACTTGCTTGTCTTTAGTGATGATGCAGCTAAAGGAGGGATGAAGATCTGGCATGTAAGTATCAGAGGGTCCCTTCCTTCCGCCCTTCCACCCACCTGGATGGACAGGTCAGATGGATCTAGTTATATGACCCTTACACACTCAGATGAAAACAAGACCAAAAGACTATTATGGGGTATATTCTTCACCCAAAGGGATTACATTTTAGCAGAATGCTAATATAGAGTGGGAATTATCCTATGGCATAGAAGGCACCAGAGTGGGTGTTAAGGGGAAGCAACGTGACAAGACATCTTTGATAACCGAGTTGGCAAAAGAGGAATGTCCGTATTTCTGAATATTTAAGAGATAGATATGGAAAAGGGTCAAAACACATAGAGCAAGAAGGGACTAAGGTATATGAGAAAAGATCCAAGCAGGCAAGCTGGCTCTTTCCCATTTGTGTGGCAGAAAGCGGGGACCCCACCGCCACCCATCATTTGAAATTCACTGAAAGCCTGTGGACATTTGCAGAAGCTGCCGAGCCAATGGTGCTGAAGCTGCTTAGGGCAAAGATTTTAAAATTTCAGAGTGTTGAACTGGGAAAGTGCTTACAACTCCTTGTAACTAACCCCTCCTTGGAAAACTAGCTGTTTTGAGGCAGAAATATTTTACAATGTATTGTTTTAACTGAAGGGCAATTTTTAGCCAAAGAACGTTTAGCAAATGAGCTTTGGTGGTGGGTTTAAAAATATTTCTTCTCTGAGCTGATGCTGACACAGCTTTTCTCCATGTTTGTGTTAAAAGAACACACAACAAAATGCATTTTCTCTTAGTTTAACAAGTTGGAATAAAATACACAATTTTTATAAAGATAAATGTCAAGAAGAAAAACTGAAGTATACTTCCAAGCAAAATTTATTAGATGTCTATTCAAGAAAAACACAATGACCTTTGCTTGTAAGAATTCAAAGTCAATTACCTGGAAGCCAGGTATGAATAGTTTTTTCTTTTAAAATCAGATACAGAGAGTAGAAACAGTAATTTTTCTTAAATATGACAGGCAACAGATATTGAAGTCTTTTCTCATAAATGGCATCAAAGAGAATTATTCATTTATCAGCAAAGCTGCATGCAGTTGACTTAATTTCAAACCTGAAGCCTTTAAAATATGAAGCTGGTTATGAACTTGACAGAAATCAAGGTAGGCTACTCAACGATGTTTCTTTACCTTCTTCCTAATGAAATTCCCTTGTCATCAGTCAGTAGATATGTACATTTCATTTGGCTTCTACGATCTTTTAACTTCATAGATTTTTGCATAAATGCTATCTGACAGAATCACACTATCTAGGGGTGCTTGTGATCTGTGAGATAAGGAGAGGCTAGTCTGCTGAAAGTGTTGTCGCAGGATAAAGACCAAATTAGGAAACGCCCCTGTTTTCTCAACAACTAGTCTGTACAAAAAAAGAGCAAACATATGTACAAAATTCTAGAGGCTACGTACATTGTGAAAAGATCAATATCACTGTCCATGAAAGAGATGCCATAAAAAGTTTTATCTGTAAGGTGCTCAAGATCCAAAGATGAACAGTTCTTATGCAAAGTCATAAGAAATACAAAGCTAGTTTTCGGAGCAGGTGTAATTCAGGCACTGTGAACCATATTAAACCTTCCAGGTCCCAATATCATTTTTTAAATTTCTGCTTCAGGGCAGAAAATAAAACCTGAATGATTTAACATTGCTTCTAAAAAGTGCCTAATTTATTCCTAGGAAATATTTTACACACACCAGGAAAATCAGGCTCAACATATTCCTGTCCTCAAATGTAGCCAGGATTCTGAGTTCCATAGAAGAAAAATAATTATTATAGTAAAAATAATTGTAGTAATCCTAATCCTTGCTAAAACCAACTTTAATACTTGTGATGCTTCTGTACTCTATTTCTATAAAATAATGTGTGAGATTCTATTACATTTCCATAAAATGTACAACATATCATATGGATTATATGTTCTCATACAATCTCAAATGTGTATGTGTACACACAGTGAAATCTTACCTACTAGTATTGCTTACAGATACTTTCAGGTGTCTGTTAGAATAATTCTTTGCACCTCTCACTAACACTGCTTTTACTTACATTTTTTCAGATAAATAAAACACTAAGAGCTCATTGTTCATGATGCTGATCATTACATTTTAATATAAAATAGCGATGCAACTTTACAACACAATAGTTTTCCCCTGTAGCCTAGCTCAGCCTCTTGTATTGTCATGATTATTACCGAAGGCTTTTATTTACTTACTGTTTGCACTTCTAAAAAATGCAAACAAATTGCAGAAAAAGACTCCTATTTGAAAACTCACATTCAATCAGCAAAATCACACTCATCCAAATTAACTCGCCTCCTCTTGCTTTAAAGGTTGTAATCACTGTGCATATTACAACATGTATGTGCAGGCAAACAATAGCTAAAGTACAGTTACAGTTGTCATATTGTGTAAACCAAGACACTAGGCAAACTTGTGAAAAGAATACACACTGCCAAGCGAAGAATATGAAAATGCAAACCACAGCATTCCCCAATAAACAATTTTCTGGTCGTCTTGGGGGAGAACATCGCCTGGGGGGAGATGTTGAAATGGAGCCACGAGGCTGGACAGCCTCCTGGAGACACTTTTTTTTTTTTTTTTTGCCTCAAATATTTGACCATTTTTAAATATCATGATTTTTTTCTTTCTGATCCCACATTTTGACGTGTCAAAGCTTAGAGCAGGAAGTAGGAATCCACACTTTCACGGAGGGGGACCAGCCTGCCATGTCGTCCCCAGGCTCACAGCAGCGGCGGCTACTCTGCTGGTGGTTTGGTGGCAGGTGGAGATGGTGACGGCGCATTGGAAACCGTAAGGCATGACAACGGGAGGCCCGCGGGGTGTTTCAGGCGCGTTGACGCAGGTGCATGGCTGGCAGGCGGCCTCTACAGAAGGAGGGAGCGCAATTCACAGCCTCTTGACGTAGTTTCCGGGGAAAGTACCAAAGAATTTGGTTCTTCTTGAGGTCCCTGAAAATAGAAGCGAGTCATGAAAGGGGGGTGACAACGATATCAGTTCATACACATGGGCTTGAATACTTCCCATTTACAAGGCCTCGGAAGACAGCAAGCCCCGAGGGGTTTGGAAAAGAAGGCAGGCAACTCACATGAAGCCCATAGGCAGACAAAATAAGCAGTGTTAGCTGGTTGCCTGACGCTCTCACTGCCCCTCCGGCATAAATGCTGCGCTGCCATCGCGGCAGGCTAAACAGAAATGCTGAGCCTCCCAAGCTAAAGGGAAAGTCAGCCCTGCTGAGGAGGGGGGCGGAGGAGCTCAGTCACTGAGGCTGCCACACCAGAGTCGGGGGTGAGGGATCAAGGCGAGGCTG